>NC_000005.10:169700717-170003748 GCF_000001405.40 Homo sapiens
GGCATTGTTTTGGACTAAGTTCCTGCACCAGCCCCCAACAAACCAGACTGAAAATCAAAATGGAGTCAGCTATGCTAAAGGGTCATGTCATCAAACCTAAACTAAACTGTTATCTGATCTTGCAAGAAATTCGGAGAGGGGAGAGAGGGCGGCGGGCGGGGGCAGGGAGAGAGAGAGAGAGAGAAAGAAAGGAAGGAACGAAAGAAAAGACAAGAAAAAGAAGGAGAGAAAGAAAGAAAGAAAGAAAGAGAAACAGCCTATTTTCCAGACAGGCCATTTTCAATTTTCAATGGGCATGATAATGAAGTTCCTGAAGTAACCTGATGTTAACAATCAGTCACTTTTCTATTTTTCTGTTTCCCTGTTTCAGCCTTATGAGGGCTATAACTTTGAAATAACCAATTCACTCTGTCTTGCTTCTACTTCCTTCAGGCCTTCTCTGTCTATAAAGCCAACCTCTTCTGCTCAGCTCTTTGGAATACTGATTCTATTTTATGGAATGAAGCATTGCCCGATTCTAGAATTGCAATAGAGCCAAGTGAGGTCTTCAAACTAAATTTGTTGTAATTTTGTCTTTTGACAATGGTAATACTCTTTTGAAACTTCTCTTTGTGTCTTAAACCTGTGTCTTGGACTTCCGTTCACGATGGCTCTCACTGACTGGCTGTTTCTTTCCACATTTGTCTGGCGGTTGTCTCCTAGGGCCTGTGCTGTCATTTATTTGTCCATGCTTTACCTGAGACTTCAGTTACTTGTGTAACCCCTTGTAGGATTTTCTATTCCTTTTTTTTTTTCTTTTTGTTTTTTTGAGATGGGGTTTAGCTCTGTTACTTAGGCTGGAGTGCAGAGTACAGTGGTTTGACCTCAGCTCACTGCAGCCTCTGCCTCCCAGGCTCAAGCAATCCTCCTACCTCAGCCTCCTGAGCAGTTGGGACCACAGGCATGTGCCACCACACTCGGCTAATTTTTTTGTATTTTTTGATACAGACAGGGTTTTGCCATGTTTCCCAGGCTGGTTTTGAACTCCTGAGCTCAGGCGATCTGCCCGCTTTGGCCTCCCAAAGTGCTGGGATTACAGGCATGAGCTACCTGTGTCTGGCAGATTTTCTATTTTTCTTACCTCCCTTCCTGAAGATCCTCTGCAGCTCCCTCCTAACCCTGTGTCCCTAGGACACATGGAAAGTTGCTCTATTCTGCTCCTACACAGTGAAATATCGGCAGATGTATATGTTTGGTTGTTTTCATGGGACAGGATCAATTCAATTGGAGCTTTCCTTTGCCTTCCCAGAAGGTGTCACTAGAGGATGAAAATTAAATGACTTTTAATGTCGAGAAAAACATGGCCAATTTTGAGTGTCCCTACTTCCCTTTTTGCAACTGATTTCCTAGCATCCCTTCATCCCCGTGTTACCTACTTCTCCAGCCTCCCTGATGAGGGAAAAATGCTTTCTCTAAGCAATTCTGATTTTAATTAATACCAATCCAGGTGGGAGAGCTTCTTCTCACCCTCCATCCCCTCTAGTTAGTCAGCGTCTCTCCTGCTGTAATCCACACTAACTCTTGTCTCTCTCTCCCTCTGCCTCAGGGGATGTCAGGAACGACATCTACATTACTCTCTTACAAGGTGACTTTGACAAGTACAACAAGACCACACAGAGGAATGTGGAAGTCATCATGTGTGTGTGCGCGGAGGATGGCAAAACGCTGCCTGTAAGGGACTCACTGCTGCTCTGGGTGACAGGGTCCGCCTTGGGGGCCTCTGCTTGTAAAGACGTACTTTTCCTCTCCCTGATTCTGTTGTCTAAATGCCAGGTGCCTTTGGGATGGTGTTGAATAATGTGTTCAACACCTTTTGAGCTTGGTTAGTGCAGTGTTCCATAATAAGACCTTGTGATATTTCCTTACACCAAAGCAGTTTTTCAATGTCTGTTCCTTTCCTTTCACAACTTCTTCTTGTATGTATGTATGTATGTATGTATGTATTTATTTATTTATTTACTTTTGCTTGGTCTCAGCTTATAGGTTAGCTTTCTGCAGTTAAAATGTTCTCACTGAAACCTGAGCTGGTTTATTCAGGCAAAGTCCATGGTAAGAAAGAGGATCAATACAGTGCCTTGGGCTGGTGTGGAGGCTCAGGATGTGCTTAAAGCAGGCATTCTCAACACTTAATCTAACTCCCCAGCGCTCAGCCAGAAATGCTGGTGGAAAGCCTTATTCGTAAATTGGTCTCCAGAGAGCTAGCAGGGTGTATTCAGGAATGCAAAGCGCATTGCTATATTTATACAGCATATGTCCTGTCCAATATTTGTCATGTGTGTTTATATTTATTTGCTTGTATTTTCTTTAAGGTTGTCAGTGCTGTGTCCAGTGTGTAGGAGGGTTTTGTTTCTCAGTTCCTCCTGACAGAGTAGTTAGCTGAAAAGAAAATCAGCTCTCAGGAGAAATTTTAGCATGGGCGAATATTCCTCTTAGGCCACTGTGAGTGATCAAATAGCCAAGCAGGGCGGGTGTGTTCATCAGAGAGGGGATGTGAAGATGGAAGAGGCATCATTTTTGTCCTTGGGGCCTGGAGATCAGACTGATACTTTGTACCCAAGAATAACTAACATTCACAGGGGAATTACCATGTGTCAGGCTGTGTGATAGTATGACACATTTCCTTTATTATGCCCCATTTTACAGATAGGGAAACAAAACCCGTGTCACTTACAGTAACTCGCCCAAAGCCATAATGTTAGCATATGTCAGAGATGGGGTTTGACTGGTTCCAGGCCCTCTGAGACACTTCACTACAATGCCCGTACATGTAGCAAAATTCTCCAATTTATTTCTCATTTTAAAAAATGAGGCTAATAACCACTGCTGGCAAATTTGGGAAGATTCATAATCGTTTTTTAAATGTAAAGAAATCCTCACAATTGCCTTTTTGTTCATAAAGACTGGTCATGTTAATTAGTATCTATTTGAACAAAATCTAAGCATTGAACGCATCCTCCTTTTGTTGCAGTCTGAAACTTTTTCCAAAAAATAAAATAAGTGAGAAATACTTGACTCAAAGGAACATAAAGGAGCGGAGGGTTTTTATCTGAAAGGGAAATTGCAATTCCCAAATGTAGAGACCATTGCTTTGAAGTTACTTTTATCCAACTTCCCTGGTAGAGAACTTTTTAACCTCAGCTTCATTTTTGAAACATTGATACGCTTACCTTCCATGTTGCCAAAGGACAAATTAAAAGACACAGTTAACAGGCAAGCAGCCATCTTATCTCCTGTCTGAGCCACTCTTTCTTCCACTTTTGTCACCCTTTCAAGTCACTACCGAGCAGGCTGAGCAGATGCACTTATCCAAGATGAGTAGGTAAGCAGGTATTCTGGGGGCTGACATGGAAAGGGAACTGTGGGGCATGGTGATGATTTGTGGTTTCCTCTATTAGGGAAATTCTGGGGGAGTTCAGTTGACTGACTATTGAAAATTGCTTAGGAAGCCTGTGGGAGGCTTTTCTTTCTCTATTTGTAGAAATAAATATTACTGCCTAATTAAGTGTCAGTCAGTACATTCAAACACTTCTGTTTGATATTGGTGGGCTCCTGTGGAAATGGTCCCCTTTAGAAATATTGATTTCTCCTCCTGCTCTAGGTGCATGCACACTGTCTTTGGCAGAGCAGGACCAGAGGGCAGAGGAGGTTAGGCCTGCTCATGGCTCACCTTGGGGTGTCAAGGGCCTTGCTCAGGAGGGGTCATAGCAGAGAAGCTAATGGGGTGGGCTCTGGGGTCAGGCAGACAGGGTTCAAATTCCAGCCTCCCCTCATATTAGCTGTGTGATCTTAGGCAAGTTTATTCATGTGTAAAAAGAAATAATAACCTCTTCTCGTGGGGTTGCAGGTTAAACAAAAGAGTAGGTATTAAAACAACTAAAAGAGTATGATTGGATTGTTTATAACACAAAGGATAAATGCTTGAGGACATGGATCCCCATCTTCCATGATGTGATTTTTATGCATTGTATGCCTCTATCAAAACATCTCATTTACTCCATATATATGTGTGTGTGTGTGTGTGTGTGTGTGTGTGTGTGTGTGTGTGTGTGTA
Organism: Homo sapiens; assembly: GCF_000001405.40. NCBI lineage: Eukaryota > Metazoa > Chordata > Mammalia > Primates > Hominidae > Homo > Homo sapiens. The sequence goes on from NC_000005.10 coordinate 169,704,808, forward strand.
TGTGTATGCACACACTATGTGCCCACAAAAATTAAAAATTTTAAAATTAAAAAATTTTAAAAATAAACATGCTGCTGGGCACAGCGGCTCACACCTGTAATCCCAGCACTTTGGGAGGCCAAGGGGGGCAGATCACTTGAGGTCAGGAGTTTGAGACCAGCCTGGCCAAGAAGGTGAAACCTTGTCTTTACTGAAAATACAAAAATTAGCTGAGTGTGGTGGCAAGCACCTGTAATCCCAGCTACTCAGGAGGCTGAGGCACGAGAATTGCTTGAACCCTGGAGGCAGAGGTTGCAGTGAGCTGAGATCGCACCCCAGCCACTCCAGCCTGGCCGACAAAGTGAGACCCTTTCTCAACAAACAGACAAAACACGCCATAGGTATAAGGCACCTGGTATTGCAGTAAGTACCCAGCAACAGGAAGGAGGGTCACATTCAGAGAAGAGGACCAAGTGCAGGGTGAAGCCCTCTGAGGGACCTGAGGGAGTCAAACAGGCAATCCAGCCAGAAGCAAATTCTGGTGAAAGAGAAAGGCTTAGATGCTGGGCCAAGAAACCTCTGTTTTTCTGAGACCACCCAACTTGAGGCGGTGGAGGCAGGGGATAGGGGAAGTATGGGATAGTGGTTAAGACCATGACCCCTGGGGCCAGACAGCCAGGTGCAAAGCCCAGCTCTGCCTGAATTAGTAAGAGGATGTTGAGGCAGTTACATAACCTCTCTAAGCCTGAGAGTCTCTGTCTGAAAATAGGACCAGCAATGGCACTTTGCTCTTGTGAATATCAGATGAGGTAATCTACATAATAGGTGTGCATTAAATTTAGCTATTATTATTAGAAGGGTATACTGAGCTCCCAGCCTGATTCCTACCTTAGGCATGCTAATCGACATCCCATGATGTGGTCTTGTGAGAGGAGAACACTGTCTTTCCTAAAGTGTGTTCACATCCCTGGTGTCATCTCTTTCTCACCTGATTCCTACCAAGTAAACAGGACATGTGTTAGGAGCCTGGTTTTTCTTCCTGCAGAGATGTTTCTTCTAAGGCCAAGCCAACATGAAAGCCTCCAGGCTTCCTGATCCATACTCAGATTTTCTTCAACTGACCTGAAGTCTCCCACACCTATGAGGGGCTCTCACTGTTAATTGGGGGCCATGGGGATAGGCAATGTAGAAAATTATGGAACAGTGTTATTTGAGATATATACCAGTGTATATTTTCCCTAGAACTGGGCTCAGTCCCTGGTCACAATGCTCTCTCAGTGCACTTCCCAACACTGTTATTTCTCTGAAGTGCTGAGGCCTATGGCACTATCTTTGGCTTTTCTCTGACTGGTACTGAGACTTTTTTCTCCAGCCTTAGGAAATCAAAAATTTTCATCATCAGTACAGTTTTGTGAGATCCAGTTGCCTGCCATGCGGCAGTTTTACTTTCACCAGAGATATATGTGTAGTTTCTGATTTGGTAAGCTACATGGGATTTACTGTAACTACAGAAACTCTAAGCCCATAAATGTCAACAGATATAAATCTTTGTAGGCTGGAAGGCATCTAGGTTCTTATAGAAGGAACACTGGATGAGTATTTAGAGGGTCTGTGATGTTGTCCTGGCTTTGCCACTTTTTGGGCAAGTGGTTTAATCTCTCAGGGACTCAGGTCACCCAGCTGTGAAATGGGGATGCTGACAGTAAGCATCAGAGGTGGCTATGAGGACTGAATTAAGCGAGGTGGTGTGTGTGCAGGGCTTAGTGTGATGCTGGACACAAAGCCCACTCTAAATGGTTAGAAAGACTTTGGAAGCATGTTTTTAGCTCAGTGCCTCGGGAAGTTCTGGAAGGCTTCATCCCATGGAAAAACAAGGAGAGCTGTGTGTCTTCACTCAGTTCTGGTTCATTGGTTACACTTGTTTTTCTTTTAAAGATACATTCTGAAAGGACTGCTGTGTATTCTGTTTTCAAATGGATCGATTTGGCTGCAAGTACTGTCAGTCAATATTGAAACTGAGCTCATTCCTTTTCCATACCTCGGAAGCACAAGGGGAGATTTCCAGTGTGAAGGGCGAGTCTTCCTTTCCCCAGGTTAGCATGGTTGGCCAGGGCTCACGGAGTGCCTGTATGTGGCCAGCTTTGGTGATTCAGCCTGCTGAAGGTCAAGGACCCACGGGAGAATCTGATTGAATCTCATGAGAGGCATGACTCGCTCACCATCAACATGCCGAGAGGCACACAGTTTGCAATTTCAGGGGCTGGGGCTCCAAAACCAAATCTTATGAATCTGGCAATTTGAGGATTGAAAATTGTTTGGCCTAATATAAAAACCACACTTCGGGCCCCTTCTGGGTAATCCTAGCTTGGATCTTGTTTGGGGGCCAAACGGCTGGAATGACCATAGAAGTAGGCATTGTTGTATGTGACCAGGAGGTCATTCCTTGTGAGTCAGCTCCTTTCTGAACCTCTGAGGGTGATTTTTATGGCAAGGAATAAATGTCCCACTTGGACATGTGTGCTCTGTGCTCACTCTCTGCTCAGAAAGCCCCTCCCACATTTCTGCTGTGTGCCAACTTGGAAACTTTCTTCAAGATTCTCAACTGTCATTGCCTCCAACAAATCTTCCCTGATTCCTCACCTGTCCTTGTGTCCTTCCTCTGTGCCCAACAGTAGTGTGTACACATGTCTGTCATCACGTTGCCTTGCTGTCATGACGTGTTCCCTAATGTTTCCTGCACAAAACTGTGAGCTCACGTCAGGTTCAATGTCTGACCCATTCCTATACCCCAGTGCACAGCATGGAGTACCAAGAAGATGTTTCCATTATTGTGACCTGAACTGAGCCTCCTCCCCGGAACCCCCTCACCCCAGACTTGTTCTTTAAGGCAGGTGCTCATGTGTCTCTCTGAAGCCTGTGCTCTCTCCTTTTGTCCAGCACTGCCCACCGCCCTGACGTGTTAGCTGTAGAAATTCATCGCAAAGAGTTGCTGCTTGGCTGATCTGAGCCTGTTAGTAAACTTTCTGCACATTCACATTTAGGAAACAAATAGGATTAATAAGACTGGCAGTGTGCAGTAACTCCAAGGCTGGTTGTCACTTACAGTAAGGCAGCCACATCAATGCCCTGGTGCACTCCAGTGGTTTCCAGAATGGAAGTAATGGAATTTCTGTAGTTAAGTGCCTGTCAGTCCTGTGGCTGGGGCACTCCTGTGTAAATCTGTAATAGAGAAGGAGCCATTATGGGCACCTGGCATGAGGGCTAGGGAAGGCAGGGTTGGCCCAGGCCCTAAGGCTGGTCGTGGCCTAGGGACCAAACCTGCACAAGCACAGAAAATGACAATTCTGTAGTCTTTTCCCTCACTTTGTTTTTCTTGGGTCAGAATGCAATTTGCGTGGGAGCAGGGGACAAGCCCATGAATGAGTATCGCTCCGTTGTGTACTATCAAGTCAAACAGCCACGCTGGATGGAAACAGTCAAGGTAATAATTAATAATAGCAGCAAACACATGTCTAGTTCTTACCATGAACCAGGCACTGTTTTAAGTGCTTTATTTAAATAATTTATGTATTGCTTACAACAGCCGTGTGAGGTTTGTACTAATATTTCCTTCATTTTATAGTTGAGGAAACTGGCACTGAACAGGGAAGTAGCCTGACCACGACCACGCTGCTAGGAAATATCAGAGCTGGGATTCAAACCTGAGCAGTCTGGCTCTGGGTCTGTGCTCATCCCCGCAAGCTGAGGGAGCAGAATACTGACTGGAACAATTAGCATTCTTCTTTTTTTTTTTTTTGAGACAGAGTCTCACTCTGTTGCCCAGGCTGGAGTGTAGTTTTACCATCTCTGCTCACTGCAACCACTGTCTCCCAGGTTCTAGTGATTCTCCTGTCTCAGCCCCCTGAGTAGTTGGGATTACAAGCGTGTGCCACCACACCAGGCTAATTTTTGTGTTTTTAGTAGAAATGGGGTTTCACCTTGTAGGCCAGGCTGGTCTCAAACTCCTGATCTCAAGTGATCTGCCCACCTTGGCCTCCCAAAGTACTGGGATTATGGGCATGAGCCACCACACCCAGCCTTCTTCCTTTTAATGAGAGCAGTTGAGCAAGGCAGTTCTGTGCATAGACCCTAGGCCCAGAGAGTCTGGGTTCGTATTCCAGCCCTAATGCTCACCAATGGTGTGACCTTGGGCAAGTCATTCACCTGCTCTGTGCCCTGGTTTCCTCACCTGTAAAATGGGAGCAATAGGTTGACTGTGGAAGTAAAAGGACTTAATACACATAATACTGTCAGACAAGTCCTTGGAAGAGAGTACTTATTCAATTAATACAACTCTTGATTATACTTGGCAGTTATCTCAGTCTGCAAAATTGAACTAGATTTTGCATTCCTTCAAGATGCCCTTCAAACACTTGACCCTTGCCTGTTTTTTAACCACCCCTCTACAGGCAGTCTAATTGGTAGTGGCAGGCAGCTTTGTGCCTCTCTGTGTAGTTGTGGGGAGAAGGCAGAGGGAAGGTATAGTTGTTCCAGATATCTGTTGCAGTCTCCCTCCAGGTCCTTCTCATATGGCATCTCCCCGCAAAATGTTTTGTGGAATACTAAGTGGTGTTTTATTAAAATAACGTTTTAGGCCAGGTGCAGTGGCTCATGCCTGTAATCCCAGCACTATGAGAGGCTGAGGCAGGTGGATGACCTGAGGTCACGAGCTCGAGACCAGCCTGGGCAACATGGTGAAACTCTGTCTCTACTAAAAATAAATACATACATACATACATACATAAATGAGTCGTGCATGGTGTCATGTGCCTATAGTTCCAGCTACTCAGGAGGCTGAGGCATGACAATCACTTGAACCTGGGAGGCGGAGGTTGCAGTGAGCTGAGATTGCACCACTGCACTCCAGCCTAGGTGACAGTGCGAGACTCCTTCTCAGAAAAAAAAAAATTCATACGTTAAATGTATTAAAATAACATTTCCTGGTCAAATGTGAGAAACTTGAGAACAAATATAGAAGTTAAAGGCTTCCTTATGTCAAGTTCTTAGAGCCCTTGAGATGTAAATGTGCTCTGCAGACCTGCAAAAGGAAATAAGAATGCAGAGCACGTCCCAAAACTCGTTGACTACCGAGCATTTTCCTTTTTCCTAGTGTCATATCCTGGGGCTAGGATTCTGTTGAACATATTTTAGAAATTCTTTGTTTTAGCCAAAGCAGGTGGGAGGCTTGATGGATCAATGTGATTGTGAACAACATATGAGAATATATTATGTTTCTCTTCATGAAATATCTAACTCAATTCTGAGGCCAGTCATGAACATACTGGAGGGACATAGAGTGACAGAAAAACTTCTTTAGCTCTAGTTTATAGCAGAAGTCACCATCTGTAAGAGCTTAGGGTCCTTGGAGGCACCTCTCTGAATCTGAAATGACCCCCTAGCATGTGTCTGGTGGTATTGTCAGCCAGTGGAAATGGAGGCCAGGTGGGTGAGCACCCTGGTTCCCTTGATCACCCTTCCTTGGTGCAGGATGTAACCAAAGTGGAATTGTCAAATAGTCCTCTTGTGGGTGGTGCCCAGTTCATCAAGCTGCACCATTCTACTCAGCAATGAGGAGTGACAGAGCTTGCAAGCCAATGTGAGCCTATCACAGGCTGTATAATGCCTGAAAGATGCCCTTTTGGAATAATTCCTTGACAGAAGTGACATTAACTACAAATATTACATTACCAGATCGTCACACTAAGCAGAAAGGAATAACCTGCATTGGAATAAGGATTTGGAATTAATTCAGTGAACACTGCAGCTTGATCATAGCTTCAGATATCTCTGCCTTATCATTAGCAGCATTCTTTATTCCCCCCGGGCTCTGACTCCAAACACAAGATGCACACTTGACTTCCTTTTCAGTGAGAGCTATTCAAACCCCAGCGGTTCTCCACTTATTACACATATTATTACTTTGCTCAGTGTGTCTCCCCATACCCAATGCCTTCGAATTGATGACCCGGTCAACTCTGTGGTCAGAAAGTTAATGTACCAGGTCAGGTTTCCCTTCTCTGTTCTCTCTTGCACCTCAGTTGTATCTCCTTGCTAGCCCTTGTCACAGGGCTGTTACACATTGCCCCATGTGTAACACGGAACAATGAGCTCTTTGAGTGTGAGGACTCTGCCTTGTATCAGCATGGCCAGCACCCCACATGATTGTAGCTTCTAGTGAACATTCAACACTCAGGGAAAGAATGAATTGGCTGCAGTTACCCATGAGACCCTCAGTTCCTTTGCTCTGCCTGAAACATAGACAGGATGGTGGACCTCCTCAGGCTCAAGCCTCATTTTCTGCAACAGAAAGTGCCCCCAAGTATACATTTGTTTTGGCGTTTAATAGGCATCTGTACAGTACAAATGTATTCCTTTTTAAAATCAGTGTCCTTCTCTCAGGTAGCTAACCTTCTCCGCATTGGCCTGAATCTCAGATTGCAGAGGAGCTGTGAGACTTTGGGAGGTGGGCAGCACAGAGCCAGGCTGAAAGCATCACAATCAGTGGTACCAGTGGGTCATTCACTGGACAGGGATGCCTGGGTGACCAGTGGGTTGTTGTCTTAGCTCAGTGTCCTTGGAATCAAAAACATCTGGACATGTGTCTGATCAAGGGTGAGATGAGCCCTAGGATTTTTCCAAATATTATTGGATTAAAGCATTTTTATTAATTTGCATAAATGAGATTCCTCAAGCAAACCCCCTAACAACCATTGTTAATTTGCTAAGCCCTGCTGCAATTGCCAGAACTCCTGGAGTGTGTAAGGAAAATGTGCATTGTGCAGTTTGCAGTGCATCAAATCCTGTGCTAAAGTTATGTGACTTTTATATCAATTTGGGGAGACTCATTTTTCCTCACTATAATTTACAGACCTCTTTTCATTGGCTGGGAATGCAATTTGCCAAATGGATTACATTTGGTACTTTATTTTCTCTTCATAGCTAGTTCTTCTGTAATTTATTTACAGTTCATCAGCCTCAATGGATGGGTTGTAAATCAGCAGGCAGCTCTCTCAGTTAAATGGTCAGGCTGCTGTGGAAGTGTGTAGGGGGGTGCAGTGGGGAGGGCCCTTTAACTCATTGTGTTCTGAGCTCTGTTTCTGTCTGCTGAGGTGGCTGTCCCTATTGAAGACATGCAGAGGATCCATCTGCGATTCATGTTTCGACATCGGTCATCTCTGGAATGTGAGTACCATACTGAATGGCATCTCTGCACCTCCCCCTAAGGGGAGAAGAATGGAAGAGCTGGGTGGCCCATGTATCATTTTCTTTCCTGACCCCACAATGCTATTTCCAGCTAAAGATAAAGGAGAAAAGAACTTTGCCATGTCCTATGTGAAGCTGATGAAAGAAGATGGGACTACTCTACACGATGGATTCCATGACTTAGTTGTCCTCAAGGTACCATGAGTTGGAAGGAGCTCTGCACTGAGGGGAGTGCAGGAAGAAAGGGGGTGATGGCAAAATTGCTTAGTGGTCAACAGCAGGGACCCCAGAATCACACACACCAGAGTTTACCAACTTTGTGGCCTCTTATAAACTCTTGACTTCTCTGGGCCTCTGTTTCCTCATCTTTGTGCCCTCAGTGAATATTTGTGAAAATTATGAGACAGTGGATGTAAACATAGCAATGATGAGTACATGGAAGAACTCAATACATGGAAAAGGTTATTGTTATTTACAGAAAGGTTATTGTTAATGACTGTTATATACTCTTGACTCTGTAGGGACCTCTGTGGCATGTGTAGAGGATGTACAATAAACATTTGAGAGATGCTGCATTGTAGCTAATGGGAAAATATTAAAACCTGCAGTCCTGATCCTGCTGCTGACTAAGCCTGGACTCATCTCACATATTTTCCTGAGTCTCAGTTTCTTTTTTCTTAAGCAGTTGTGGCAATATTTATGACAACCCACTAGGATGACCCATGAAAAATGGCCATCTAAACTATAAAGGGAGTGCAGATGTCCACTATTTTTATTTTTACATTATGAGACTTGGACTGTTTTTGAGACATGGAGGAGCATTTGTCTGGTTTTTACCTGCTGCTTTTCCACATGTCCTCTTATGACAACAGAATGCATCTACTAGCACCTGGCTGGAGGCAAGTGTATGGCTGTGAGGTGGAGCAAGGTTGAGTAGCCAGCACATGGATCACACCCTTGCCCTTGGCTTTCTTAGCCTTGTAGGCTGAAATTGCCCTTTTGCCTGTGGGATGCATGGCAAACACAGCCTCGTCAAGGCTTCATCTCATAGTACTCTTGTACTCTTCTCTGAGTCTCTCTGACTTTTCCAGAAAACCCCCTTTCTTCTGTACAGCCTCTGTTTTCTCATTTATCACACATAGAATTCTTGGCTTGAAAGCCCTTCTTCCCTGACAGAATGTGAACTCCTTGGGGTCAGAGGCCTAGTTGCAGTCAATTTTCTTTTACTTACCCCCATTAGGTCCCAGTTTCCTTGACTGAGGATAATAACAGTGTCTGCTTCATATGTTTGTTATGAGGCTTAAATGAAATGAACCAAGACATATAAAACACTTGGTTTCACTCCTGGTGCGGAGTAAGATAAATGTTATCTTCTGTAATGCCTACCTCTAGTCATTCATTTTAACATGCCACTCATTTATGTGTGTATCACTCTGCTATGTATTCTATATGCATTATTCCATATTATCTGCTCAGGTATTCTAGGAAGTAGGGATGATGATTGTCTTCAGTTTACTAATGAAAAAAAAAATGAGACACAAAGAGGCAAAATAGTGTATTCAAGATAGCATAGACCTGTGAATGGCAAAACAGGGTCCAGATCCCAGCACACTCTTACTTAGTGCCTTTGCCATTAAATTCCTCTTTAAGCTAGAGTCCTTATTTTGCTGGTGAGCAGATATTATGGTCTCAAAAAAAGGATGAATTAAAATGTACTGTCTGGGAATTTTCAATTCCGTTTTTATTTTGCCATTAATGAGGTTCACAGAGCTTTCACCTGGTGGATCAACCCCCTTTCTATTAATGTGTCTTTGAATTCTTACCTGTATTGTGGAAAAACAGTCCTGCCTCACCAGCCAATGTCTATTGCTTCTCTGATGATTTTCTTCACTCTTTATGACTCTCCCCACTTCACAGTGTCTAATTTGTCTGCTGCAGGCTCTGTGTGGCATTGGGCATGGAGCCTTGGCTTGGGGCAGTAACCAAGTGTTGTTTCCAGGGGGACAGCAAGAAGATGGAGGATGCCAGCGCATACCTGACCCTTCCTTCTTATCGACACCATGTGGAAAACAAGGGGGCCACGCTGAGCAGGAGCTCCAGCAGTGTTGGGGGGCTTTCTGTCAGCTCCCGGGATGTGTTCTCCATTTCCACCCTGGTGTGCTCCACAAAGCTCACTCAGAATGGTAATCGGGTCATCAAGAGTTGTGTCTGTGGGGAGTGTGTGTGTCCGTGTGTGTGTACATGTGTGTATGTGCTTGCAGACCCAAGGAGGTCCTGATATGGACAGTTAGGCCAGTAATGATACTTCTGAATGTCTGGACTCTATTTTAGTGGGCTTGCTGGGTTTGCTGAAGTGGCGTATGAAGCCTCAACTGCTACAGGAGAATTTAGAAAAGTTGAAGATTGTGGATGGAGAGGAAGTGGTGAAGGTCAGTGGGGCTTCATTTTGATTGTATTCTTACACTAGTGACAGAACTCTCCATGTGGGTGGCTTCAGGGGAAAAACAAGGTATTGAAGGACATGGGGAAACTTTTCTTCCAACAGTAGGATACACTCTCCCGAGTTGCCTTGAGGAATCTTTATTGGGAAATCCAGGGGAGTGACTTGGTTCAATGGCACTGAATGTTGGGTGCCAGAAAACAATGGTTATGCTCAATCTCTGGAAATAGATGAGCCTGGGTGTAAATCCCAGCTCTCCCACATGCCAACTTTATGTGATAATATAAAAGTGACATAGTTCTCAGGGCTGTTATGAGCATTCAAGGTGATAATATTTAAAACTTACTCAACAGTCTCTTACACATAGTACACAACAATTAAACCAAAGCATATAAAACAAAGTTCAATAAATGGTAATTATTATTTTTGTTGTCATATGTTGATATATATGTATATGCATATATATGTATGTATGTGTGTGAGCATATATATGTGTGCATATGTATATATACATATATATATAGTAGTATGATCTGTTAGTACTACCCACAGATCATTGTTAGAAATAAAAAGTATTCTTGGTTTCTGCTGCTTGGAGAGCATTATGTATTAAAGACGGGAAAGGGAAAGACATCAGGGCTTACATTTTAAGTGAAATAAGCAGAAAACAATGCAAATGTCAGATGTATTATTGCATCCACATGGTAGTGGAGAATAGAAAGCGTCTGAAGTGCAAATCTAATTAAAGCAACCCTTCTCTCCAGCCTTATGAATTGGGACAAGTGTTTCCCAATGGTCCTGGAGATCTTGTTTCCTTGATACAGCTAGAAATTCTGAGATTAAACATCTTTATATGGTAGCTCTGTGTTTTGAGGGATTATAGGAAATATTGACCCATCCCTTAGGAGGGAGGAAAATCAAGTTTTATTTAATTGCCTCTACCTGGAGAAGCAGTGGCAGAATTTCCAGATGCCGTAAATGTATACCACTGACCCATCTACCTCGTTCAGCAATGGCAGAGTAACTCCCCAAGACACCACTTTAATAAAGTCTATAGCCTTTTGGTAGCTTGGAGAAGTCATGGAAGAGATGAGGCTTTTGTTGTCTTCCTCTTGCATTCTTTTTTCTTTTTTTTTTTTTAAAAAAGTTTGTTATTTAAATATGATATACATATGATGAAATAGATACAGAGCAGTTATCTTAAGAGTATAGCATAATGGATTTTTACACACGTAAACACCATGTGTACTCACCACCCAGAAGAGGATACAGACCACTTTTAGCATTATAGTAGATTCCCTCATACCCCTTCTCAGCCAGTAGTCCCCCGGGGTAATCACTGTCCTGACAACCATCATTGTAGATGGGTTTTTGCCTACTCTCAAATTTCATAAGAATGGAATAGTGAAGAGTGTACTTTCTGTGCCTGATGTATTTTACTGCATATAATGCTTGTGAGAATCATCCTCATTTCTGCCTGTGGAAGTAGTTTGCACTTTAGTCCAGCTGTGTAGTATTCTCTAGTGTGAACATGCCACCATCTGTGCATCCATTCTGCTGTTGATGGGCAGTTGGGTTCCTCCAACTTCTGGCTCTCGTGAGTAAAACTACTCTAGACGTTTTGAGCATGACATGTGGTGGATGTGTGCTCTCATTCTCTTATAGATAGTTAGGAGTGGGATTGCTGGTTCACCTGTACTTTGTCTTGTTTCTGAAGTAGTGCAACCTTTGTTATTTCTTCCAGTTTCTCCAGGATACTCTGGATGCCCTCTTCAACATCATGATGGAGCATTCTCAAAGTGATGAATATGACATCCTCGTCTTTGATGCCTTGGTAAGAGAGAGGGGAAAAGTGTCTAGTGACAACAGGCATTAATGTATGTCTTACTGTGAAAATACTGAGAACTCATGGCCCTCATGGCCCTCATGGCCTTTTTCATGAATTCTTTGGAGGTGTTGTAATGTTTGGCAACAAGACCAATAATGAGCTGCTATTTCCTTTTGCTTCTTGCCAGTTCATTTGAAAGCATGAGGCATTGTGGGTGAAAGGGGAATTTTAAATGCTGATGTCAGATTGACACTGGCTGAAGGTACATGAGGCTGGATATTGTGAATGATTGCTTCTGCTTTCTATGAATGTTGGGAGCTAGTCCCTGGCTAGGTTGTAAAGCACCAAAAATGTTTCTTAGCTTTCCTTTCACCTTCTTCTCCCCATTTCCTCCAACTCACTAATCATTACATTTCTCCTACCCACCCAGAACTTTTCATGATGCTGTACCATCCAGATCTTCCTTCTTTTAGTCCTCCCCTATGGTCTTTTTGTCCTCTCCCTATCTCGACTCAGATTTTCTCAGTGTTATGTCAAAATAAACACAAGAAACATCTGCATTAGGGAATCAGTGCCCAACAAAGTTTTTAAGTGTTAACCCCTTGTGTCATGGATATTTGCATTTTTAAAGAGGTTACTGAGAGACAACTGTGGCTTAATCAAGTGCTTCCCCAGAGAGTACCCTAGAATGCTAGCTCTCAGAAAAGATGTTTCATGACAAATATATACTTTGATTAATTAATTTAGGGAAGTGTTGAATGTTGCATGACCCTTTTAGAGATTCACAATGTACATAAGTATATTAAAGATTCTAAAAAGTTTTGCAATAAGAAAGTCTAATAATGATAACCTGACATTTCTCAAAACCTATTTGACCATGAAATCCTTTTCATCTTATAACACCCCACAGCACACTTCATGAAACATTTTCTTTGGGAAGATGCTACCTTAATAAAGAGAACTCATTATGTATTAGTGAGCTAATTCCTGGGCAAAGGATTTTAATGGGGGTTGAATTATGCCAGGTAAAGATGGCTTCCTGCCCTGGGTTTGCCCTGAAAATACTGCTGCCTTGCATCTTCCTCAGATTTACATAATAGGACTCATTGCAGACCGGAAATTTCAGCATTTCAACACCGTTCTGGAGGCTTACATCCAACAGCATTTCAGTGCGACCTTGGCTTACAAGTAAGTAATTGTGCACATGGGAACTTCTTCTCTACCACCCTCTTGCCCTGCCAGGATGCCTAGGGCACAGGAACTTGAGTAATTTTCTTTTGTGACTCATCTGTGTGAGCTCTCCATTCTCTAACAAAATCTAACCTATGCTTGGGTTATTTGGATATCATTAAAAATGTGGAATACCCATAGGTTTGGATGAATGCCTTATGGTTGCAGTGGTACCTGGAAGTGCTCATTCATCCATTCAGCTAGCGTGCTCTCATTTCTTGAGTGGACACCAGGACTTAAAGGCTACAGAGAAGACCAGGTGTGGTGGCTCACGCCTGTAATCCCAGGACTTTGGGAGGCTGAGATAGGTGGATCACCTGAGGTCAGGAGTTGGAGACCAGCCTGGCCAACATGGTGAAACCCTGTCTCTACTAAAAATACAAAAATTAGCTGAGCATGGTGGTGGGAGCCTGTAATCCCAGCTACTCGGGAGGCTGAGGCAGGAGAATCACTTGAACCCTGGAGGTGGAGATTGCATTGTGCAGAGATCACACCACTGCACTCCAGCCTGGGTGACAGTAAGACTCATCTCAAAAACAAAACAAAACAAAACAAAACAAAAACAGCGGGGGAGCTACACAGAAGAAAGTGCACATGCCAAGTAGCTCAGTCTGGTTTGGGTGTAGGGAGAGGGTGAGAGATAGGAGATGATGCCACAGGGAGTTTGGTGGGGACCAGTTTGTGAAGGGGCCTTGAAAGTCAGGCCAAGTAATTTGAAGTCTGCCCTATGGTAAAGAAGAAACATAGAAAGTTCCTAAGCAAACTTAGAGTTCTGTGATATTACAAGAGCATGTTCTATAGAAAGAAAAAGTTGAAAAAAAAGACATTATTGCCACCATTATTCCCCATTATTCCCACTTGTAGCCTGATTGTGACTAGTTCTCCTAGTCAAAAGATTTTTTTTTCCTCCCTATCTTTTTCTTTGCTGGCTTTTTATGAGCAGGAAATACTTATTAATTCCCTGTAATAAATATAATTTTTATGCAGAGTTATCTTTATGCTTACAAATGAGTAAGTGAGCTTGGCTCTACTACCACCTTTAACCTTTGATTGAATGCCTTATAATTTACTGAGCAAACTAATTACCATGATGAAAGAGATGTATTTTGAAAATATTATCCCTTATTCAGGAAATTGATGACAGTGCTGAAGACTTACTTGGATACCTCCAGCAGAGGGGAGCAATGTGAGCCAATCCTAAGAACGCTGAAGGCTTTGGAATATGTGTTCAAGTTCATTGTTCGGTCGAGGACATTATTTTCACAGTGAGTACTTGTTATGTAAGAGTGATTGATTAGCTCTGCAATTCCTCTGGGATACAACAGTATTTTTACTGTAGGAGAAACTCGTTTAAAAAATTATAACCAGCTGTCGATCAAAAACAGCTCAAGAATCCAACCTAGAGAGTAATGAATATGTAATAATTGTACCCTCTAAGTTCATTTGGGAAAAAAAAGAAATCTTAACAGGTTGCAGAGTTATGTTTAACCAGTAAATGTGATTTGAGGCTCTTCTGTGTTTCATCTAACATTCTTCATTTGATTTGAAATATGGTGAACATTTTCCAGCAATCTATATCCAATGTTAGAGGGCCTGGGAGCAGGAAGGGCAGAACTCAGGGAGTCTGACATTTACTTGGCTCTTGTAGGTTGTACATGGCCAATAAGCTGGTATTTGCAGTTGACCTGTCTGTCCTTGAGATCCTAGTAGCCAAAAAGTGAGCTGATGTATTAGAGTACCTTAGAAGATTTTGATGGTCAGTATCACAGAGGCCAGCTGCCTTTTTGAAGGGCTTTGGAGAGGAAGGTATTCAAATGCAATTTATAGAAGAACAATTCATGTTCATCTTGGCCATAGGGCAAAGTTAGGTAGAGGATTGTTTGTGTGTAATCAGGTTGGTTGTGTGTGATGGAAAATAAGAAAAACATTCAAGGAAAGTATTGTCTGGATTCTTAGTGCAAACAAAGAACACGCAACTGAAACTGACTTAGGGAGAAATGAGACTTTATTTCACATCATTGAAAAACCAAGGGTGTAGTCGGCCTCAGGCATGGCTGAGTCCAGATGCTCAGCGTTATTGGGATAGTCTCTGTCTGTCTAGATCTGGACTCTGCTTTCTTTTTGTTGATTGTCTTATAAGGCAAGTTTTCCGACGCAGAGGCTGCTAGAATCCTCAAGTTTACATTCTACCAGTGGAAGCAACTCTATGTTCCTTGTTGTCCTAGCAAAACCCTATGCCAAGAACTGTTTTGGGTCTTGTATAGTTGTGGTCATGTGTGCATTACTGGAGTCATAGCCAGGTCAGCCACTTATGGTGTGGACTTGTTATTTTAGAGATGAGTTCTCAAAAGAAACTTGAATTAGCCTGGGCAACAAAGCAAGACTCTGACTCTTAAAAAAAAAAAAAAGACCATCATTGTGATTGTGATCATGACAATGGATGGGCTGCTAAAGCTTTATATTTGACAGTGCATCTGAAACAGGCAATCATTTGGGATTCTCTTAACACATTCTTTGAGATTTCAGGTTATGAATAGAAAGATGTGAGTGTCTTGAACCATGCGACAGAACAAATGCACTTAGGTCATTCTGAAAGTGAAGTGTCTGTTTCAGATTCCTCTGGCTTGTCATTTAGTCAAGTCTGAGTCGGGTATTCTAGGTTTGAGAGATACTTCTCAGTGATTTGGGAAAACCAATGAGACTCCAGTGAATCTAAGAGTGATTTTCTTGGAGGAGTTCAAGAATTCAGACATTGCAGTTACAGCTTAAAAGTCAAGGATATCTTATCCCATCTTCCAAGTGAGAATGTTTTATGTATAAGTAGAATATGTCTTTTCTACTTCTCAGACCTTTTCAGTTCTTCCTTTTGGTGTATTTATTTTATTGCTTCTCCTCTCTCCTATATTTCTTTCCTTTTCCATCCCTTCCTCCCTCCCTTTCTTCCTTCCTTCCTTCCATTTTTTCCTTCCATTTTCAAGGATTGAGCTTCTTTACAAAGCCTCTTGCAGTGCCTGAAGCTCAGACAACCAGCTGCGCTAATCCTCAAGGGTTCTGAGCTTGTGGAATTATACAGAGTTTGGAGCAGGCTGAGCTTCCCTGTTCCATGAGATGGACACTGAGCGGCTCCCCTTCCTACTGGAAGGCACATGGAGATGAGACTGCAGAGCTTCTGTTAAGATAACTCTCTTATTTATTTATTAATTTTGAGACAGAGTCTTGCTCTGTCACTAGAGCAATGGCGCAATCACGGCTAGAGGGCAATGGCACAATCATGGCTCACTGCGATCTCCGCCTCCCACCTTCAACTGATTCTCCTGCCTCAGCCTCCCAAGTAGTTGGGATTACAGGCACGCATCACCACACCCAGCTAATTTTTTAGTAGAGACGGGGTTTCACCATGTTGGCCAGGATGGTCTTGATCTCCTGATCTCGTGATCTGCCCACCTCGGCCTCCCAAAGTGCTGGGATTACAGGCGTGAGCCACTGCGCCCAGCCAGTATAACTCTCTCATGTCTTACGTCTGTTAGTTTTTGTGTTTTCCATCTACTGGGACAAAATACATTTGTGCATTTGTTTTGCTCTTCTCTGCCTCAAGGCATATAATCTTGCAGAACCCCTAACTCTTTAACTGGTGTAAATTCAGTGCTGCTGTGACGTAAATGCTAAGTGACTTTTGGCTTATTCAGGAGCAGGGTGATCTGTTATTCCTTGCTGTATCCCTAGAATAGCAGCACATCACTGACATTTGGTCAGGAGAGGTCTCTAAAGCAACCCAAGCCTAATCTTGAATCCTTCCTCATGAACAGAAATGTAGGCTGACCTGCAAAGACGGTCTAGGACCTCATGCTAGGAGAAGGTAGGTTTTGTGTCTTGTTCTTTTTAGAATCTTTAGCAATGATCTGCTCTCCAGTGGAGTCTCTAGGGCATTGGGAAGCTATTGGGGTATTTCTCCATACGAGGGGGCATCTTCTGTGGGAAACTAGAAAACAGAAGTTTCAATGCTTTGAGATGTCTAACCCAGCTGTTGGGAAATCAGAATTGAATTATTGGTTTGGGGCTAATTGTATCTGGTATTGTGTGTCTGTTTCCTGTGAATCCTTTATTCTCTTTCCCTGCTTGCATAACTGCAGCGGATCTAGCTCCCATTATTTGTTCCCTTGCCATTATTTTTTGCACATCCTGCCCAGGAACACTTGCAAGGGCTAAGGATTTTCCTGTGTCAGTATGCAACGTATAGTTGGGTAAGGAAAGAAGAGTCGTTGTGGAGAAGGGGTGGAATTTTTATTTTACTATATTGTTCAGAAGGATTCATTTTTATCTATAGCCAAAGAAAGAAGAGAGTGAGTTCCTTGTCCCTCGCTTCTTGTGTCACTAGCTCCTGAGTCAAAGTCTGGATCAAGTGTCTCTGATTAGGCACATGCCAGTGCTGTAGCTGCAAAGGAAGCTGGCAGAGCAGGTTCTAGCTTCTGCCACAGGGAGGCAGTCTTATGAGTAATTCCTAAATTATAGGAAGTGTGTCTGAAAGATGCTGGTGGCCATAAATATGTCCAATATCCACTAGGCTTTTGTAGAATGACTGAGCTCCTGGGAGGTATTGAGCATTGTAAGGAACATTCAGAAAGAGTTGAAGTGATAATCTTCTACGATTCAGCTTCTTTACAAAGCCCCTTGCAGTGCCTTTAATCCTGAAGCTCAGACAACCAGCTGTGCAGATGCCCAAGGTTTCTGAGCTTGTGGAATTACACAAAGTTTGGAGCAGACCATGCTTCCCTGTTCCATGTGATGGACACTAAGCAGCTCCCTGTCCTACTGGCAGGCACAGAGAATCAGACTGCAGAGTTAGGATAACTCTCTAAAAGGGAGAGGAACCAGAACACTGTGCTGCAACAGGAGTTGCTCCCACTTGTCTCTGCTCCTCACAGATCCTCATGCTGCCCCAGGCTAGAGTGCAAGGGGCAGCATGGAGTAAGAGTTATGAGGAGATGTTCATGCAGGACAGACAATGGGTATAGTGGTATCTCTGCCTCTATAAGTACCTGGGTTAGTGATTGAATCAGCCTCTCTGAGCCTCAGCATCCTCATCTATAAATGGGGATAAACCAGTTCATTGTGTTTCAATGATGAAATGAGATTATGGGTACAAAGTGCTCCATGCAATATCTGGTACTTATTTCATAAATTTAATAAATGTTAGCTGGTATCATGTTTTCACTTAGGAGAAACAGCAAGGGTGCTTTTTTCAAAAACTCAGATTTAAATTATTAAGAAGAAATTCCAGGGTCTTGATTCAAGCTTAAAATTTGACTTACTACTCATACTATCCTAAACATTTCTTACAGTTTATTTCTCTGGAGGCAGGGATAACTTTTACCAGGTGTCTGTGCTTTTTGAGGACCACAATGTGGTACTCTCCTGGCCCCAGGAATTCACGCTGGTCTACTGCTAGCCCTCACTGGGTGGTCCTGATTCTGTGTGTTGCTCTTATTTCCTCTGTGAGTGTGATCAGGCCCCTCTGGCCAGAGCAGCTGTGGTGCCCGGGTCTCTGGCCCCTGCTTGCTATGCCTGCTTTTCTTTGCATCCTGCCTTCTGCTCTTATTACAGACCTGCTTATTTGGGTCTTGCTTCCTTCCCCATCTCCATTTAACCCTGATCTCCTGCTTCCACAAACTCCTCCTTCACCAGCCCCAGCTCCAGCTCATTTGCTTATGAGAAACTGCCAGCTCAGAGGTGAAAGGCACAGTCTCCAAAGCCAAGTCTGCTTGGGTGTGAATTCTGAGTTGGAATCTTGCCATTACATTTACTAGCATTTACAACCTTGGACAAATTATTTAATCTGCCTAAAGCTCAATTTCCTCATATGTAACACGGTCATAATAGTACCTACCATACAGGGTTGGTGTACAGACTAAGTGAGCCCAATGGATGTAAGGTACTTACTTAGCACAGTGCTGGTCACATAGCCAGTATACATGGTTATTCACTTATCATCTTCAGCAGTCTTCACAAAAATTCTACGGAGGACCCCATTTTCTGACTTTATCTCCTGCTACTCCTCACTCACTTTGTGCCAACCACACTGGACTTGCTGT
This sequence comes from Homo sapiens, assembly GCF_000001405.40. Taxonomy (NCBI): domain Eukaryota; kingdom Metazoa; phylum Chordata; class Mammalia; order Primates; family Hominidae; genus Homo; species Homo sapiens. Next base: position 169,723,616 of record NC_000005.10, read on the forward strand.
GGCTCAAGCTCCTTCCTTCCTTGAAGACCTTTGCACCCTTCCCCAGATCCATTTGTTAACTCCCTCACCATTTTTATATCTTTGCTCAAACCTCTCTTTCACTACCCTATTTAAAATTGCAACCCCTGTCCCGAGCACTGCTGATTTCTCTCTTCCTTTTGATGTCTTTTTCTCCCCATAGAACTAAACATGGCATACTATATAGTAATCATGCTTTTGTTGACTGTCCCTTCCTTGCTGGAATGTCAGATCCATCAGTACAGGAACCTTTGACTGTTTTGTACTCTGTGGTACACTAAAGCAACTAGAATGTAGTAAGCACTCATTAAGTATGAAATTGGACACCATTTCTAGCCCCCTTTCACAAAGAAGGAGACTGAGGCTTAGAGTCAAGCTCAATGATCACACAGCTAAGAAATATAGCAGAGTGAGGCTTTGCACTCTGCCTCATCTGATGAAGCAAATGTGAGAACCTGATCATTTTTCTGGGCCATGCAAATGTGAAGTCTGGCTGGCCATGTTGAGGGGCTGTCCTGAGGGAGGGCGACTCTGACTGGAGGGGCTGACGTACTGAGTGACATTAGGGGCTGCTGAGAGGCACATGGCTCCTTGGGTTTCAGTGCTAGGAAGCATGGTAACATCCCTAAGTGCAGTAGGAATTCTGCAAACAACAACAACAAGATGAGCTGGAGCAGGAGTGGTCAGGAAAGGCATCCTTGCTGTTATAGTGAAGCTATTCAGGCAAATGTGACTTTGTCTTCATCCCCAGGGAATGAATAAAGAAAAGTTGACACAGGGCAGGCCAGGTGAGCTCACACTCCTTGGGAACAAGTCACTGGTTGGGGAGAGAAAAATTGCACTCTGTGTCCTGATGGGAGCTTCAGCACCTGGAAGCTTCATCCTGCTCCCTACCCCCGAGAGCCGAGAAAGCCTGCCCTGGTGTGCACAGTTCCACTGGCCTGCACTGGAGCTGCCACCACATTAACAAGGGCATCTCAGGAGCATGGTTCGCAGCTCAGCGACGCCTCCAGTCTAGCTTACCTCACCCAGGGCCAGACGTGATTGCCCTTTCTCTAATTGCCTTCAGCATCAATGACCAGACCCCAGACACCGGCTTTCTGGTACTTTCTTTTGTCTTTTTTTTTTTTTTCTTATTTGCCTATTTATTTATTCCGTGCCACCCTACCAATCAACCTCCACCTTATCCCCTCCCACCAGCTCAGTTTCTTCCTATGTAAATATTGCATAGTAGTTTACCCTCTAGGTCATGAATATGTTAGGCAGCAAGATTGTCTGAATAAAGCTCAGGGCAAGTCAGTGTAGCTTGCAGTCGGAGGGAGCACATAAGCCTCTGCCTTTTGAAACAAATATGAATTTAACTCAGAGGTGCTTGCCAGTGTGATTTGTTTTTATTGTTCATGTATGAATAAATATTAAAATGTAATCATCTGTTTATGCCGAGCATGAGCTGAAATGCCTGTGACATTGAGATTCCTGTTTCTTCTGCGTGTAATTTGTTTGCATATTAATGCCATTTATTTCTGTGTAAGCCTCTGTTTTTGGTTTTGAATATAATTTCACTTTTTGAAGACAGTAATGGCTTAGTAAACTGAACAATTGCAGTTAATGGAACTATTTTATGATAGCATTAACTTGGCGTCAGATCAGGATGAAAGAGAAAACTGTCACCGAAAGGATATCATCAAACAGTGACTTCTCTTTATTATTTATTTTATGAATTGCTGCAGTACTCAGGGAAAGCTAAACAGCCTTTCTCATGAACATATGTGAAAGTGGTTTGTCAACTGTTAAGTAAGTTGCCTGATTATAACATGAAATTGTGCATATGCATGAGCTGTTTTTTCTTTTTATTTATTTATTTATTTATTATTTTTCTTTTTTAAAATTATATCTTAAGTTCTAGGGTACATGTGCACAAAGTGCACATTTGTTACATAGGTATACATGTGCCATGTTGGTTTGCTGCACCCATCAGCTCATCATTTACATTAGGTATTTCTCCTAATGCTATTCCTCCCCCAGCCCCCAACCCCCGACAGGCCCCGGTGTGTGATGTTCCCCACCATGTGTCCATGTGTTCTCATTGTTCACCTCTCACCTATGAGTGAGAACATGCGGTGTTTGGTTTTCTCTCCTTGCGATAGTTTGCTTAGAATGATGGTTTCCAGCTTCATTCATGTCCCTGCAAAGGACATGAACTCATCCTTTTTTATGGCTGCATAGTATTCCATGGTGTATATGTGCCACATTTTTAAATCCAGTCTATCATTGATGGACATTTGGGTTGGTTCCAAGTCTTTGCTATTGTGAATAGTGCTGCAATAAAAAATACATGTGCATGTGTCTTTATAGCAGCATGATTTATAATCCTTTGGGTACATACCCAGTAATGGGATCCCTGGGTCAAATGGTGTTTCTGGTTCTAGATCCTTGAGGAATCGCCACACTGTCTTCCACAATGATTGAACTAATTTACACTCCCACCAAGAGTGTAAAAGTGTTCCTATTTCTCCACATCCTCTCCAGCATCTGTTGTTTCCTGACTTTTTAATGATCGCCATTCTAACTGGTGTGAGATGGTATCTCATTGTGGTTTTGATTTGCATTTCCCTAATGACCAGTGATAATGAGCATTTTTTTCATGTTTGTTGGCTGCATAAATGTCTTCTTTTGAGAAGTGTCTGTTTATATACTTTGCCCACTTTTTGATGGGGTTGTTTGATTTTTTCTTGTAAATTTGTTTAAGTTCTTTGTAGATTCTGCATATTAGCCCTTTGTCAGATAGGAAGATTGTAAAAATTTTCTCCCGTTCTGTAGGTTGCCTGTTCACTCTGATGGTAGTTTCTTTTGCTGTGCAGAAGCTCTTTAGTTTAATTAGATCCCATTTGTCTATTTTGGCTTTTTTTGCCATTGCTTTTGGTGTTTTAGTCATGAAGTCTTATGCATGAACTTTTAAATAGTTCTCTGTTCCCTTTGCCTATGGAAATATTAGTAAATATTTATTGGGCACCTATTATGTGCTAGGCACTTTGTTAAGTCATGGGGACCCTGAAATTAGTAAGTCAGCCTTCCTCAAGTATTGGCAATGTAGTGGACAAGATAAACATGCATCCCAGCAATCAAATCACAGTTGCCTGGGATAAGCAATGATCAGTGATGCAATATCACAGTGGAGGCCTGGAAATTGTTCTTGTGGGAGCAGACAGATTTGAATGACAAACCTTACCTTGGGAGGATCAGTAATTCTTCTCAGAGGAGGTGATGTTTCAAACTAGACATTGAAATGTATTTAAGAAGCCAGGCTAGCCAGGTGCGGTGGCTACTGGAGAGGCTGAGGTGAAAGAATTGCTTGAACTGGGGGGTGGAGGTTGCAGTGAGCTGAGATCGTGCCACTGCACTCCAGTCTGAGTGATAGAGTGCGACCCTGTCTCAAAAAAAAAAAAAAGAAAAAAGAAAGAAAGAAAAGAAAAGGAGCCAGTCCATGGGACGAAAGAGACTCTCTAATTCTAAATACAATCTGTGAAATAGAACTTCCAATGACTCCTGCTTCTCTTCAGTATCATTTATGAAGCCTCTCCTCTGTGCTTGGCCCTGCATTGCTTTTTACTCCACCTCACTTAATACAACAACGCTGCAAAGCATAGGTATTATGATGTTCATTATATAAAAGAGAAAATGAGGCTCAGAAAGGTACAGAAAGTGACTCCAGGTCACACTCTAGATGTCGGCGGGGAGGGATCTGACACTCAAGCTGAGGTTCTTGCTGTTGTGCTGTACCCACACACGAATGTCATGTTTGTGGAGAAGAGTAGCTAGTGAATGAAGCCGTGGTGGTGGAGGGGGGCCTGATGCATCTGGAGAGGTGGCTTGAAGCTGAATTGTGAAACACCTTGAATGTCAGACCCAGCAGCTTGACGTCATCCTGTATCCAGGGGGATTTTGATGTAGATCCTACCTTTTACTCTTAGAGAGCACACAGTGAGTGCCCCAGTAGGTGTACACACTAAGCTATTGGGATCAGATAAAACTATTAAAATTATTTTATCTCACATGAAGACATTAAACTTATAAACACTTAATTTAGACTAGCAGATGGATATCATTTATAAATAAATAAGCATCTATTGAGTTTTGTGCTTAAAATGAAAAAAAAAATTTTTTTCTCCAAGGAGCAGTTTGGAAACTTCTGCTTTTGGCGGTGGGGAGCCACTGAAGTTCTAAAGCAGGGGATTAACATGATTAGATTCATCTTTTGGATAGAGTACTGGGGAAGAAAGGTTAGTTCGTGGAAGATGAGATAGAAAGCAAGAGATGGAGACGGGTGATCAATGGTGAAGCTATCACAATAATCCAGGCAAGAGCTCTTGAACTAAGGTAGTGACGGTGGTACTGGGGAAGAGGAGAGGAAGAAGATAAAGGTTTACAGATGAGGAGATGGCCAGAACTAATTGAATGTAGGAATGGAATTCAAGGAGAGGGCCAAGCCAGATGATCTGACTCTGGACTTTCTGGTCCATTTGACCTGGCATTGCAAACCAGCATGAGAAATACAGGGGAGTAGTGGGTTTTTATAGTGTATTGGGTTTGGGACATAAAATGTTTGAGGTGTTTATTGGCAGAACCGGATGAAAATGTATAGCAGGCAGTTAGATACAGATTAGGAGTTCAGGAGAATGGAGACACAGTTTTGGTTGAAATTGATCCAAAGAGATATTTGAAGCTATAGCACAAGGTGAGTAATACTATAAAACTCAGAATGAAACCCAGGGAGTCAGCCCATTGAAGGGATGGGTGAAAAAAGGGTCCCACTGAAAGCTGGATTAGGGACATAGGATAACAGGCAGAAAGGATTGTCATTCCAGGAACCAGGAAGGACAGTGTTTCAAGGAGGGAGTGTCGGCAGTGTCAGGTGCTACAGGGAGATCATGGGACTGGAAACTGATTAGAGGCATGATATTTTGCAATAGAAGGTCATTGTTAAGTTAGCCAACCCTTTCCCAGAGCTTAGCATCTTTCCTAATATCTGGTCCAAAGGCCATCAGAGCAAGGGGTCAAAGTTTGAAGTGCATTTGATTTCCTCTTATCTGTTTGTGAATTACCTACATTTGGATTGCCTTTTTCCAGGGTGTAATCCTAGACTGACTTCCCCCATCCATCCTTCAGAATCTGGGGAAAATTTCATACTTCACTCATAGCAAAGCGTAAGACACTGGTCTTGTCTGCTTCCACCTCCCTTTAAATGGTGTGGAATGAGGCTATCCTGTGCTGTAGACAATTAAGGGTAAGGCTGTGGAGGACACAGATATTCATTCTTTTAGGTTGAAATGGTAAACTATTTCCTCTGATTGTTAACTCATTATTGGAAATCTGGGAGCTAGATTGCTGGTTGAACCCTTGCCTGAGAGCAAAGATGGCTATTTCTGTCAAATGCTGAGGCTGACAGTTGCTCAGAGAATGACTTGGGTGGGAGAGCAATTTACTGAATAAACGTGTAGATTTAGAAACTGCATTTGCAAATCCCCTGTAACGAAATATGAACATACCGGATAAGAAGGGTCTAGTTTGCCAGAAGGGTGAAATTTGCCATGCTAACGCAATTGTCAGGGATGCTAAGTGCAATTGGTATGACTAGACGTACTTTGTGATCTTCGTCAAATGTACTTGAGGCAGGCATCACCCCGAAGGAGAATTTGTTTCCTTAGTAGAAAATAATATATTGCTCACTCATTGGGCTTGTTATTTATTGTGTCTTTGGGGTGGAAGGAAGATTGAAAAGGACTTCATCATGTGGCACATATGGTCACTGTCCTTCAAGTCTCTAAACTGGCCCCTCTACCTGGCAGATCTACTCTCCCACATACAGGAGAGACATATAGCCTGCTACAGAGACACATTGATTTCATTCATTCATTTGTGTATTCAATAGTCACTTTTGAGTCTTACTATTTGGCCAAGTTCTATGCTAGGAGACTCTAGTGAAAAAGACAGATGGAGTGTCTTCTTCATGCTGCCCTTATATTATACTGGGGGAGATGGAAAAACATAGAGAAATGAATAAACCAAGTTGTTTCAAATGGTAATAAATGTCAGTGAAGGAATAAGCAAGTGTGTGGCTGAGACAGGGGTAGTGAGGGTGGGGGGTAGCAGAGTGCAGGGTATAGCACAGTGGTGAGGCTCTGGAGCCACACTGCCTGGGTTTGAATCCCAGTAACTGTGACCTTGGGCAAAGTCACTTCACCTCTGGGTCTTAGTTTCCTGGTCTAAAGTGGGGATTACCTCAGAATGTTATTGTGAGGGTTCTGAAAATGTGATATTTATTTATTTATATTTATATTTTGGAGGTGGAGTCTCACTCTGTTGCCCAGGCTGGAGTGCAATGGCACAATCTCGACTCACTGCAGCCTCTGCCTCCTGGGTTCAAGTGATTCTCCTGCCTCAGCCTCCCGAGTAGCTGGGACTACAGGCATGCACCACCACACCCAGCTAATTTTTGTATTTTTAGTAGAGATGGGGTTTTGCCATGTTGACCAGGCTGGTCTTGAACTCCTGACCTCAGCTTATCTGCCTGCCTCAGCCTCCCAAAGTGCTGGGATTACAGGCATGAGCCACTGCTCCTGGCCCTGTAAACTGAGATGTGATAGATGCAAATGAATCAGCCATGCGATGGCTGGATGGGAGAAGGAGGTGCAGGGAGGAAAGCTATGAGCAAGTGCTCTCACAGGGTGAAGCTTTTCAGAAAGTTAGAGAAGACTGGTGCTGGGGGATGTAAGGTGAGCATAGGGGAGAACAGGAGAAAGATGAATTTGGACAGCGAGTCAGAGGCTACCATGCAGGGATTATTCTAGGCACATTGCAAACTGCTCAGAGGGGATTTAACTAAAAACGCTTGTATGGCAGGTAGCACGTATAATACTTGGGTGACAAGAAGGGTTTGTGTCATGGACCACACGTGTGTCGTAACCTCTACAAGTCTCTTTAGTTACCTCACTTAAGATATATAGGACATAAACTGTCCATTCTTTAATCATGCTAGATGGAGGATGGACATCCTGTGTTTCCTCAAATCAGTGAACAATCCCTAGAGTTCTAGCAATCGCTCAACTCCCTTAAGCATTTTTGTTCTACAGTCACCACACTTACTATTTTTAAGAGCCATTTATGTTTCAGCCACCATGAATTTTTGGTTACAGTTTTGAACAAGTTTATTTTTTAATTTTAGGTATATGATTATAGCTACCACTCTCTCTCTCTCTCTTTTTTTTAGAGACAAGGTCTTGCTCTGTTGCACAGGCTGAAGTACAGTGGCATGATCACAGCTCACTGTAGCCTTGAACTCCTGGGCTCAAGTGATCCTCCTGTTTTGGCCTCCCAAGTAGCTAGGACTAATGCCCAGCTAATTTTTAAATTTTTTTGTGGAGATGCAGTCTCACTGTGTTGCTGAGGCTGGTCTTGAACTTCTGGCCTCAAGTGATCCTCCCACCTCAGTCTCCCAAAATGCTGAGAGTACAGGTGTGAGCCACCACACCCAGCCTTGCCACTTCTCAATGCTGTGTTAATGTATCGGTCTAAAGACCCTGATATGGTTTGGCTGTGTCCACACCCAAATCTCATCTTGAATTGTAACTCCCACAATTCCCATGTGTCCTGGGAGGAGCCCTATGGGAGGTGATTGAATTACAGGGGTGGGTCTTTTCTGTGCTGTTCTCATGATAGTGAATGAGTCTCATGAGATCTGATGGTTTTAAAAACTGTAGTTTTCCTGCACAAGCTCCCTCTTTGCCTGCTGCCATCCGTGTAAAACGTGAGTTGCTTCTCCTTGCCTTTCCCCGTGATTGTGAGGCTTCCCCAGACACATGGAATGTAAGTCCATTAAACCTCTTTCTTTTGTAAATGGCCTAGTCTCGGCTATGTCTTTATCAGCAACACGAAAACGGACTAATACAGACCCTTATTCCTCAAAGTAACAGATGCTATAAAAGCCATTTGATGTGATTATTAGCAGTCATTGTGCCCAGGTACATTCTTGTACACAAGTGTATTTTCCTCAGAATAAGGTTCTTCCAAAGTATAATTTGCTGGGCTAAAGGGTATTAATTATTTTTTTCCTGAGTTCCTATCAGATGGACATTCTTTGGGGAAGGGCAAACTTGCATGTCTTGAGTGCCATAGGAGTGATAAAATGAAGAGCTTGCCTATATTTGGGGCCTGGTGTGGTGGCTCATGCCTGTAATCTTGCACTTTGGGAGGCTGAGGTGGGAGGATCACCTGAGCTCAGGAGTTTGAGACTAGCCTGGGCAACATGGTGAAACCCCATCTCTACTAAAACTACAAAAATTAGTCTGGCATGGTGGCACAGCCTGAAGTCCCAGCTACTCGGGAAGCTGAGGCAGGAGAATCACTTCAACCCGGGAGGCAGAAGTTGCAGTGAGCCGAGATTGCACCACTGCACTCCAGCCTGGGTGACAGAGTGAGACCCCATCTTAAAACAAAACAAAAAACAATAACCATATTTTGTGAATAAGCCACAGGTGATAATACTATCATGCTAATAATTAAGAATACCCTAAATAGCATGAGCCACAGCATTTTATTCTGCTGACCTCTGTCTCTTCCTGGAATCACTTTTCTTCCCTTGGCTCACTAACACAGAACTCTTTTTGTATTCCTCATACCGTTATTTTCTCTCTGGAGGTCCTAAATGCTTTTTGGTGTCCTCCTTTCACTCGCTTCCCACTCCCTAGCTGAATGCATCCACGCCCGTTGCTTCAGTTATCATTTCTATGCAGGTAACACAGAAATCCAGCCTCACCTCTTCACCAAGTTCCAGATCCATATATCCAATCACTTGATATCTTCTTTTCTAGTATATCAAAGGCAACTCAAAGTTAGCACATCGGGAATCAAATTCATGATGTGCTCTATCTCACTGACCCACAAACCAGTATGCAGCGTGAGACAGAAAAGAGGGACTCATTCTTGACACCTCATTCTGTTACTCCACATATGGTCCACAGTCAAGTCTCAAACCTTTCTCCCTGAAACGTATCTCAATTTATCTATATCTTTCCATCTTTACTGCTAACCTCCTACTCCATGTTCTCACCCTCTCACATGTGGAATACTGTATTTGCTTTCTCCAGTGGTCTTGCTATATCCATTCTTGCCTTCCTACAGTCTATTCTCTATAAAGGTTTTTGGATTTCCTAAATAGACAATTATAGCATCTATAAATATAGAACATTTTGTACCTCCCTTTCTAATCTTAATTCTTTTTCTCCCTGTCTTACTGTACGGGCTAGGAGTCTAGGTCAGTGTTGAATAGAAATGGTAATACATATTGTGCTTTGGATATTTATTGTAGATGCTTTTCATCAGTTTAAGGAAGTCAATAATTATGTCTGTTATGAAGAGATAAGAGGTTTAATTGTGATGACTGATGTTTTGAATTCATTTCTACCATTTTAGCTGTGCATCCTCCACACCACCCCCTGATTTTTCTGTCCTTTTTCTCCCTTTCTTTTTTTGGGATTGTTTTCAATTTCCTCATTCCCTTTTTTCCCCTTTATTAGTTTGAAAGTTACATTCTGTGTTTAATTATATTAGTGGCTACCTGCATATTTTATCATACATATTTAACTTAGTAAAGTCTAAAGTTACATTTTTAACATTTCCCTGAGTAATAAGATTTCAGAAGGCTCTGTCACCTCCTTCTTAAATATCATGCTAGAATTATGCAGCATTTTAGTTTTACTTTCTAAAAATAACTCCACATACTAGATATTATTATTGTTTTAAACAGTTAGTATTTATGTTTTTACCAATAAAAGTTCAACACTATTCTACTGTATACTTAAAAATGATTAAGATGGTAAATTTTATGTTATATGTTTTTAACCACAATTAAAAAAAAGCTCATCACTCTTTCTCTTATCTTAGACATTTCATATTTGCTTACTTTCTTTCTGAAGTTAATCTTGTAGACTTAACTTTAAGAAATTCTGTTGGTAAAATCCCTGAAATTAAATTATCTGATTTTATTCTGAAACTCGAAAGGAAGTTTTTCTAGATATAGACTTATAGCTCATTTTTTGTTTACTGTCATCTACTGTTAATGTTAACTGTTAGTCTTACTATTGTTTCTTTATAGGCATTCTGGTTTTATCTCTCTGGTGGCTTGTAAGATCATCTCTTTCTCTTTGATGTTCTGCAGTTTCACCATGATGTACTTAGGAATGATTTTGTTGATGTTGCTAAAAGTTAGTTTTCCTGGATTTGAAGTTTTGAATATTTAATACCAATTCCAAAAAAACTATTATTCTTGCTTTTTTAAATATTCACATTTCTCCATATATTTTATTATCTCTCTGAAATATCAATCAGCATATGTTAGACCTCATTATATTCTCTAGTTCTCATAAATTCTCTTTCATATTTTCTATCTTTTTTGTTTTCTCGGTTCATTCTGCCTAATTTCTTTAAACCCATTTTCCAGCTTACCAAGTTCTCTCTTTAGCTTTGTCTAATATGTTCTTTAACTGACTGAGGTTTTTCTTTCAATTACAATATTATTTTCAAAAACTCCATTTTGTTCTTTTTCAAATCTAATTTTTTGTTTTTATAATATTTTGTTTCTTGATCATATTTTCAAGCATCTTTTTAATGTTTTGAAGCATAGTGAGTGTGCTGGGTTTGTACACTTTGTTGCATAATTCCAGTAGTGGGAATCTTTGTGGGTTCTCATTCTGTCTCTCTGTTTTGGGTGACCCTGCTTCTTTATGCATTTTGTTGTTTTTATTATTTCCTAAAGCTAATTGTCCTTGGAACTTCATCAGTTGGTATATATTTTAATTAAAGTTTTTTATTTTCCTCCAAAGAAAATCAGAGTTTCCTTCTTTCATTCACCTGGGGCAATACCAACCAGATACCTCATTAGTTAAAATTTCTGTTTATGGATACAAGCAAGGAACATGAATTGGAAAACAAAAACAAAACACAGGTCAGGACTGACTTGTGGTTAAGAATTCTCACTGGAGATATGTTTGCGTTTTTCTTCTACATACAGCATCGAAGACCAGGGCATTTCCTTCCTGTTTCCTTTTGTGCAATAGGTTTATTTCTTTTCCTCTATTTTGAAGAAGATGCAACAAACTGGGAAACCAGCTTTATATGAGGGTCTCCAATATGCAGGCCCTAGGATTGATCTCATTTCTTCTATTCCCCAGGCAGCCATCAAAATAGAACTTTAAGGACACGAGGGCTTGCAGACGCCTTTGGGGCAAAGCTGGCTGCATTGCTCTGACGTACCCAGAGACCTGCTTTGCTTTGTGTTTGTCCTCGGTGTATTCCTTACTTTCTTGACAGTTTAGTGACTTATATTTAAAATCCAGCTTTGATAGTTGTTTTCACTGACAGGTTTTCCAGGATATTTTGTTCACCATACTGTCAGAAATGGAAGTCTTTAAACTTCACCCTACAGTCAGAGTGATCTTTCCACAGTTCAAATCAGATCACAGTACTCACCTTCTTAAAATCCTCTTATTTCTTTTTATTCTTCTTAGGATGAAGACAAAACCTAATGTGGCCTGCAAGGGTCTCCTGGTCTGGCCCTGTAGCCCCTCTGGTCCCCTTTGACCTGACTTCCCTAGGTGAAAGGAGAAGTCTTTCTCCACTCTGGAATTGGTGGCTTTCATTCAGCTCCTCTGATTCTCTCAGCTCCCTTCTGCTGTGGGGCCTGTGCACTTGCTGTTCCTTCAACCTGAACTGCTCTTCCCTCTCCTTCTTACCTAATTTTCTCTTATTTATCTTTCCTGTGTCCTCTCAAGCATCACTTTCTCAGGGAATCTATCCCTGTATTTTCTGGCTAGGTCAAAGCTCCCTATTTTACCTTTTCATTGCCCACGTATTTTGTGTTTGAAGTACATATCACAGTTTCTGTTTTACATGTATAGACGTCAGTTTTTATTTATTTGTATAAATTCCTTAATTGCACAGTGACTGGTGCATAGTAGATGCTCAGCACCGTCATTGGCACAATAACAAAAACACATTTTTGTTAGTTGAATAACTTATCTTATGGAGACCCTAAGCACACCTACTTTAGCCAAGTAAAAGCTGCCGGTATTAGTCTGTTCTCAATTGCTATAAAGAACTACCTGAGCCTGGGTAATTTATGAAGAAAAGAGTAAGTTTAATGGACTCAACACTTCCACAGGCTGTACAGGAAGCATGGCTGGGAGGCTTCAGGAAACTTACAAACATGGCAGAAGGTGAAGGGGAAGCAAGCATGCCTTAGCATGGCAGAGCAGGGGGGAGAGGGAGAGAGAGAGAGAGAGAGAGGGAGAGAGAGAGTGAGAGAGAACCAAGTGGGAAGTACTACACACTTTTAAACAACCAGATCTTATGAGAACTCACTCACTGTCATGAGAACAGCAAGAAGGGAATCTGCCCCCATGATCCAATCATCTCTCGCCAGGTCCCTCCCCCAACATTGTAAATTACAATTTGACAGGAGATTTGGGCGGGGATGTGGAACCAAACCATATCACAGCCCTTCTCCTAGAATTGAGAGTCCATGATTTTTGAGTTTTTATTTCTTTCACCCCTCGTGGCTTGCTTCCTGGGGTAAAGTGATGGGTCTTTTCACTGGTTTCAGGCCAGGTATGCACAGCTGGGTCAGCAGGGTCTGGTAGCTGAAATGCAGCCCTGGATTTTAAAGCTCACCTGTTTGGGTCAGGGGCCTTCTTCTTTTATCAACTTTTCCTCCTCTGATATGTTTTAATGTAATATTCTAGTGCCTCTCCATTGCAGTAAGTGTTAGAATGTGACCTCTCCTAAACCCTAGAAGTCCACACAGGGTGTGTTAAATGCCCTGCACTGGTTTGCACCCCAGCCTTTGTCTGCTGTGTGCATTGCATGCCCAGATTTTCTACCTGGGCTTTTGTCATGGTGTTCCCACTTTGGAAGGCATCTGTGGGTTTCTCAGCCTGGAATATAAAGATGGTGAACAATTTTTCAGTATATGGGTATTTCTTAACTTTTAACAAATTGCTCTTAAAGCCTGTAGCTTCCAAAACACCTTTAACTCAGGATTTATTCATCCTTACATTCAGCAACAATGCATCACATACCTGTCCCATGCATACTGGGCCATAAAACTTAGTTTCTTTTTTTAAGCACATGAGTAGATAATGAAAGTTTCTATCTCAAAATAAGTTCAAATACGTGTCTAGTGGTAGAACTTTGGTTTGCATTAGTAATCACATGTTTATCCAACACATATCGAGTAGGCCACTATGCTAGGTACTAGAAATATAACAATGAACTGGACAGACTAGTGGAATTAGACAAAGGTATGAAAGTTTTTAGTGTAGTTGAGAAGAGACATGAAGCAGATAATCATGTGGGTGCATGTAAAATCAAGGGGAAATGCATGTGAGGTGCCCTGGGATCATGCTATGAAGAGATCAGCTTTCATCACAGGGTCAGGAATACTTCTCTGAGGAAGTACCATCTAAGCTGTGACCTGAATGATGAGTAGGAGTTGGCAGGTGAAGAGGAGGAGGGTGTAGTAGGTGAAAATAAAGCCAGAGGGAGCTCCCTGAGATAGGAGGGAGTTTGACCCAAAGGAACTGTGGAAAGTCTAGGGTGGCTGGAATTCAGTGACCAAGGGATAGAATGACTGGACATTGCCTAAAAGGGTAGGAAGGGGTGGCTCTTGAAGAACCTTGAGTGTCAGGCCATGACCTCTAGAAATTATCTTAGGGAAATGGGGAGCTGTGATATTATGAAGTGTATACTTGGTCTTTGATCCTTTTTCCTGGCATACATGTCCTAGAATCCTTAGAATCTCCAAAAAGTGATGTCTTTTTGCATGCTAATGAGTTGACTGAAGCCTGGAAACCCTTAGGTAGTTTCAGGATGAGGGGTGGCCATCTGAAAGAGCAAGGCAGAATTAGAGGGTTGAGACTTTCAGCCTCCCCCATAGGGAGGGGAGAGGGTTGAAGTTAACTTGATCACCAATGGCCAATGCTACATAACAAAGCCTATATAAAATCACAAAAGGACTGGGTTCTGAGAGAACCCAGCAATTCCAGACAGCTGAACACGTGGCACTTCCTGGAAGGTGGCATTCCTGGACCGGGCATGGAAGCTCCGCATACCTTCCTCCCCATTCCTGTATCTTTTGTAATAAATACCCTTTATATCAAATAGGTAAATGTGTTTCCCTGAGTTCTGTGAGCAGCTCTAGCAAGTTAATCAAACCCGAGGAGGGAGTTTTGGGAACTCAAATTAATAGCCAGTTGGTCAGAGGCACAGGTAAAACAACCTGGGCTTATGATTGGCATTGGAAATGGGGGGCAGTCCTGGGGACTGAGCCCTCACCCAATAGGATCTGACTCTCTCCAGGTAGATAATGTTGGGTTTGGACTGAATTAGAGGACACCAGCTGTGTCCACTGCAGAATTCATTGCTTGCTTGGTGGTGGGGATAGACTCTCGCACATTTGTTACAGATGTCTTCTGTGTTCATGGTTGCGGCATGGGAGCAGAGGGAAAGTAGCGTGTGTTTTTTCCACTTAGGAATTTTTAAAGGATTTTCAACAGGAAAATGCTATGATCGCATCTGTGTTTTTAGAAAGGTCCCTCTGACCATTATGTAGAAACTGGATTGAAAGAAAATAAGAGAGAGGGAAGGGACACTGGTTCAGAGACCCCCACAGGTGAAAGGAAATGGAGGCTTGGTCCTCCATGGTACTGATGAAGATGGAGAGGGGTAAATGGCTTTTGGGGTGGAATTAATGGGTCTTGATGACTCAATAACTTTCAAGCAATTCAAGATAGTCCCTTCTTAGCCCAAGGCTTTGACTTGGGCACCAGTGGGGCCTTTAGGCTGTGCTTGGAAACTAGAGGGTGTTTTTTTATTGTCCAAAAACAGGCTTGGTTTTGGACAATACATGTTCTGAAATAGATAGTAATGTTCATTTTCAACTCAGGTGCTTAAAAAAGAAGCTAAGTCTTATGGGCCAGTATGTATGGAACATGTATGTAACGTGTTATTGCTGAACGTAAGGAAGAACTCTTTGACAATAGAAGCCAGATAAGAATCCTGGAGAATTACCTCAATGGTAAATAGTTTACCTAAAGATGAGGACACAAGGGCCCAGACAGGAGTGATCTAAAGTCTGAATGTCTGTAAATGCTAGTCTGGTTTAGAATTCACTCAGTCCTGTGACCGATACCATTGCTCCTTCTGTTACCCTGTCCTCTGCGGGCAGCCTGGTGGGCCCTTGGTCATCCTACTGCTCAAAGAGGTCTCCAGGCACTCAAACCTCAGTGTGTTTGATCTCCACATTCCTTGGGTGTTCCCAAATTTCAAAACAAAGAGTTTTATTGCACATGCATTTTTAAAACTGGCACCATTAGCAAGGAAAATGTTAAAAGAAGAAATCACTTAACTACACACACCAAATGTCAGGGCTCTCAGTGGAAGAGCCTGGGGTTAATTATCCTTTTCAGGAAGCCATGGAATCAAAGGATGAAGTTCAATGCTCTTGGCATGACCATAGTTTAGAGTAATAATAACTTGGCATTTCTTGGGCCGTTGTGTCTCTAGCTGCAGTTTATGCCAGAAACTGGGAGGCAGGTGAAAAATCAGCATCTTGATTCTGTAATTGTAGAGGGAAAATGGCCTCTAGTTGTATGTGACCTTCAGTTAGATTCTCCAGCCCCAGCCTTATTCCCACATGAGAATGAGAAATTTCAGGAAAGGCTTTGGAGAAATGGACTGTTGTAGGAAGGAGCTATAAGGCAAGAAATACACCAAAGAAAGAGTAGATCTCTCTTTTTAAAGTTAAATGAAAATTTCACTTGTGTTTAAAAATCAGAATATAAAATAAGTGTATATAATGGGCATGTTATACCTAATCCCCTTTTCCAAGAGGTAGCTAAATTATCAATTTAATGTACAGATTTGCAGATTTTATTAGCTTTGCACGTGTGTCTGCGTAATCATCTGGCAAGCCATTTTTTTCTGTTATATATTTTCAATTATATAGAAACCTCCTAGATTGTAAACAAACAAATAAAAACACTGAGGGAACAAATGATAAAAGAAGTGGTCAAAATCCAACTTCTTCTTGGCACCCAGACTTTTATACCAACTGGGCCATAGAGAAAGAGCTGGAAGGAGTGTGCTGAATATTAGCTGCTTTTTCAAGTAGATGATGTAATCTATATATTTCTCTGTATGTCTTGGAAGCAGGGAAGAAAGAAAGAGAGATAGAGAGTGTGCATGCGTGTGCTTCTTTCTATCCTTAGGAATATTGTTTTGGAAACATTCAATTTCTAATTATATTGGGGGGAAAAACCCTAAATACCATTTTTCATGCTAATGGAGAAATTTACTTAAGTGCAGAATTATGCAACTTAGTTTTCTCGCCAAATTACATAAAGTGTGCAGCTCCTCTGAATAGAATGAAGGATGGCATGGGCACACATCACACACTGTTCATAACTTAAAGTTCTTTTCAGGCTTTTTCCTGCATCTTATTACCTACTTACTATTAATTTATTACACAGGGTTGCCATATTTTAAAAGTAAAGTGAATGTTTCAGATGGATTGTTTTTCTTTCATTTCTCCCATATTGTTAACTTCTTTTTTTTTTATTTAGAACTGTTTATACTTCCATCAGAGGCAGTTTTTCTTCAGTGATTGCATTAATTTTTATGTGTTCATTCTAGACATTTTTCAAACAGAATCTCCACATGTTGAGTTTGTCTTCTTTTCTCTCATCCACAAATCATTCTTTCCTGGTGTTATTTACAGGAAGATGTTAGTGAATCTCCTTTGCTATTTGCCCTAAGGAGTGATCCCACCCCAAATGTCAGGCTCTGGAAAAGTAACAGCTCAATAGAAATAATCTCGTCATTGACAAAAGTACTTGGCACCAGGAGCTGATCTGCACCCCGCCTGTTGGCTGCTGGGGGTATTCAATGAAGTAAAGCCTGCACAGGCACCTCTGTGGCCTCTAGGGCTGCTTGACAGTTGACACTAGCAACACTGTAGTCATCCTAACCGTTCCTTACATATTCTGTTTCTCATGAGGCTTTGCTCTTTCTCTTCTGACAGAATAAATATTTCCACTTCAACTTTGTTACCCTTTAGAGGAGAATTTCTCTGACCACTGTGTATGTGTTTTGTTTTTGTTTTTGTTTTTGGAGACAGGGTCTCATTGTGTCACCTAGGCTGGAGTGCAGTGGCTTGATTATGGCTCACTGCAACCTTGACTTCCTGGGCTCGGGCGATCCTCCAGCCTCAGCCTCCCAAATAGCTTTAACCACAGGCATGCACCACCACACCTAGCTAATTTTTGTATTTTTTTGTGGAGACATTTTCCCAGGTTGGTCTTGAACTCCTAGGCTCAAGTGATCCTCCCATTTCGGCCTCCCAAAGTGTTGGGATTATAGGTGTGAGCCACTGCACCCAGCCATCTGACCATTGCTGAGTAAGACAGCTAACTCTCAGATTCTGTGTCTTTGCAATTTCTTATTTATTTCAGGTCCATACACCTTGATGGTGGGGAAGAGGTGGGGATGGTGGCAGTGACCTTACAGGGAAGGGATGAATTAGGAAGGGAACCGTCTCTTTCACGAATCCTTTGCATGCCTATTTCATTGACTTAAATGTGCCTGCCTAGTGCATTGAAGGGTCTCATTCTATGAACAGGATTGGGAAGTGCAAGGATGATCTTCAGACAGACTCAGCCACTGGTTTAGCTGTAATTATTCTTGGTCCCAGGTTGTGGGGTGGGAGGGAGAGAGGGAGAGAATACACATCACTCCTTGACTCTTGTCTTAAAGTATTATGATTTTCCCAGAGTAATCACTCTTTTGAAACCAGGAAAGATTCAATGGTTCTTTTTGTAAAGTCACTAATTTACACTTATCTGAATAGGGCAAATTATTGGCTCAGGGGAAGGAACACCAGCCAAGTCACCTTGGTTTTAGAGCTTGAATAGAAAAAGCGTAGAGCCAGCCTTCTAGCTTCCCTCCAACAGTCCCATAGCGTCATCCCCTGGATAACGGATGCCTCCCTACCCACTGACTTGCTCTTGTTCCTGGGGTCATAAATTATTTAGCTGCCACTTATCTCCCAGGATCTTTTACTATTTTTTTTTTTTTTTTTTTTTTTTGAGACGGAGTCTCGCTCTGTCTCCCAGGCTGGAGTGCAGTGGTGCGATCTCAGCTTACCGCAAGCTCTGCCTCCCGGGTTCACGCCATCCTCCTGCCTCAGCCTCCCAAGTAGCTGAGACTACAGGCGCCCACCACCCTGCCCAGCTAATTTTTTAAATATTTTTTTTATAGTAGAGATGGAGTTTCACCGTGTTAGCCAGGATGGTCTCAATCTCCTGACCTCGTGATCTGCCCATCTCGGCCTCCCAAAGTGCTGGGATTACAGGTGTGAGCCACTGCGCCCAGCCCTTTTACTCATTTTTATCTGCAGTGTGGTGCCTGGCATGTAGTAAGTGCTCAGTAAATGGTAGTTGTCTTTATGAAAATGCTGATTTCTTTCTTCTTACAGTTCAGGAAGCAAAAATGGGTGTATCCGGAAGAAAAACTGTATATGATGTAATAGTAGCTGACATCTGTTGTTGACTATGTACTAGACTCTGCTAATGGCTTTATGTGCATTGTTTGATTTTCGAGCAACCTTATGGGGCTAATACAATTTTACTAATGAGAAATCTGAGTCTCAGAGAGATTAGGTACCTTAGCCAAGGTCACCCAACTAATAAGCGACAGAGCAAGGCTAGGAACCCAGGCAGTGCTGCCTAAACTTCTCTATTGCTTCGAAGAGTCAGAGAAGGAATCGGAGGGATGGATGCCTATAAATGTGGAAGTGACTGAGGTACAGAAAATAAAAGAGGGTCAGGGTGTTAGGAGGCTCTCCCTCCACCCCTGATTCTCAAGGGAATCTTCCCACTTGCTTTCTGCATCCTGAGGTTGCTTTGGTTAGATTCTGCTCCCCTGGGATGCTAGCCTGAGGTTGGCATCTCAGTTTTGGGCTGAGGCTTTATGTACCTGCGTGAAAGAGGTGGTACAGAGCATTGTACACAACATATGGGGCTCCATTTGCATTTAGTGAGTGCTCAGCTGTGCACAGTGTCTCCTTAATGAATCACATGCAAGCCGAGCATCGCTATATTTATCCAAGCCCTGGGAGCCGGAGTGCTGGCTGTGGTCGACTTGCATGCCCCAGAACAGTGCCTTGCAGGTTGTTCCAGTTTTCCTTGTGGTCAGGGCCTTAGGGCCCTTCAATAATTTGTTCCCTGGCAAAATCTGCTGGTTTCTGAAGTATCTTTCCAGGCGTTCTAGGCCAGAAAAAATGTTTACATCCTGAAGCTGTAACAGAGATCAAGCGCTAAAAAAGAACCTGGAAGCTACATCTGCTGTGCCCTTGACTTCAAGGCCACATCTGAAGAATCGCAGACAGATGAGGCATTTTTATTTTCTTTTCAAGCTTTTCAAGGGGGGGTCCCACAATGCTTAATGCTTAATCACCCTGCTGTCATCAGGTTATTTCTTCCTTGTAATCTAAAACCCTTATGAATTTTTTTCCTTAGTCACTCCTTAATTGAAATATTTCTTTTTATAGCTGGGCATTGGTGGCTTGTGCCTGTCATCCCAGCTACTCAGGAGGCTGAGGCTGGAGGATCACTTGAGTCTGGGAGTTTGAGGCCAGCTTGGGCAACATATTGAGACCCTGTATCTTACAAAATATTCCTCTTATGCTCAGATCAGAGAGTTTGCCCAAATAATCACTTCTGTGCTTAGGAATCAAGAACAAGAATTTATAATGTTTACTTAACGCTGATTAAATGCCAGCTACAATATTAAGCACTTAAAAATAATTATCTCATGTTTTTCACCTCAAAATAACCATTTGAATGAGCATTAGGACTCCTTTTTATCAGGAATAAAAGTAAAATTTCAGAAAAGTAATTAACTGAGGCCACACAGCAAGTATATGGAGGAGTCTGGCTTGATAGCAAAGCGCTTTATATGAAATAGATTTTTCTTTCCTTTCTTCTTCCCAGCTGTAGTCATGTCCTGTGACTCTTCTTCCCATTCCCAGCCATTCTTCAGCTAAAAAGAAAGTAAATATTTTAAAATATGTATATATATTTTAGATATATATATTTATATTTTAAGACATATAGATAATATATAATTTATGATTTATATTTAAATTTGTATAAACTTATATTTAAATTATAAATTTAAGATTTATATTATTATATATATATATGTACTTTTCCCCCATTTTCCTCCTAGAATTGTTTTTTTATCCTTTATAAGACTTAGGCAGGTGCAGGATATATTTTCATCCCTGGACTCAAGTGTGGTGTCAAGACCCTTAACTTGTGACATGAATAGCAAGGAGCAGATTGGATTCCCACTGGAGTGGAGGCCCCTAATCATGGCTTCCTGGGATTTGTGTTATCTGCCTTCCCCTGTTAGATGCTGAGAACATAGAAGAAGAATACCAGGTTCTGGTTCAAGCTATATCATTGGCACAGTCTGTGACCTAGAGCAGATCACTGCTCTCTTTCTCGTGAAAATCAAATTTAGTTTCCTACAAAATTTAAAGTTGAGCAGAGCCTTGGTTTAGTCTTACAGACTAAAAATCTTTTTTCCTTCCAGTTCAGTCACATAATATTTATAAGATGGTGAAGCCAAGTCACTTGCCCTCTCTGGCCCTGAGTCTCTTCATCTGTACAATAAGAGCAAGAACTAAATGCTCACCGGACTTCCCAGCAGCTCTTGGTTTCAAACTCAGGGGAGCTGCAGGAAGAAGCTGGCTCTACTCTGCCAAGTTCTGACTAGTGAGGGTTTGCAACAAAACCAGCCAGGGCTAGTCTAGGCAAAAAGGAGAGTTTATTTTAAAGATATTTGTGCAGCTCATAAAATCAAAAAAAAAAAAGTTAAATAATGAGACACAGAGAAGTTGGGAACCAGGACAGCCTCAGGGATCTCTTCAGCAGGAGCTCATGACCCTTCCCCCTGGAGTGCTGCCATTAAGATCACTCCAAAAAAGCCTGTTTTTATGTTTCTTTCTTAAAAATGACAAATTCCAGAAGGAGAACTGCCAGGGGGCCATTCAGTTATGGAGGGTAGGATTGGACAGGCCAACCAGCAGGAAAGTGTTGCTGGAGCCCAGCCTTGTTGGAGGAGCAGGTGGTTCCCAGGAGGACCTGGGCAGAACTCCCCACCACACACACAGGTACACCCTACAGAAAGAGCCCATGTGTCTGTAAATGATTGGGAAGCCAGGTCGGGATGTTAAATGTGGGTGGGAGACACAGTGGGCAGGTTCAATACTCTAGACCAGTAGCAGCCATGGTGATGGAATTCATTCAGCGTTTTCAGGCAGCTGTGCCTCATGGAAGAGTAACAGACTTCAAGGCAAAAGGCATGATGAGTGGACAGTCCATTAGGGATTGCTGGTGGCTGTGGGCACAAAGAAAGACAAACAGTGTGATCTCATGGGGAGGCTGACCACCACCATGCTGGATTAGGATCCTCTCTTTTCAGCCAGGTCAAGGACAGGGTACTCTGGTCCCATCTTTTCTACTTTGATGACATTTGGGCAAGTTTCAACCTCTTGAGAGTTTTTCTGTTTCCTTATCTGTGAAGTGGGGATGAGAGCAATGATAATCATGCTACTCTTCCAACTGACAACAGTACGGCAGGCGCTAACATCTGCTGGGGCCAGGCACCCATGCTGAGAACTTCCCATGTGGGTTGATCCTCGCAATCCTCTGACACAGTACTGTTATGGTTTACACTTTGCCCAAGGCTTGTGGGAATTAAGGGGGCAGTAAAGTGTAGAGCAAAGCAGTGTGCAAAGAGACTGAGAGGCTGGGCTCAGGAGCTGATGGCCAGTTTTGAATTCTGGCTCTGACACTCACTGGCCTGGTGTTTTCTGGCATGTTGCGTGAGCTTCATTAATTTGTAAAGTGGGTGTGATACTAGTGCCTGCCTCATGCTGTGGTTGTGAGGAGTGAGTGATTTCACAGGCATCCAGGAAGGTGCCTGGAGCAGAGCAGTGCTCTGTAATGTTTGCTGTTGTTTGTAATAAAGTGCCTGCCGGGCAGTGGGGATTTGAACCCAAAGCAGATTGACTCTAGAATATATATGCTGTGGCAGTTATCTCTGGTGGCAGAACAAGAAGGCTCAGGAGTGAGCTGTGTAAAAGCCGGGGTGGGGGTGAGTTAGCAGAGGGAGCTATGGAACTAGGGAGAGGAAGAGAATGAGGAGCCCTAGGCACGTAGCCACTTCAACACTCCTTGTCTCTGTGACCTTGAGCTGGACCCAGAAGGTCAGCAGCAATTGCTGAGTCCCCATAACCAACGGGAACATTCAGCACTGACTTCACTTATGCTTCTGACTTCAGGAGGGCTTTAGAGAGGGGGTTAGTTAGAAAAAGAAGGAAAGAAAGAGAGACAGAGAGTGACTAAGACAGAAAGAGAGTGATGAAGTCAGGGGGAGGGTGGGGAGAGAACTAGATATAAAGACATAGAAACCCAAGGAGAGAAAGAGAGTGATTGACACTCAAGAAGATAAACAGAAGAGGCACACACTTAAAGCCACAGAAATGAAGTAGAAAGACGGGAAAGAAGGGTGAGGGGAAGGATGGGGATTTTGCAGAGACAGTGCTGAGGGGGCTGTGACTGGCTGGCCTGCTCTGTGGTTGAGGAGCAAACAAACCTGTTAAGTGTGTCAGTGCTTTATCTAGGAAAGCACCTTTGCCAAGGCCCGGGCACACTGAGGAGCTTTTTGAGCGTGTAGGGCTGTGACAGGAGAGACTCTCTTTATCTGAATTGGAGACAGGAGCACTCTTCTGTGCATTTCACACTGGATGCCACAGATTAGGCTGCGGATATTTCACGGTTGGTGATAAACATTTGTTTGGAGAAGCCTTGAGCAGAGCAACACTCCTAAGGCTGGGGGAAGGGGTTGATAACAGGCAGGTACCTGGAGACTGGTTTTACATGAGGGACTGGTTCTATGCAATTTTACACTTGTATATTATTATAGGCATTGAAAGTCCCTAGAAGGATACCCATTAAAACTTTGACAATAGCTAACCTCCCTGGTTGGATTAATGAGGAGTCTCACCTTCTAAGTTATGTATTTCAGTTAGGTTTACATGTTTTACAGTGTAGGGATTTTATAATCAGAGAAACAAAGGCTTAAGGTAATAAGTTAACTCCTGAAATGAAGGAAGGGAAAGCAATGGCCCCTGACATAAAACAGGTTGTTGGGGCTCATCCGACAAACAGACAATGGGTGGCGGAAATGGCAGTGCATTTGAAAATATTTCTCCTTGATATTTCCAAGTTACTTTGAAAATCTGATGATCACAATCTTTCCTCTGATTCTTGCAGAAGGGTGAAATTATTAATGTCTCCTCAGCTCAGACAAATTTCCTTCCTTTGGGGTTTCCTTGGGGTTTAAAAAAATACGGCAGAAGGTGTATGCCCTGTTAGTTGGTGGGTTTCTGTTGGGTATGGTGGATATGAGGCTTTTCCCTTGAGAGAATGATGCACGCAGCATCTGCAGAATCCTCTCCTCCTTGAAGTCCCCACCTCCCACTCCTTTTTGTTTTAAATTTTAAATGAAGTTTGTGCCTAGTACACACTTTTAAAAGTATTGTCTGTTAGCTTGAGAAATGACCCAGATGTATCTTGTTTCAGGCTTTATGAAGGCAAAGAACAGATGGAGTTTGAAGAATCCATGAGACGGCTCTTTGAATCCATCAACAATCTGATGAAAAGTCAATACAAAACTACCATCCTTTTGCAGGTTGGTTTATGCTACAATAAAATCTATCTTCTCCTTGGCCATCCAGTAAATAACAGCATGCTAAGATAATATCTTCTTTTACTTAAATATGCAAACTTGTATCCAGTGAAGGCCTGGGCTGGCCACTAGGTTAAAGACCAAGGGCTCCTCAGGACAAGAGAAAACGTATTTATTGTTTGTTACCCATGAAGCTAGCAGTGCCTTCTTTTAAAATAGCTCTGAAATTTTTGTTACCTAGAAGGAAATTAGTCAAACCGGATCCACTTCCAATGGAGAGAACAGTTCATGGTAGCAGTCTCTTAAACTGAGTTTAATTCTCGACAACATAAAGTCAGGGACCCTTTTGGGATTAAAGAGGGCTCCTCAATAAACAAGAGGTGCTTTGGAGAGAATGAGTCCTCTCATGTGTGGTCCACGATGCTAATCTGTGAAGACTGCAAATCTTTGAGAAACTGTGAGGCCTATCCCTGTGTTTGGGAAGGAGTTGAGCAGCTAAGAGTCTGAATGAAGAGGCTGTTTCAGGGAGACTTCAGAACTTTCACAGAATGCACTTGCAGGCACTGGGGGTGCGGGTGGGGGAAGCTGGGAGTGCCTGATGTGCTGTGAATAAACGAAGCCCAAACACATTTATCTAAATCAATGAGTTAATGCAGATTGCTGCTGCTTTTTTTTTTTAAATCAATATTATTCTTTTAGATGCTAATTTAAAGATCCATTATGCCTGAGATGCCCAGGCACTGGTTAGAATTAATGACGTACTAGTGTTTAGCTAGAATGAAGGTGAGGAAGCAGAGGTGGAAGTCAGCCTGGGGAATGTTTGCTTCTCATGCTATGGGTCCAGACTGTGCACGTTAGAATTGTGTGGGGATCTTTAATAAATTCTGATGCCTGGTTACAACCACCCGACTTTCTAATTTAATTGGTATGGAGTGTGACCCAGGCCAGGGGATTTAAAAAATTCCCCAGGTGATTTTACTGTGAAGCAAAGTTTGAGAACCACTCTGCTGATGGCTTCCTTTAATTTAACAAACAGTGGAAACCTGTGTGTTGGGGAAGGCAACTATCTTATTCATATGTGTCTTCAACACTCAGAATAATCCTGATAATTCTAAAATTTATTCTCCTCAGAATGTGTATCTGTATTTCTTGATCTAACTGAATAACTGAAGGTCCTAACACTATTTGGTCTTATGTAACAAGGTTAGGAACATAAATACCCTCCTCTAGAATCCACTAGTAAAATACCCAAAAAGCTTCTGTTTTATGATGAGATAGAGGAGGAAGAGGTATAAATGATTAAAAATGATTTAAACCAAACTATGTAACAGGCTTTATATTTCATGCTTCACATATATTACTTTATTTCACCCTCTCAAAAATCCTCTAAATTACACATTAGGCCTGCCATGTTATAAAAGGATAAACTGAGGCTCAGAAAGCTGAAACGATGTGCCTAAGGCTACATGCCCACATCTCTCTGGTCAAAAGCCAAAGCTCCTTCTCCTGCAGCAAATCTCAAAGTCTATAGAAGAGTCCTTGTGTGGGATTTGCTGACATCACATGGGCTTCACCCCTCTGCCCTCATCACTAAGTTCTCTTCACATGGTACTGCTTTCCATATTTGAACATAACTTTAAATTCTTCTTTGATAACTTTTCAACAGCCATACACATAGGTGGAAAGCATCATTGGTTTTATGAAAATCCCTGAGGCTAAATTTGGCCCTTAGAGCAAATTGAAAAAGAGATGAAGCCCCTTTCTATGTCTCTGAGGTGGAAATCTATGGGAAGAAACCAGCATAATCTGGCCCAAATCACAAGGAAAACAAGGCATTTCTA
The DNA here is from genome assembly GCF_000001405.40 of Homo sapiens. Taxonomy (NCBI): domain Eukaryota; kingdom Metazoa; phylum Chordata; class Mammalia; order Primates; family Hominidae; genus Homo; species Homo sapiens. The sequence continues at coordinate 169,749,343 of NC_000005.10, forward strand.
ACACAGCTACCCGGACAAGAAGAACCTGGGTAAAAAGACTTATGCCAAAACCATAATAATCATATGAGTTCTCTAATCCTAATATTAGGATTATTCTGAGTGTTGAAAACACAATGATTAGTGTGTCTTCAACTAATAATCATTTATTAGTTGATGCTTAATAGATATCTGTTGAATTAATTAATGTATAACACTAGGGATACGTCTTAAGGTTTCTATTTTATTGATGAGGGAATTGAAGCTCAGACAGTTGAAACAGCTTCCTCCAGGCACCATTGCTGAGAAGTGGGATGGCTCAGATTCATATCTGTTCCTGCCTGGCTCTAAAGACCATACTCACTACCACGGCATTAGCCTGTTCTTTATACTGTTTCTTTAGTCCCTGCTGGGGATGGATGTCTTCCTATGGATTAGTTGGGACTGCAGTCTTCTAGTTTTTATTTTTCCCTTACCCCCTCCTGGTTAAAAAGCAAACAAACAAAAAATGTATTCCTCATATTCCTAACCCCTTCATCATTCTCTGACTAAGGGGATAACAGGAGCAGGGGACAGCATGAGGAGATGCGGCAGGAGCCCCAGCCAGCCACTGCATCTGTATCACACTGGAAGCAACTGAGCTTCTAGTGAGTAGCCACACAGTGTTGGGATATCTGGAGAGAGCCAAGGATGACCAATTGCCATGAGAGAGGCTATAGGGTTGAATCAGGTGTGAAATCAGCTCCAAGGAAGCTGAAGTGTGAAAGAGCAGAAATGATGAGCCAATAGATAAAGCCAGTTTCTCATCCCAGAGGAGAAAGGCGCTGATGCCCCAAAGAAGTTGAGGTGCCATGGAGAGAAGAATGGAAGAGGGAATAGGTAATTTTGGAGCTACTCTTTCTAATTTCAGCACCTGTTTCCCTACGATGGGCTACACATATATTTGGGGAAGGAACAAAGGGAGAGAGACAGTAAGAAGGCAGGGAAAGAAAGAAGGAGAAAAAAAGGAAGCAAAGAGGAACAAGTGAGCATTTGCCGCTCTCAAGACACCTGGTCAATAGGAATGCCCTTCTTTATCAGCTGCATGACCTTACATTGGTCACTTAACTTCTCAATGCCTCAGTTTCCTCATCTATAAGATTTCATTGTGTGGGTGAGGATCAAATAAACATTGTCTGCAAAAGAACAAATTATAAAATGCTATGCAAATGCAGTGAACTAATATGATTATTATGGTTTTGGCATAAGTCTTTTTACCCAGGTGGTTCTTGTCTGGGTAGCTGTGTTAGAAATACCTTGCTTTCCTTATAATTTGGGCCAGGTTTGTTGGTTTGTTCTCATAGATTTCCACTCCAGAGACATAGAAAGGGGCTTCATCTCTTTTTCAATTTGCTCTAAGGGTCAAATTTAGCCTCAGGGATTTTCATAAAACCAATGATGCTTTCCACCTATTTACATAGCTATTGAAAAGTTATCGAAGAAGAATTTAAAGTTACATTCTAATATGGAGAGCAGTACCATATGAAGAGAACTTAATGATGAGGGCAGAGGTGTCAAGCCCATGTGATGTCAGCAAATCCCACACAAGGACTCTTCTATAGACTTTGAGATTTGCTGCAGGAGAGGGAGCTTTGGCTTTTGACCAGAGAGATGTGGACATGTAGCCTTAGGCACATCGTTTCAGCTTTCTCGGCCTCAGTTTATCCTCTGTAACATGGAAGGCCAAATGTGTAATTTAGGGGATTATTGAGGGGGTGAAATAAAGTAATATATGTGAAACCTGAAGTATAAAGCCTGTTACATAGTTTGGTTTAAATCATTTTTTAATCATTTATACCTCTTCCTCCTTTACTTCATCATAAAACAGAAGCTTTTTGGGTATTTTACTAGTGAGGATTCAGAAGGCGGGCATTTGTGTTCCTAATTTTGTTACACAAGACTAAATAGTGTTAGGATGTTCAGTTATTCAGTTAGATCAAGAAATATAAATATACATTCTTAAGAGAATAAACCCACAAGAAGTGACTGTATGAAAACATGCATGGGAAAGTTTCAGCTAGTGAAATAGTACGAGGTGACCGGAGTCTTGATTCTGAGCCTGCATGGGGTGTGAGCTATTAGTAACATCAGCCATAAGTGCTGGCTGGGTGCAGAGGATATGAATGCCCGTGGTTGATGTTCCTGGTTCAAACTTTTCACATCCAGCTGGGTAGCGGCTTATGTTGGAAACCCTCTTTTGTGACCAATTTAATTGTGAGTAGAGCAGATCTGGTTCAAATCTCAGCTGTGTCCACTGTTAACTCTGAAACCTAAGCAAGTTATTGCCCATCTCTAATGCTCACCCAGCTTTTGTGAGTTGCTTTCTGTGGTTTTTCTTATTGTTCTGAGTCGGCGTGGCAGCAGCTCACCAAGACCACGGAGAATTGAAAGCCAGTAGTTCAGAGGAAAGGAGCAATAAAAACACTTTCTGCTGATCAGGTACCTACCATGTTCCAGACATGGAACTGGGATCTTCATATACAGTGTTTTAAATCCCACCAGAGATCTTCAAGGAACCACTATCCTCAGTGTTCATAGGAGGCTCATAAAGTTAAATAGTTCATCCCAAATTACATGTATTCATAGTGCTGGAGCTAGGATTTGAATCCATCCAGGTCATCTGCCTCCAAAGCACTATTCTCTATGCCACAGGTAAGGTTTAGGCCAGGGATTCCCATGTGTTTTCAACAATGGACCACATGCTCAGAAGTCCTTGTGTGTGCCAGCCCTGTGAGCGTGGTTGATAAAACTGATGGCAGATTCAGAGGGTCAACACCACACACATGTAAATTAGATAGAGCTCAAAAGTTAGTAAAAGACATATGGCGATGTTGTGCAGGCCAATTTGCCCCACTCTCCTTACGATCCATGGTATTTCATAATGCTCCAATTTGATGGCACAAGTGGAATTAAATGAACAGCTTGTATTGAATGACATGCTCTCTTGGCCACTGTGAATGCCACTTATGCTAATGAAGCCCCTGGAGTGTCCAGGAGGGCAGGGGACTCTGCCATTTATATCCCCAATGTCTGGAACAATGGCTGCCACACAGAAAGTGCTCAAATATCTACTGTCTGAATGAATGAATGAATGAATATGGCTGGGTGCAATGGTGCATGCCTGTAATCCCAGCACTTTAGGAGGCTGAGGTGAGAGGATCTCTCAAGCCTAGGAGTTCAAGACCAGGCTGGGGAACATAGTGAGACCCTGTCTCGACAAAAAATTAAAAAAAAAAAAATTAGCTAGGCATGGGGGCCTGCCCATGCCTAGTGGTGTATGCTTGTGGTCACAGCTACTCAGGAAGCTGAGGCAGGAAGATCACTTGAGCCTAGGGGATCAAGGCTGCAGTGAGCTGTGATAATGCCACTGCATTTCAGCTTGGGTGACAAAGCAAGACCCTGTCTCTTAAAATAAATAAATAAATACTGCCGGGCGCCGTGACTCACGCCTGTAATCCCAGCACTTTGGGAGACCGAGGAGGGTGGATCACAAGGTCTGGAGTTTGAGATCAGCCTGGCCAACATGGTGAAATCTCGCCTCTACTAAAAATACAAAAATTAGCTGGGCGTGGTGGCGGGTGCCTGTAATCCCAGGTATTCGGGAGGCTGAGGTAGGAGAATTGCTTGAACCTGGGAGGTGGAGGTTGCAGTGAGCCGAGATTGCGCCATTGCACTCCAGCCTGGCGACAGAGCAAGACTCTATCTAAAAATAAAATAATTACTTCTATCATTTTGTTTAGTTTGATGTTTCAGTGTTTATTAAGTGTCAAGTGTTGAGCTAAAAGCTTTACATATATTGTTAGCTCAATTGATCTTTGTAACAACAACCTTATAAGACAAATAGTCTTTTTAAGTTCCATGACATACCTGCACAGAATGTGCAGGTTTGTTACATAGATATACATGTGCCATGGTGGTTTGCTGCACCTATCAACCTGTCATCTAGGTTTTAAGCCCTGCGTGCATCAGCTATTTGTCCCGATGTTCTCCCTGCCCTCACCCCCCCCCACCCCCTGACAGCTCCCCTGTGTGTTGTTCCCCACCCTGTGTTCTTATTCTTGCTCTCCCACTTATGAGCGAGAACATTTGGTATAAAGCGGAGATAAAGACTATATGCAAAGACAAATGGGCTTTATCTCTGCTTTCCAAATGAGGAAAATGAGGCTTAAAGAGGTTAAGTAACTTACCTTGGCTGAAAATTAGTATATCTTGGATTTAAATTTTGGCTGTGTAAGTCCAGAGTTTGAGTTCTTAATCACCACCAAACAATAGCGCAATTTCATTAAGACTAAAGTCTTCTGGCAAAACCCCAGGTGGATAAGACTCAGGGGACCCCATAAAGTTGAGTTACAGAAAGGATGGAAACACACATATTCTGGAACCTGTTGGTTCCTTTCCCTTCACTTTGCCTGAGAGATTAGTGATGAGACTGAATGTCCTGAGAGAGCTGCATTTATTTTCCTCGGGGACAACTCAGCATCTCAAAGGAAACTGCCTTCTTATGGTCATGCTATGGGGAATTCCTGTGACATCGTTTTTCCAGTTTCTATGGACCTTGATCATCCACTGCTTGGCTAAAATAAAAGGATTAAAAATTGAGGGGAATAGTACTTGTTTTGAATGCCTGTGGCTCTTGAATGAGGAAGCTATCTGGTAGCATTCTTGCATAACTGTGTATCATTTCAAGACATGTTCATTTTGGCCAGAAGTCTGAGTGTACTGGCACCAACACTGGTCACTCTGTTTGAAAGAGAGAGAAAGGGAGGAGAGAGAGAGAGAAAGAGTGAAAGAGAGAACAGGAAAGCCTGAAAGCACTCAGCAGACAAGTCCCTCTGAGTTTGGAGGCATCCTAGTCTGGTTTTGATTTTTGTTGTTATGTTTAAACACTTGCCGTTTTCTAATTCTGGTGAAGTCCATCTAGATAGCAATGATCTCAAGTGTCCTCCCTTGATTTACCTCTGGGACAGTAAAACCACTCTTGGTTGCTTTGGGTTTGATTCTCTTCTTGAGGGATGTACCTGGCCTTTGGCAGAGGGGTTCAGAGTGGACCCTTAATCTAGGAAATTCACTCAGTGCCACATGATCACCTAATTAGCAAGATAGCATTTTCCTGTTGGCCATTCTTGCAACCCCCTATAGATGTGGTAATGAGGATCCTTAACTTAAGGAATGTCAGAAGAACTGCACTTTATTTTCAAAAACTATTCTTACAAAGGGTGGGGGAAGCTCTTTTTCCACTTCCTCCTCCAAATTAGCCTTCTCGCCCCTGCTGAATCCTCCCCACTTGCCGAGATAGAATGCCTTTCCTACAGCATGACAGGCAGTAGTGGACGTACTGGATAACAGCCAGCAGGACAGAGCTGGGTACACATCCTTGCTTTGCTTCTCATTAGCTACATGGCTTCTGGCAAGTTATTTAACTTCTTCTCCATGCCATAGTTTTCACATTGGTAAAATGGGATTAACATTTTCCACTCATAGAGTAGTTGAAAGAATTAAATGAGATCATGCATGTAAAGTATTTGGCATGTAAACAGTTTCCAATAATGGTTCCTATTTTTTATTATTTATTTATTTATTTATTTATTTATTTATTTTTGAGACAATGTTTCTGTCTGTCACCCTGGCTGGAGTGCAGTGGCAAAAGACAGAACACTGTAGCCTCTAGCTCCTGTGTTGAAGCAATCCTCTTGCCTCAGCCTCCTGAGTAGCTGGGATCACAGGCCTGTGCCACCATGCCTGGGTATTTTTTTTACATATATATATTTTGTAGAGATTAAGTCTTGCCATGTTGCTTAGGCTGGTCTTGAAACCCTGGGCTCAAGTGATCAATCCCTTGGCCTCCTGAAGTGCTGGGATTATAGGCATGGGCAACCATGCCCAGCCATGATTCCCACTTAAAAACCCTATAATTCATAATCGTATTATATGAGTATGTGTGTATATGCATCACATGTATGTTTATGTGTATAGGTATATATATGTATGTGTGTTTTAAGTATTATACACAATATAGGAATATAGACTATGGAATGAAAGTAATAATGATACAATATTATTTTATGAAGAATGGTAGTAATAATGAGAGTAAAAATAATAGAACGGCTGGGCACGGTGGCTCCAGCCTGTAATCCCAGCACTTTGGGAGGCTGAGGCGGGTGGATCACCTGAGGTCAGGGGTTTGAACCCAGACTGGCCAACATAGTGAAATCCTGTCTCTACTATAAATATAAAAAACTAGCCGGGCGTGGTGGCGGGTGCCTATAATCCCAGCTACTCCTGAGGTTGAGGCAGGACAATTGCTTGAACCTGGGAGGTGGAGGTTACAGTGAGCAGAGATTGTGCCACTGCACTGCATCCTGGGCGACAGAGTGAGACTCCGTCTCAAAATAAATAAATAAATTAAAAACAATAATAATAATAGAAGAGTGAAACTCAGTTCCCAGGATAGAAACATGTAACATATGGAGTCTCCCATAGGTCTTATGGTTGAGGTGCTCTGCCTTCTGGGAGCGTTTGGTGCTGGCACCTCCTGAACTTGCCTGTTGTCACCTGCCCCAGTGTGTCAGGGCAAGACCATAGACAGAAGTCCTCTGACAAATGCTGACCGTGACAACAGTCTTGGCAAACTTCAGTAGGCAGAGATGGGCTGTCCCCATTGGGAAAAAGAACCACAGGCCTGCCACTTCTCTGTGAGGCCGCCTGGACTAGATGCAAATTTAATACTCCCCTGTCATGTTGCTAAAACCCTCTGAGACTCAGGTGACAGCTACTTGCTTCATTTGACTGTATGGCCTACCTGGAGTGGGAGGCTGGGAAGATGGGCTTCTTCTGAGCAGCCCCTCCCGCAGCCTGTGCAGCTGCCTGCTAATAGCTAAAGCATGTAAGTGTGCGGGCTGTGGAGACTCCTGATAACTGCGGTTCCATCGTGTCCCTCCAAAGTCCTGGAATGACATGCAGCTCTTGAAAGCCAGCAACTCGCAGCAGACACTGAAGTCCTGCCTTTCCCCACAGGGGTTTGTTTCTGTGCATGTTTCTCACTTTGGCCTTAATTATGATGAGTACGCGTTATAATCTGTCCAGGTGTGGGGTATGATGGCCAGTGCTTGAGTAATGAGATGGGAAGAAACTCAGCACACACCATCATGAAGAGGCTGAGGCTCAAGGAGTGAACAAATGAGCCTAGGCTCATGCGGTGCTGGGTGGAGAGCTCAGGGCCCTGAGGGCTGTATGTTCTTTGGCCTAAGAGTGGATGAAGAAACAGTTTGCTAGAAGTGCTTGCACCAGGCCAGGCATGGTGGCTCATGCCTGTGAGCCCAGCACTTTGGGAGGTCAAGGCGGGTAGATCACTTGAGGTCAGGAGTTCAAGACCAGCCTGACCAACGTGGTGAAACCCCATCTCAACTAAAAATACAAAATTAGCTGGACGTGGTGGCACACGCCTGTAATCCCAGCTACTCAGGAGGCTGAGGCAGGAGAATCGCTTGAACCTGGGAGGTGGAGTTTGCAGTGAGCTGAGATCACCCCATTGCACTCTAGCCTGGGCAACAAGAGTGAAACTCTGTCTCAAAAAAAAAAAAAAAATGAAATGCTTGGACTAGCCTCTTTTCAGGGCACATGCCTCAGTATATGGTATCCCTTTAGACTTCAGAGGTTGTAAATTAGTAGCCTCTGGGAGAAATGCAGCCTGCATTTGTGTTTGATTTGTCTAGCAAATCAAAGCGTTAAATCAAAGTGTTAAAACAATTGATAGGAATAACTGAGTCTTTAGGGAGAGAATGGAATCCACACACCTCATCACTTCCCACTGCCCTGTCCTCATTCCATATCACTTCTTTCTGTTGCTTGTCTAGCCCTGCAGTCATCTGATTTTGCTACATCTGCTTGATGTTTCCTGATAAAGATGGTCCTTGACCAACTAGGTTGGAATGTACTGGATACTGTGACTGCCTGGAGGAATGTCATAATGCTTCTTAGCATATTAAAATTATGAAAAGTTCTATAGTTAAAAAAAAACTCACTGGTTTATCTTTGCTTAAGCCAATGCTTTCCAAAATTCTTTGATTGCGAACCCTTTTCCCCTACAGAATACCTAGCACCATCCTATGGGACAAGAGGCTCCAATAGAACATAGTTTCAGAGACAATGGCTTTGGAATGTTGTTTTATCTTATAATCTACATTTAAAAGAATAAAGAATAAATCTCTAGATACAAAATCCAATAACCATAAAGTAAAAGTCTGACAAATATGACAGCCTGCAAATTAAAATCTTTCTATGCAATGGAACAACAGGATAAGTGGGAGAAAATTCTTGTAAAATATGTTACTGTAAAAGGGTTACTATTAATGATGCATGAAAAATTTTAAAAACCAATAAGAAAAAAATACCCAAAATAAGAATAGAAAAAGGATATGAACATGCAATTTAGTAAATATAGATGTTCAATAAATATGGAAAAGATGCTCAACCATACTAGCCACCAAAAAGTTGCAAATTACACATCAGATCAACAAAAATCTACAAGATTGTATGTCCAATGGTAGCAAGGTTATGGGGAAATGGTCAATTAAAGGAAATTGGTTACTGTATCTTCCAAGGTAATTGACAATCTCTCCTAAAATGTATATGTCTATATGTTTTCATGCACTAATTCTTCTTTGAACAATCTATCCTACAAGGATCTTTACAGATATACAAACAGTATTTTTTTTACCACGTATTTATAATAAAAATTGACAATAGCATGGAGCCTATGATCAGGGGTGGGCTGAAGAAGGTATAATGTACCCATTTGAGCAGTGCTGGGCAGTGGTTAGAAATGAAAAGAATCCACTCTATGAGAAGGCAGGATGCCACTGGTGTGCAGTTAACTACAAAAAGCAAGTTGCAGACATGTATATTTACATACACACACATGCACATGTAGGTTCATGCATAGAAAGCAGTCTGGAAGGAAATTCATCACAATGTTAACTAACAGTGGTCCTCCCCTCTCTGGGGAGGAGAGATTGGGACCCAGAGGAGGATGCGATATAGGACTTTGGAAACAATTTTCACCCTCATGCCTTATCTGGTATGAATGTTTTTACATCAAACATAGAGTATTGACTTTTTAAAATTTAAAAATTATAAACAAGATTAAAAAAGGGATGAAGGCATAGAGAGAGAGAGGGTTGCTATTTGAGTAAGGTGACCATGTAGCTTAAGGGTTACGAGAAATGGCTCTAAGTGCAGCCTGCCTGAATTTGAATCCTGGCTCTCCACTTGCTAACTTTTCAACCCCAGGCTAGTTATTTAATTGTGATGCACCAGAGATTCCTTATTTATGCAAATAATGTTTCCCTTGCAGGGTTGTAACTAATAAGCTAATCTATTAGCAGTCTTTGGTACAGCTTCTGCCCTGTTGTAAATTCTTAGAGAATAATCATAATCATTATTTATGTTAAGAATCTCAGTTGTATATGGCTAGGAGGAAGATTTTCTTTAGGAAAGTAATTTTCACGATTTTTTACTTGAGTCTGATTGTTAAAGGGTGATACATGTTAGTAACAGAACACCTAAAATATACAGAAAAATAAATAAAAAATGCATACTTCCATTAGACCCTTACACATTATTTTCCATTCATGTGACTTACAGTTCTTTCTACTGAAACTGTAGTCTGCCCTGCTGCTTAGCAAGTGGTGTTGCTATGCAGGGGGTGAGTGTGGCTCCTATCTCTGGATGCATCAGTTACTTTAAGAGAGGAAGCAATCCACTACAATGCTCAGCTTTCCCAACCCAGCTAGTGGACCAAAACATACCCACTATTATTCACAAAGTGGCCAGGGAGAGGAAATATGAATAACTTGTCACCAGCAAAGCAATTCAAGTACACCATCTTCCATTAATAATATGTCACCATTTATTGAGCACTAAAATAGGCCTGGTGCTCTGTTGGATGCCTCACATATATTATTTTTAATCTTCGCAATCCTTCAGAATACATATAACTTTGTCTATTTCACAGATAAGTAAATGTCTGAGAGGTTAAGTGTTTTGTCCAAAGCCTCATGGCTAATAAGGTGTGGAAACAGAATTTGCAGATCTATAGAACTACAAGGTCTGTGGTCATTCTAGTCTATGTTATTGCCTCCTTGAAGACAGGAGTTGTGACTTCACTTTTGTATACAAAGAAGTCCGTGCTTATGTTTTGATGTCCATACAGAGGCTTCCATCAATATTGTAATGTCCAGGATGCAGAATCATTCTCCTCTGATCTGTGTCATGCTGCAAAGTACCCTCTTTGCCAGCACAGACTTGTTGATGTGAGGATCACTTATATGTATTTTACATTCCACCTAGGTGGCGGCTTTGAAATACATCCCATCTGTCCTGCATGATGTAGAAATGGTCTTTGATGCGAAGTTACTCAGGTGAGAGCTCATGTTGTACTTTCTTGGGCTCTGCTGGCAAGCTAGGGATTCAGAGTGGGAGGAGGGCTCTTATGGGGAGCTCCAGATGGGCACTCAGCTTGGGGATGGGGAAGACCTGTGGCAGGGGATGTTTTCAGGGTTTCCGGTGTGGTATTTTTACCTTTTGGTTTTCTTGTGCCAGACTTTGGTGAAAACCAACTGTATAATAAGCATCCCTCTTTGATGATATGAAAATTAATCATATAGGTTAAAAAAAATTGATGTTTGAGATGAATGTTTCCATTTCACCTGGGCCTGAAGGTTATTTTGGGTTCCACTCTTTGCCTTGTAGACCCCACAGTTGCAAATGGAGAACAGCCTAAGCATACCTAAAGAGATAATGGAGACAGCTCCCTTTTGCCTTCTACTTCTTAACTACGTTCAGCTCATAGATGAACACGTTATTTTAATGTGATTATGCTGTTGGAATAGGGGCATTTCAATCAGATATACCTTCTTCTTTTTAAAAAATGTATTGTAGTTTACAGATAACAGACTTAAAAGACTTTTTATATTTAAATACTTATAGATTTAGAAGAGAGTTGCAAAGATTACATACAGAGAGTTATCATATGCCCTTCACCCAGCTTCCCCTAATGTTAACATTTAAATAACTATGGCACATTTATAAAAACTGAGAAATTAACATGGATACAGTTATTTTAACTGCACTCTGGACTTTATTCAGATGTTACCAGTTTTTTCATGGATGTCCTTTTTCTGTTCATATGGAAGATTTTTGCTAGCTCCTTCTCATCCTTCAGACCCTCAGGCTAAATGTTATCTTGGAAAAGCTACTGCTGGATATTGTAAATAAATTAAATTTCTCCCCCAGCCCCTGTGCCATTATTCTCTGACACAGCTCCCTATTTATTTCCTCCACTGCATACATCGCTGTGTATTGATTTGTTTGCTTCTGTGTCATTTGATGACCTCTATTAGAATGTAAGTTCCATGCCAAATGGGACCCAGTCTGTTCCCATTATATCCCCATTTCTCTGCGCTTTGCCTGTCTCATATTAAGTAGATGTTTAATAAGTCCTTGAAAGAATAAATGAATACAATAAGTTTATTTTGGAAAGCCGACAAGGACTATAATTTTGTTTCAGGGTATTTTGATTCTCACCCTATTTGGGAAGAGCTATCTCCCTTTTGATGTCCCAAACTGGTTCTAATCCACAATTTTTCATAGTTTTAAAAAAAATTAGAGATTTTGATTTTAAGACTTATCATAAAGCATTACCAAGCATAAAACATTTGTAAGTAAAATGGTATGGTAATGAAGTCAGAACCTTGTTTTGAACTCTTGTTTCTTTAACTTCCTAGCTGCATAACCTTAGAAAAGTTAGCCTTTCTAAACCTGAGCTTTCTAACTTATAAAATTGGGATAAGTATTGTATATAGCTTGTAGAGTTATGAAGTCTACATGGCATAATGAATGCAAAATGCAAAGTGTGTGCTTGGTACACGGTAACTGCTCAGGGCTATGGGTATTTTCAGATTTTTACGTCTCTTTTAATGCTACTAATATTCTATACCAAGAACAACTTGTACATTTTTACTGAAGGCTTACCTTGCACCTCATGCTCTGCCAGGACTTGGGGGTTTCCCAGAGCTAGAGGTCCAGGGATGGACTGTAAGTGCTATGAGCTGGGAGACATGGGTCTGCCTTGCTCTACCAGCTCCTATTTTTCCTGCCCTCAGCCAACTCCTGTATGAGTTCTACACCTGCATCCCTCCTGTGAAACTCCAGAAGCAGAAAGTACAGTCTATGAATGAGATAGTCCAGAGCAACCTCTTTAAAAAGCAAGGTGAGTACACAGCACCCTTGCTGGGGTGGGGTAAGGGGCCAATAAACCCCACATCATTTTGGGGAAGCTTGGCAGGAGAGGGCAACCTGTCCAGTGACTATAACATCTCTTTTCTCACAACTCCCTTGGTCTGCATAAATGCAAAAAGTAGAAAGTAGCTGACAACTTAGATATCAGAATCTAAATTGATTTTAGGAAAGCTGAGGTTGCATTGTTTATTTCTCTTGAGAAAGTTTAATGAGGTTTTTTTTTCCCCCTGTATGGTTTATTATTGCTGTCTTTAACTCAAAGGGAAATGGATAAAGTTCCTTTTAGTAGAAAGAGCCTTTCACGGGGAAGTTCTCAAAATTTTGAGTGTGTAAGAATAAACTGGAGAGCTTATTAAAATGCTAATTCCTGAGACCTAGCTCGAAGAGTCTAATTGAGTAGGAATTAACATTTTTTAAAGTTTTTAGAAAAATGTAAATTATTTTGGAAAAGGTAACGCATTTACATGGATGAAAATGAAAAGGTATGAAAGGGTACCATGTGGAAATGGTCCCTCCAGACCCTGTGCATGGCTAATCCCAGTCCCTTCTCTGTGGCAAAAGGCATATCCAGTTTCTTGTGTTTGCTTCTAGGCACACTCTGTGGATGTGGAATCAATTACGTATATGCTATATACTCTTTATTATTATCATGCAAATGGTAGCATGCTATGTAACTGTTCTGCACTTTGCCTTTCTTCACTTAATGGTATATATTTTTGGGAGATCATGGAATGACAGTGGATTTGCACAGAAGTTATGTTCAGAGCTTCTGCTTACCCTAAACTGGTCACCACTGGGCCCCACTGGCAGAAGACTTAGAGTTCCCTATTTTCAAGGTCAGTCAACTGGATGTCGATAGCTCCATCAGATTTGATCAGGCAGGATTCAGAAGCTCATATTCATCCTCTACCTCATCTCTAGGAATGCTCTGCATGCCTAGATTTTCAAAATGGATCATGCCTTTTGCTCCATGTAAAAGAATGACCTGTTCAGAAACTGCATTCCTTCACTCCTTTCTGTAAGGGTGAAGAAATGACTTTTCAGGGTCAGTACTTTTTTCTGTATCCTAAGACCCAGCCTCTCCAATTTTCAATTTCTCTATCCACACTGGTGTCAATAATAAAATGCGAAGCAAACTGTGCAAGAAACAAAGGGTCTTAGAATTCAGAGGATCAGCCATCACCCAACTGGAATTTATTCAGGGAGTGAAGCCTGAATATTTATGCAAATTGCCTGGTAATCACAGAAATATTCAGGAACCACTTCACTGTAAAGATGTTTTTTTCCAATGCCTGGTTAACATGGTGCATCCAAAATTGCTGTCTGTATCCTCTCCCCAGAGTTAAGGGTAGGAGGAGGATGTGGGGATGAAAATGTTCTTGTGATTTTAATATTTATGTGTGTGGTTTCCTGACCCTTTAGACAGATATGTGACAACAGATTAATCCAATAAATATGTAGTTTGTTTGAGCCAGGTGGTTTTTGTGAGGTTATGGAGACTAATTCTGGTAAGTCTTGTTGCACTTCTTGTGTCACTGTGCCTTTTTAAAGTGAGACTTCCATGGTTTTAAAGTTCTGATTTCCACCTCCAAATAAATTTCCCTCACCCCAAAAGCATTGAAATATGTCTGCCCCTTCCTGCCCTGGAAGCCCCTCTCAGGATTTCAGGTGGTGCCACTGCAGAGGCAAATTGAGTCCCATCCTAGAGACATGACAAGGACGACTCTAGCTACGCATATGGTGTGGCACAGGCAGCAGGGAGTGGGCTGCTTGGCTCTTCTTCATTGTTCAGAGCTGCTGTCATTGTCAGGGGCCCGGCTTGGCATCAAGGCCAGATGGAGTGCTAGCACGGGCCTGGGCTGGGCATGTGGTGTCAATTCCAGCCTCTTGGAAGTCGGAGTAATTCCTTGACTGCAGCCACATCTCCAGGGCTGGGAGGAGGCCTCTGAGGGTTAGCATCATGGCAGGGCAGGCTGGACAGCTGCTGCTTCTCAGTCCTGCTGTGTGTCTGGGTTTCAGATTCAGTAGAAACCCTCTGATTAATATTAACTGACAGAAGGCCAGCCCTGGCGTTGTACACAGTTAAAAAAGAAAGCAAAATTCTTACCTTTAAATACATACAGAGACTAGAGGTAGACAAAGTATCCTTTGGGGACCCCTTTCAAAGAGGAGGCAAAGTGTAATTAGTGTAGCCACGCTCGGCTCACATGTGAAAGTCGTATGACCTTATTCACAGCTGAAAGGTAACTCCTCTCCCACCATCTATTTGCTAAGTGAGCCCTGTTACCAAAATAGTCCCAAAGGGAAACTTCAGCTCATCCCCTTTCTTAAATCCTCAAGTTCCCAATGAATAAAACCTGAATTCATTATGCTTACTAGGTGTCCATCGACCTCGGGTGAGCATCTCTCTTTATACCCTTAAATAAGGTGAGTGTGATTCCTCTGGCCAAGTTTGAGCAGTAATGAAATTCCTCCTGTTATTCTCCCTGTGAAGTGTCCTGTGCCTCGGGGACGTGATTTGCTTTGAGCCTGCACTCATTTAACTGCCAGATGTGCAAATTGCCTGGAGTATTTTCAGTGACAGTTGCTTGTACTCACAGCCTTGAACATTTGTATTGACATTAAGCGGAGGGACCAGAAGGCTTTTAAGCACTTTCTGGGATTTTGGCAGACTACCCTATTGGCCTGTCATCAGAAGGATCCTATGGAGAAGGTGGAGAAGGGTTTACTGGTTAAGGACGGTGGTTCTTGGGTCACACTAGACCCGAGTTTACTTCCTGGTTCAGCTTTTTACATGACTGTGTGACTATGGGTAATTTTCTAAACCTCTCTGATTCTCAGTAAGCTCATCTGGAAAGTGGGAATAAGAACAATAACGTCTGTCTTAGAGGGTGATAGTGTGGGCTAATGAGATGGATGATGCATTTAAAGTACTTGACACAGCACTGGGCTCAGCATAATGTTTCATACTAAACAGCAATTGTTATTATTGGTGTTGTGGTTGTTTTTCCTGCTGATCCCAATTTCCGTGCTGACCTTTAAATTCCTTGCAATAAGGGCATCCCTTAACGTTTGATAGTTGCACACAACCCTCAACTACATGGTTTTCCTCAGGGTCCGAGAGACACAGGACCTAATGAATAAAAGGGCCTTGGTTGGTACATGCTCTCCATTCTGACTTTGAACGTGTTTGTTGTTGTTGTTGTTGTTGTTGTTGTTTTCAATTTTTATTGCCCTAGAATGTTTTTGTAAAGGGGCCATGTTACATATGCCTGGAAGAAGTAGAGGTCAAGGTGAAATATTTGTGATTTCTCACTTCATTGTTTGTGTTACTACAGGCTCCAACATAGTTACATAGTTTTGGACACTTGACAGCTATCCTCTCTGATGATTTACCCCTCAGGGCTCTTTTAGCGCACACACACACACACACACACACACACACACACCCCACACACAGTTTTTTCCTTGTTTTCTTTATGGAGGCAATTAGCCTCAACTTTGATTTGACCTGTGATATTGAGTAAATTACTTAATCCTTGTAAGTCTTAATTTCTGCATCTGTAAAATGGGAATAGTCACAGAATGGGTCCCCTTGGGTTGCTTGTTCATCAGTGGCACATGTGGCTAGTTAGCCTAGGAATTGCAGGAGTAAGGAGTCATCACCAGCCAGGTTCCCACATGGAATGTCTTGCTCCCTGTGGATGACTTCAGGCTTCAGTGAGAGGAGAACTGAGAAACTTACAAACACTAATTTGCTGTCTTCTCCAACACAAGCTCAGACCTGCCTGGTGGTGATGACAGGAGAAAGGACGCACAGATATGCCCGGAGAAAGCTCCAAGAGGAGTCTAGAAGAAAAGCAAACCCTCTGTGCCTTTGAAACAGATTTGTCCCTACAAGAACCTCATCTCCAAGAAATGTGTCTTTTTAGTCTGATGCTAATCAGAGGCACCATCTGGTTCAGTGTAAACTGCTTTAGGATCCACATTGCTAGAGATTTCTCTTCAAATTTCCAAAACAAACACAGAGAGAGATTGACAGAAAGAGAGAGGGAAGAAGGGGGGAGAGAGGGAGAGAGAGAGACAGACACCTGACAGAGATTTGGAAGCTCTTTCAATGTTTATTTTCAGCTGGTGGGTTTTTTTCACTGGGAACTTTATTGAGAAGCTGTTTTTTGAGCAAAGCATCCAGTTTCCCTTTTATTAAAGCTTAGCTTCCTTCTTCCCTCTCATCTGTTGCCCACAGTATCTGGAGATGCTGGGTCCCCCATTCACAGTGTACAAGGGGCTGGACAACGGTTGGGGAAAAGAGGGATGGAAATAATTGTGCCTATATCTTTTCTAATCAACATATCATTGCAGCATTGGGCTAGGAATAAACAACCCTCTGACTCTAGCAGTTACTACCTTTTTTTTCTTTTCAACTTTTATTTCAGGTTCATGAGGAACATGTGCAGGTTTGTTACATGAATTGATTTCATGTCAGGGGTTTCATGTGCAGATAATTTTGTCACCCAGGTAATACGCATAGACCTGATAGGCAGTTTTTTGATCCTTACCCTCCTCCCACCCTCTACCCTCAAGCAGGCCCCAGTGTCTATTGTTCCGCTCTTTGCATCCATGTGAACTCAATGTTTAGCTCTCACTTATAAGTGAGAACATGCGGCATTTGGTTTTCTGCTCCTGTGTTAATTTGCTTAGAATAATGGCCTCTGGCTTCATCAGTGCTCTGCAAAAGTATGTGATTTTAATCTTTTTTATGGCTGCGTAGTATTTCATCATGTATATGTACCACATTTTCTTTATCCAGTCCACCATCAGCGCGTGTTTAGGTTGATTCCACGTCTTTGCTATTGTGAATAAAGCTGTGATGAACATACACAGGCATATGTTTATGAATGTTAATGTCTTTGTGGTAGAACGATTTATCCTCCTTTGCATACATACCCAGTAATGGGATTCCTGGGTCGAGGGGTAGTTCTGTTTTAAGTACTTTGAGAAATCTCCAAACTGCTTTCCATGATGGCTGAACTAATTTACATTCCCTCCAGCAGTGTATATGCATCCCCTTTTCACCAAAACCTCACCAGAATCTGTTAATTTTTGACTTTTTATTTATTTATTTTTTTTGAGACTGAGTTTTGCTCTTGTCACCCAGGCTGGAGTGCAATGGTGCGGTCTCAGCTCACTGAAACCCCCACCTCCTGGGTTCAAGAGATTCTCCTGCCTCAGCCTCCCAAGTAGCTGGGAGGTGCACCACTGTGCCTGGCTTTTGTATTTTAGTAGAGACGGGGTTTCACCATGCTGGCCAGGCTGGTCTCAAACTCCTGTCCTCTGGCGATCTGCCTGCCTCAGCCTCCCAAAGTGCTGGGATTATGGGCATGGGCCACTGCGCTTGGCCAATTTTTGACTTTTTCATAATAGCCATTTTGAGTGGCGAGAGATGGTATCTCACTGTGGTTTTGATTTGCATATCTCTAATGACTAGTGATGCTGAGCATTTTTTCATATGCTTGTTGGCTGCATGTATGTCTTCTTTTAAGAAGTGTCTGTTCATGTCCTTTGTCCGCTTTTTAATGGGGTTGTTGTTTTTGCTTGTTAATTTGTTTAAGTTCATTAGATTCTGGATATTAGACCTTTGTGAGATGCATCATTTGCAAATACTTTCCCCTATTCTGTAGGTCGTCCATTTACTCTGTTGATAGTTGCTTTTGCTGTTTAGTTTAATTAGGTCCCACTTGTCAATTTTTGATTTTATTCTAGTGGTTATTACTTTGGTGATCTTCTTTAACATCTCTGAGCCTCGGGTTCCATGTCAGAAAAATTTGAAAAATGTGAATAGGAGTGTCATAGAATAAGAGACCTTTGAGTCAGGATATCCTTATTTTGGATCCTGGCTTGATTGCATGCTAGCTGTGTTCCTTTGAACAAGTAACCTCTCTGAGCTGTAGCTTCTTTAGCTACAGAAATGTGATAACTTATGAAAAGCAACTAGCAGAGTGCCAGAGACCCAGCTGCTGCTTATTAAAATGCATCTATTTTGTCTGTTGTATAACAGTACTAACCATAACAATAGTAACGACATCAACAGCAACTTAAAGGGAGAGACTTAATATTTATCAAATGCCAGCTCTGTATCAGGTATTACATACAGCATAAATATATATTAAGTTTTTACAAAAACCTAATGGCCTAGAAAGTTAAGTAATTTTCATTCCAGTGAGATCAAATATTACACAACGTATTAGGGTATTAATATTTTGGACTATGTGATGCTAGGGTTACAAATTAATCTCCAAATCTCAGTGGTTTGATAATGGAAAGGTTTATTTCTCTCCTGTGCAAAGTCTGATGAAGGTCATATGCCTTTTGTCCCTCCTGAAGTTGTGCCAGCTGGTGCATGTGGCCTCCCTGTAGCAGGAAAGATAAGAAGGGAGGGAAGGAGCACAGTGGCTCTTAATGACCTTGGCCTGGAAGTGACACCTGCCAGTTCCACCCACGGTCCGTTGGCCAGAACACATCACATGTGCTCTGCCAGTTCCACCCACAGTCCATTGGCCAGAACACATCACATGTGCTAACACCAGAGAATCTGGGATGTAAACGAAGCACACGCACATGCAATATTTGATGAGCGCTGTCTCTACGGCTCACAGGTAGTAAGTGCTGGAGCTGATTCTGAGTGCAAGTCATTTGAATAACAGAACCCACCTTTTTCTCACTATGCTTTATTCTTATGAGGACTAAAAAGGAGAAAATAGTGGTGTATTGACTTGGTAATTCTTCCTTCTCCATGTGAGAACAAGTGCCTCACCATTCCTCCTGAAGGATTTGTTTATTTCCATTCCCTGCTCCCAACTCCTGTTCCAAATGCCAGGCTATACATGAACTCTGACAGGTGTGCACAGGGACCCTTGCCTGGGAGGGGGATGAGGCTCTTGCTGCCAGCAGTTGCTGTGTCACCTGTGGCTTCTCAGGGCACAGCTTCCCTGCAGCAAGCCGGGGTGTTAGCAGGCTGCCCAAGACTTGGAATGTTGACATGAGGCTCTGCTTCTGAGACTGTTCAGAAGGAAAAGGCAGTTAGGAGAACAAAGCCTCTCCCTCTCAGGATGTGCTCTAGCCTCATAGTGGGGCTGTCATCTCTCTTTGTACCTTACATGCCCTTGCAAAATTCAGTTCATTGCATATAGTGCCTGGAATACCTTCTACTGCCTCCCATTCCCTACCTCAACCCCTAGCCATGCTCAACAGGCAACTCCTACTCATCCCTTTAAGAACCAAAGTAGACCTCAAGCCTGCAGTAAGTCCTCCCTGATGTCTCAGGCATTTCAGCTCAATTCCATTCAACATTTAGTCCCTGGGGAAGCAATGTGGATACAATTGTGACGAGTTTGCAAACTTCTGCACCGTGATCTCTGTGCAAAGAAAATGAAGCTGCTTCTTTTTGTTTTTAATCTAATTTAATCTTCTTTTTGAGTCTCTACTTTGTGCTGTGGCAACTTAAAAATTTCAATACATGGTATCTTATGGCTCTAGATTTAACCAGTTTTTCTGACTCAAAACAGTCCCCACCCTCCTAGGAACTCAAATAGGAAGGGGAAGAAAGGCACAGGTTTTGACGTTTCCCTCAGTTTATCTAAAATGACTCCCTTTGGGACTTTAGCCCCAGAGGGGATGTTGGTACACACAAATTTTGTGGCTTTGGGTCTCAATGCCAGGTGAAGGAGCAGCTGACCCTTCCTCTCCATCTTATCGCCTTCCTTTCTGAGGAGTCTGTCCTCATCTCTGTCCCTGGGATGGTAGAAAGAGAATGGCTGCCAGGGTACCTGATGAATGGGGAAAGATGTGAAAGTAGAGGGTTGAATACATTGCAGATATTACCCTGATTCCCAAAGGGGGCAAAACAACGCATCTAACCTCAAAGCTTAGATGTCCCTGAGGAGTTTGCTAAAATTGCAGAATCCTGGACCCTACTCCAAAGATTCTGACTCTGAATATCTGGGGAGGAGGCCAGGGATGTGCATGGTATCAGCCCGCCAAGGGGCTTTGGATGCAGGTGGCCCTTGACCTCTCTCAAATGGGAGACACAGCTCCAGGAGCCTGAGGAGGGAAAGGAAAGCAGTGTGGGCAAGGACATGGCTCCCCCATTGCAGAGTACAAATTTCCATCATGACACTTGACATATCATTCTAGCATTCTCTGTTTATGGGACTGTCTATACTGATGGAATGAACTCCTTAAGGATAAGGGAAGTTGTAAGTTTTGTTTTATTTACGTTCCTGGTCTATACACACGTTTATGTGCCTGGTCTTACTGATACCAGCTCTCAGAGGCTGGTCTGTGGACCTCGGTAGTAAAAGCATTATTCAATGGCCAGTGTCCCTTTAAGAAAAGGAAAAGAACAGACCTCAATTGTACAGAGCTGGAGCAGTCCTGGCCATTAATTCAAAATACATCTTATTATTGATCCACACAAGACATGCTTTTATTTATTTAAATGTTCTATTCATTATTTTTAATAACAAATGAAGCATCCATGCATTCACCACACAAAACAGAAGCTAGGAAGTTAACAATCACTTACGTGTAACCACATGACTGCCTTTCCCCACCTAAGGTAACCACATTCTTGAGTCTTTTTTTTTTTTTTTTTTTTTTTGAGACAGGGTCTTGCTTTGTCACCTAGGCTGAAGCACAGTGGCACAGTCATAGCTTATTGTAACCCTGAGCTCCTGGACTCAAGCAATCCTCCTGCTTCAGCTTCTGAGTAGTTAGGACTACAGGGACATACCACCATGTCTGGTGAAGTTTTTTAAAAAAAACTTTGTAGAGATAGGGTCTCCCTATATTCCCCAGGCTGGTCTCAGACCCCTGGGCTTAAGTGATCCTTCTGCCTTGGCCTCTCAAAGCACTGAGATTACAAGCATGAGCCATTGCACCCAGCCTCTTGAATCTTTTGTTAATCATTCCACTGCTTTCCTTTTCATGCAGTTGTATTGCATTTATATATATTCCCAGTATTTTAGTTATTTGAACTTTACGAAAAGTGTATTGAACTGTTGATAATTTGAAGGAATTTATTTTTTTTACTTAATATTAAACTAGGAATCATCCATATTACTGATTGCTGGAGTTCATTGTTTTGATGACGGTAGGAAATTCCATTGTGTGAATAAGCCATAATTTGTTCATTCATGCTTTCAATTTCAGGCATTGGGTTGTGTCAGTGTTTCTTCTATTGAAAGCACTGCTGCTAAGAACATTCTTGTACATGTCTCTTGTTGTAAATGTTCAAGAGTCTCCTTTGGGGATAGAACTACTAGTAGATTTGCTTGGCCATAAGGGATCAGAATCTTTAGGAGATAGTGAACACTCTTTTCCAAAGGTGGTTGTACCAATTTACACTCCCACCAGCAATGCCGAAGTGGACCTGTGTAGCCACAGTCTCTTTAATGCTGGATATTGCCCTACTTCTTAACCTTTGCCACTAAAATGGGCTTAGACTACATCATCACTGTCTTCAGTTGCATTTCCTTGATCACCAGTAATGCTGAAAATCCTTTGTTCTGTTTTCTTTGCCACTCGTGTTTTGTTTCTTTGCTATGTCTTTTCATGTCTTTTGACTGTTTTTCTTTTTTCTTTTTGAGACGGAGTCTCGCTCTGTCGCCCAGGCTGGTGGAGTGCAGTGGCGTGATCTCGGCTCACTGCAACCTCTGCCTCCCAGGTTCAAGCGATTCTCCTGCCTCAGTTTCCTGAGTAGCTGGGATTACAGGTGTGTGCCACCACGCCTGGCTAATTTTTGTATTTTTAGTAGAGACAGGTTTCACCGTGTTGGTCAGGCTGGTCTTGAACTCCTGACCTTGTGATCCCTCTGCCTCGGCCTCCCAAAGTGCTGAGATTACAGGTGTGAGCCACCGCACCCGGCCTTTTGTCTTTCTGTCAGATTGGTTGTATTTTTCTTATTGATCTATAGGATATTTAATATATTCTTTCTACTTATCTTTTGCTGATTTTATGTATTGTGAATATCTTCTCCCAGTTTATACCTTGTCTTTTTATTTAAGATGCATTTTCATGAGCAAAAGTTCTTAATTTTAACACAATCAAATCAATGTTTTTTTAGTCAAATTTTTGTGTGTGCCTTAAGAAATCTTTCTCAGTCCTGAAGTCTAAAAGATGTTCATTATTTTTACTAAGAATTCTATAATTTTAGTTTTGATACATAAATCCTTTATCTACAGAGTTTATGTTTTATATATAGTGTGAGTAGGAATCTGATTTTTGTCTTTCATTTTTGTTTTTTTCCCATTTGACCACACCTCTTTCCCAGCTTCATCTGCTGGACAGTTTCTCCTTTCTCCATGCCAGTGTCATTTTGCATTTTCAGGACATTGCTCTTTCCTACAGGCTGTGGGCTGAGTTGCTATAGCCTAGATTCAATCTCCGGTGCTGAGGACAGGGTTGCTGTAGACTGGATTCAGTCTCTGGTCCACAACATGCAGGTTCTCTGTGCTATCGCTCACTGAGAGCTGAAGGATTAGGAAAAAGGAGTAGCCTCTCCTCCTCCAGTCAAGCCCCTGAATTAGTCTTCAGTGTGATGTTAGCATCCTGGGAATTATGTGCCAAGGCATAGCACTTACCTTCTCTCGGCTTGCACTTTCTCAATTATGAAAGAAATAATTTTCCTTATGGTAAGAAATTGCTTGGGCTCATAAAGCTACCTTCCTGTAGTTTCTTTTTGTATTTGATAATAACAGCACTGAACTGGGAGTGAGGAGACCTGAATCATAGTAAAAACAACATCAGCAGTTGCAACAGCAACTGACGTTTATTGACTGCTTATTATGCACTGGCACTGTGCTAAACAGTTAGGTATATTATCTCATTTAGTGCACAGTTGTGAGATCTTGGGCATGTCCCTTAACCTCTGTAGAACAACTGTAAATGATGACACTGAACAAGATTTTGTAGTGTTCCACCAACAATGAAAATCTATGTTTTAAAAAAGTCATCCTCTGCTTCACAGTGATAATAATTCTGAATCTTTTTCACATAATACCATTTAGTGCCTTAAAAACCCTCCTCTTCCCATTGAAAAATATTCTCCCAATACTGTGTTGAGAAGTATTGAGAAGCATTCCCCCAGTACGTCTCAGCATCCTGCCTCAGCTGGGGGCAAGGGATGAGGCCATTTTATAGAACCTTAAGTGAATGGAGGGCAATTACATGATGCATTCGAGGTTACACAGCTGGTCATTTAACAGTGCCTCATGTGCTGGAGCGTTTCATTTCTTCAAGAAAGTACCATCGATTTTGAGGACAAGTTTTTTCTCATCAGAGCATTTAGAGGCATCAAAGTTCTTCAAGTGAGGAGCCCACTTTGCCCGTTTCAACTGCAGTGTCACAAAGCCATAGCCAGCACCAAAACGTCCCTTCCACACTCTGGAGATCTGAGAAGGGGTTCTCCCTCAAATCCTCTCTTCCTGTTCTGATGTGACAGATTGCAGACTTCATTCTCAGAGAGAAACCTTCAGATCCAGAATCAGAGAAGACAGTGATTTAATGTGCTGCAGAACAAGTCCAAGAGAGATTTATGAAAGTGTCTGTTGGGGGTGAGGGTGCACTGAAGTTAAAAAAAATTGGCATACAATCAAGGAAAAAAATCTGTCTTAAACTTCCAAAAATACTTAGAATAGCAGCTTTCAATGGCCTTATGAACTACAATTTAATTAGGGGAGAAAAAAATTCCCGATCACTTCTTTAATAGCAATGTAAATAAACTCAATAAACTCTTCGTGTGTGTGTGTGTGTGTGTAATTTACCTCATTAAAAATAGAGAACAACAAAATCACTCTGTTCTCATATCTTTCAAACTATATTCCATGGGATTCTTATCTAGTTTTGGAATGATTCTTTGCATTAATGGAAGCATACATAATGAGGGCATTTATATAAATCTTTATAAGGTTATGCATTTACTCCAAAATTTTGTTTTCACTGTGAAATTGCAATCATGAATGATTCCCATTATGCTGAGGTGGGGTTTTAGAATGTTTGTATGGTTTGGCTGTGTCCCCACCCAAATCTCATCTTGAATTGGAGCTCCCATAATTCCCACGTGTTGTGGGTGTGACCTGGTGGGAGATAATTGAATCATGGGGGCAGTTTCCCTTATACTGTTCTCATGGTAGTGAATAAGTCTCACGAGATCTGATGGTTTTATAAGGGGAAACCCCGTTCGCTTGCTTCTCATTCCCTCTTGCCTGCTGCCATGTAAGACGTGCCTTTTGCCCCCTGCCATTATTGTGAGACCTCCCTAGCCACATAGAACTGAGTCCATTAAACCTCTTTTTCTTTATAAATTACCCAGTCTTGGGTATGTCTTTATCAGCAGCGTGAAAATGGGCTAATACAAGCATCCTGAGACTTTTATGTTGATCTGTTGAAATTTGATTTTGCTAGGTTATTTTTCCCCAACATCTTAGAATAGAAGGAAATTTCCTGAAGACGACAATACAGTTGAATTGAAAATTTGCTGCAGATTCATTTCAGTTCAAGTAATATTTATTAAAAATCTAAAACTGTGGCAGCACTGTACTGTGGGGACTATTAACAAAATACAGTAATAAGTAATGTATGGCCACCACTTATTTAACCATGATTTTGTGCCAGGCCCCAAATAATTAACTAGTTTAATTATCATGACATCCATGTAAAGTGTAGGTATCACTATTCCTATTTAACAGGTGAGGAAACTGATAAGGAGGTTTAAAAACTTGCCAGTTAAGGAGGTTTTAAAACTTGCCAATAGTTACACACCAAGTAACAGCAGAGACACCATTCCAACTGGGGTCTGTCTGATTCCCCAGCACACACTGAACTGCCATGCTGGATGACTTCTGGAACAGAAGAGTTTCTGTCCCCAGGAGCTTACGATTGGAGAAGAAAAGATTTACCCAAAGATCTCTTTAAATTTGAGCTCACACATGCTGGGCAGGTAATACAAATGAGTGAAGGGGCAGGGTCATAGTTATTATGAGATTTGCTAAGATAATCATTCCTTTCCGAGTAGATAGTCCTAATGTCACCTTCACTTGTATTTTTACAACTCAGATTTTCTACTTGCCTATTAAACATGTGGGAACCTTCTTTACTTCACAGAGAAATCTGATTTCTTTAATTTTCCTCCCTAAAACACAGTGCCATCTGGTTAGTCATCCATATCCCCATGACTGTTTTTTGTTGTTGTTGTTGTTGTTGTTGTTTTCTTTTGAGACAGAGTCTCATTCTGTCACCCAGGCTGGAGTGTGGTGGCACAATCTTGGCTCACCGCAGCCTCCGCTTCCCAGGTTCAAGCGATTCTCTTGCCTCAGCCCCCGGAGTAGCTGGGATAACAGGCATGAGCCACCATGCCTGGCTAATTTTTTGTATTTCTAGTGGAGACAGTGTTTCACCCTGTTGACCAAGCTGGTCTCGAACTTCTGACCTCAGGTGATCTGCCCACCTCGGCCTCCCAAAGTGTTGGGATTACAGGCATGAGCCACCACACCCAGCCATATGCCTATGTGTGACAGAGACAAGTGTATGGTGAAATGTTTCTTTGCTACTAAGGAAGCAAGAGTGACAGAAATCAATGGCCAGTCAGCTCTGGGAGGAGAGACTATAGGGATTGGTGAGGACTGGGGCAGAGTCTGTGCCATGGGTAAACAGGACAGCAGTGAGGCAGGGCCATGTCAATATGCAGACACAGTGCTGCTTGATAGTCTGTCTCTCTTTCTTTTTTCTTTTTTTTGAGATAAGTCTCCCAAGTGGAGACCTGCTGATTTATTTTCAAATGATATAGAAAACAGACAAAACCTACAGATGGACCCAGAATAGCAGTCTCTGGTGCAAATATAATGTTTATAGAGTTTTAATAAATTTATAAGGTTTTCATTAATTTATTATAAATAAATTTTATAATAAAGTTTTATACAATTATAAATATGATAACTTATAAGTTATTATGTTTATAAATAACCCTATAAGAATGACTATTGCCAGAATTCAGTGGAAACAGGGCTGTTGGAACATTGGGGACAGTTTTATGGAGAAGGCAGGATGTCAGCCGAACATGAAAGGCCAGTGTATGTGACACAGGCCCTCTCTGGATGACAGCCTGTGGGAGATCTTGGAGTGTCTGAGCTGAGAGATGCCTGCTTCTCAACCTCAGCAGCCCTTGGGATTCCTCCTTGCCTGATATGCTTCCTTGCTAAGGGGGGCCTTGGACCACACCGAGACCTCTGCTAGGCATGCTTCTGAAGATGTTGGCCCAGAGATGGGAAAAATGGCATTTATTCTTTATGTAAGTTAGGATTATCAAAATATTGTGAGTTGATTGTAAGACATTTGGAAATGTATAAAATGTCCATGATCTCACGATTTAGAGGAAACCATTGTTTATTCTTCCTCTCTTTTGTATCATATATATGATATGATATGAATCATATTATATTTATATAAATATATATATTTATATAAATATATATATATAGGTCTCACTCTGTTGCCCAGTCTAGAGTGCAGTGGCATGATCATAGCTCACTGCAACCTTGACCTCCTGGGCTCAAGCAATCTTCCCACCTCAGCCTCCTAAGTAGCTAGGAATGCAGGCACACATCACCATGGCTAGCTAATTTCAAAATATTTTTTGTAGGGACAGGGTCTCACTACATTGCCCAGGCTGGTCTTGAATTCCTAGCCTCAAGTGATTCTTCCACTTCAGCCTCCCAAAGTGCTGGGATAACAAGTGTGAGCCACCACACTTGGCCTGTATCATATATTTTATATAATTGGGATCTTGTTTTGCATGCTGTGTAATCTGATTTCTGAAAATTATTAGGAACATTTTCCCATTCTATTTTTAAGGGCTTCACAGGACTCTTTGAAGGACACTGGCTATAGTCAATTTTATGGCTTGGCTCTGCGCCCCTGACCAAATCTGACCTTGAATTATAATAACCCCCACGTGTCAAGGGTGGAACCAGGTGAAGATAACTGAATCATGGCAGCAGTTTTCCCCATGCTGTTCTCATGAGATCTGATAGTTTTATAAGAGGCTTCCCCCTTTGCTCGCCACGCATTCTCACTTCGTCCTGCTGCCCTGTGAAAAAGGTGCTTGCTTCTCCTTTGCCTTCCGCCATGATTGTAAGTTTTCTGAGGCCTCCCTAGCAATGCGGAACTGTGAGTCAGTTAAATCTCTTTCCTTTATAAATTACCCAGTCTCAGGTATTTCTTTATAGCAGCATAAGAATGGACTAATACAACCAATTGTAATATTTTCTTCTTTAAGGACATTTAGGTTCATTTCATTGTATGCTAGAAAAACTTCCTGGAATTCATACCCTTAATAGACAAATCATTGTCCTCTTTGCTTATTATTTGTTTACCATTGGATGTGAGTCTCACCCAAACTTACCAGTGTTTGTCCAGGTTTTGACTCTCCCTTTTCCCTACTTTTCAAACACAAAGGTGCATGCACACACACACAGAGGATTTTGCTTCCTCCCTGTGTGATAGACTCAGCATGGAGCAGACTGTGTTGTCCTTGAGTTAAGGAGTTGGAGTAACATGATCCAATTCGGGAGGGACATGTTTTCACAACTCCGCCGTTATCCTTGATGGCAGGGGGTGTGTCTGTGTGTGGACGTTCCCTGCAATACCAAGCACTTAAATGCGACCACACTGAGAGCCCTCATTAGTCCTAGGCAGCCAAAGTAGATTTGCTGAGCATGCCACCATCCAGGCTGGAGAGACTGCCCACATGGAACCAGACGCCACAGTGGAGAGGGGAGCCAATTATCCAAAGGCAAATGAGACTCTAATTACAGCTTTAGCTAAAGAGTGGGAAATTATTTGAGGAGAGACTTCCCATTTCTGGTGTAGGCACAACACAGGACAGTTGTTCAGAATAAGGGGCTGGATCAATTCCTGATTTTGCTACCTTACCCGGGATACTTCACCTCTGTAAGCATCTGATTCTTCACCTGTGAAAGGAAAACAATATAGACGGTTGACCTCACTGGTTTCCCGTGAGCATTGAATGTGATGTTGCCGGTGAGAGGCATAGAGAGGCCTGGTCCTTAGTAAGGACTCATAAGCCAAGTTTCATCATTAATAACTATTACTAGTGCTACTATTATTTGCAGTCATCTGGTAGCATCATAGAAGGTACAACTGGAAGTCAGGAGAGCTGGAGTCTCAGCTCTGCAGTTTCCTGTGCATTCCAACTTAGAGAATGAATTCATCCCTCCGTCTTCATTTTCCTCATTTCTCAAATGAGAAGCTTGAATGAGGGGATACGTGAGCACACATTCCCTCCTGAGGTTTGTGGTCCTAAGCTAACTGTAACCTAGGGTTCAGGGTTTGAGTTACTCTGTGCAGCAGCACTCAGCACCTTCCACTGCCACAAGTGCTCCTGGATGGTGGGAACCTGGCTCCTCAGTTACTATTTCTGGAGTTCTTACTAACACACAGAGGTGCATTGTGCTGAGAACCATATATCATTACCTTCATGAATCCTCCCATCAACACTGTCTTACAAGGGCTGTTATGATCACCTCTTTGCAGGTGCTAAAGCTGAGATTTATATAGGAAGCTGGGATTTAAACATAGGCTCCTAACACCCATACTAAATGGTCTCTGTGTCCACAGTGTTCAGTAGTGAGTAGTAATATTTTTGTTCTTATAAATATTGGTTGGGCTGCACTCGAGGATTTGGAAGAACTGGGATGGAGAGGACACTCAGCAGTGTGCTCTTATTGCACTCTTCTCTCTTTTACTCAGTCCTTTCAAAATTGTAGGCACAAAAGTCAGGAAGGCAACACCTGTAAGACTTTGGGGGCAGCTCCTGCTACCTTAGCCCTGTCTAACTTTCTCTCTCTGTAAAATGAGACTGATAAACAGTTGCTCTGCCCTACTTGCCTGGTAGAGTCATTTTGAGCTACACGAAGGATTGTATATGCGTGTGTGCATTAAAGAATTTGCACATTGGGCATATCGAGTGTTTGAGCTGAAAGGAATGTTAGCAACCAGCTGCCCAGAGATAGTCAAATTCAGCAATTGAGAGAAACCCTGAAGGGGCTTCACCTTGGGTGTATAACAAGCAGGCCCACTTCTCCCTGCTTCTTAGAATAGCTCACTGTATCTATGTCTCTGTCAGTCTACTGATCTACCAATCTATCTATCTATATATCCAAGAAAATTTTCAGCAAAAAAATTCTAAGTCTAAAGAAGTATGTGGTATTCGTTTTTCTGTGCCTGGCTTATTTCAGTTAGCATCACGTGAAAAATTGATCTGGCTCTGATGAGGGATGTTGATAGTGGGGAAGGCCACGTGTGGGTGGGGACAGGGGATATATGGGAACTGTGTACTTTTGACTCAATTTTGCTGTGAACCTAAAGCTGCTCTTTAAACAAAACTACTCCAAAAATAAAAAACAAATACAGTACAAACATTGACCTGAATTACCACCACCCCTGATCCATTTTACAGAGGAGGAAAAAAGGCCCTGAAAGAGGAAGTGGCTCTTCTAAGGCTACTGAGTAGAAGAGTTAAGATAGAACCCCTGGTTCAGCTTTTTCTGCCCACATACCAATTTACTTACCAATTGTTAGCACTGAAAGTGTGGCCCTGTCCCTCCCTGGCTTAAAGGGTACACTTCAGTGACTTAGGGAGGGGGTGGTGGGGCTTCAGTTTCACTGCCTGTGCTCATGGTGGTGCCTGTGGTTGGGGGGAGGGGACATCTCTGCCATTGCTGGCTCCCTGGCATCACTGTGCCTGCGATTGTGAGCTGTTGGTGGTGGTGTCCAATGGCTCACACTGGCTCATTGCTGGGACAGTGGGATAATTTCCTAGGGCCAGCTCTAGAGGAACTCACAAGATGATTAGGTGGTGGCTGAGGTTCAGATGGGTTCAGGCTTTCTGCCCCACCAGCTTCTAGCTATGCAGGTCCAGCCATCTCCCTGTCCGTCTCTGTCTGTCTCTCATTTGTTCTGTCCCCACCCCACCCCCGCATCATCCCATGCAGCCCCTTTTCTAAAATCTTCTGCTTCACCCCATCCCTAGAGGAACTCCCCCTTTCCCCTTGCTCTCTTCTTAAGCCTGAACAACTCGCATCAGCTTAGACACCAGCCAGTTCCTAGGGAGGCAGTTCTCCACTCAGTCCCCTCAGGTTCCAGGTGTGGAGGAGGTGTGGTGACTGACTGTGGCCCCGTAGAGAGTGTAGGCTGCAGGAATTCATCCCGTTGCATTTGCCCTCCCAGAGAGAGCTCTAACCAGTTTTCTTTCTGGGTCACCGAAGCAGTAAGGCACACCTTGCCAAGGTGAGCATTATTTTTTTCTCAGACCCAGCGTCTTCTAATCTACTTTGGGGGTCATGTATTTCCCCTTCCACCATGGCTTTGGCCTTGATCCTTTTGGATCTAGCAACCCTGGCATTGCTGTGCTAAGAAGCATGTGGCTCTTGCCCATCCAGCGTGAGCCCAGTTTGCCCTGGTGATTGCCACCTTCCCCTAGCTGTAAACTCTGCTCTATGACTGAGGAGGGACGGAGTCAGCTCTGGTTAGATTTGTAAGTTTTAAGGCTCCCCCAACCCAATAAATGTGTGTGTGTGTGTGTGTGTGTGTGTGTGTGTGTGTGTGTGTGTTGAATCGTTCTAACACACCTTCCAAAATGCATGGGAAAGTTGTCAACTTCTTTTCTCATGGTGTGTTAAAAGAATTTGGCATCCAATAAAGTACCTCTGGGCCTTGTGTGCTGGCAGCTTCTGGGCAGGTTGACGGTTTCCTCCCTGTTCGTATTTGTTTCATCATAAGCCAAACAAAAGCACTGAGAATCCATGTATTCGGGATCTCAGGGGCCTCTCCTCCTTCTCGTGCTTCTCTAAGATTTTCCTTGTGCTTACGTAACACCAGCTTCCTGACTTCAGGTAAAGAGTGTGTGTTTTCTCTCTGTATTCCCAGTAACTGGCACTGGGATAGGTGTTTGAAGGTGAAAGGACCAGTTGCCTTCATTGAAAGATGGTAATATCGTCTATTGAAGAAAACACTACACAGTACGTCTTCACTTATTGTCATCCATAGGTTCTTGGGAACCGTAACTTTAAGTGAAATGATGTATAACAAAACCAATTTTGCCATAGGCTAATTGATATAAACAAGAGTTAAGTTCCTAACTTAAAATATCACCATAAAATATCGCCATACTTCTAAATAAAGACCAAAACACTTCTAATATTATACATTAAAATAAATGTGAGCTATACATACATTTAAGAATAATAAAAACAAGTAAGATCATGACTTACCCACTTATTCCAGTTCAGGGTCCTGGTGGCTAGAGCCCATGCTGGCATCTCAGGGTGCCGGGCGGAAACCAGCCTTGGACAGGATGCCATTCCGTCACGAGGTGCACTCACACACCTATGCTCACTCACACAGTGGCCATGTGGACATGCTAAATGAACCTGATGCACATGTCTTTGGAATGTGGGAGGAAATTGGAGTACCTGGAGAAAATCCACATAGAAATGGGGAGAACGTGCAAACTCCACAGACAGTGGCCCCAGCTGGGAATTGATTTTTTTTCTCATCAAGGTTATAACAAAACAACATTGAATGAAACGATGTTATTCAAGACCTGCTGTGCTAAGAGCTGGAAAATTTAAACTCTAGTCCAGGAAAGCTACTAACAAGCAGTGTGACCTTGGACAAACCACTTAACCTCTCTGGGCTTCATTTCACATTGTATAATCAGAATGTTGGATCTCTGAGATCCTGTTCATCTCTGACAGTCAGCCAGTCTCTGTTGCCAGGACAGCATAGAACAAGAGACAGCAGCTTCAAGTACTATTTAAACTGCCTGAAAGGCATTCTGTTATCCTGGGGTTTTGTGGGCACTAGTGTCAGCCTGACATGAAAGACACAGAAGGACTCACTGTGTTTGGATGTACCCAGATTAGGGTATTGTCCACACAGGCCGTGGTGTGTGAATCCAGTGTGTCATTGAGAGGCTTGTTAGAACTAGTTCTGTGTTTCTTGGCATGGGACCTGGAACTCTACCACTTTCTGCCCTTCTCCACGCCCCCTCTCCCGCCCCCACAGAGAGGGGCAGCAGTCAGGACATTGCCCCCTTTTGCAGGTGGATGTTTCTCTCCATGCAAGTGTTTGTGTGGGTCTCAAAAATTTGCTTTTCATCAGGCTCATCCCTGCCGATGTCCCAGATTTGCCAGAACCCCCGTCTGCAGCAGGATGCTTTGTTTTGTTTGTTGGTTTATGGGGATTCTGGGCTCTGTCTCTGGGTGCAGTGGCAGGTTTTAAAATCAATTACAATCCAGGTAACAGGAGGTTCACCACAGCACTCTGCTGTCTGTTCAAGGCCTGTGCTGAGAAATTAAGTAGGTCCCAGTTACCTCTCAGAAAATTTGTGGTATTTCAGGGGACTACAGCGAGTTGCAAATCTTGATAGGTAGTGGGACCTGTCAGCAAACAGCAGACTGGCTTATGTTGTGGTTCAGCAGGAAAAGGAGA
The DNA here is from genome assembly GCF_000001405.40 of Homo sapiens. Taxonomy (NCBI): domain Eukaryota; kingdom Metazoa; phylum Chordata; class Mammalia; order Primates; family Hominidae; genus Homo; species Homo sapiens. Next base: position 169,782,223 of record NC_000005.10, read on the forward strand.
GAATAATTCCCTGAGCATAAGATGTGTTGCTCCCTCTTCTAGTTTATCAGGAGATAGCCACATACATCAAGAGACAGACCCTGGGTTTGGGGTACAAGCAGGAGAGCTGGTTATTTCTTGCTCTGTTTCCAAGAAGACGGGAAACTGTGGTTGTAGTCTCCTTATTCGTGATCAGGTTCCTTGCAGCTGTTTCATCTCCAGGCCTAAAGCTGACCAGTTACTCCTTTCTCTGTCTCCTGCCAACCTAGGGGGAGAACACTAGGCAGCTTCCTCCTTAGTTTTTTTTTTTTTTTTTTAATTTCTTGATTCATCCTGGGAAATGGGTACATCCACAGAATGCCTGCTGTGTGATTGCAGGTCTCCAGGTCCTTCTTTCTACGCCTTAGGGTCAGAAATAGGGGGAACACAGAGAGCAGGACTACCTAACTGTTTTGGAGAAATTCAACAGCCATGTAGGTCTTCGGTTCTCAACTGCATTCGAGGTTTGCTTTACCCATCCTTGCCTAGAGGGGATTTCATCCACTCTGCTGGCTCAATGCCATCCTGCTGCCTACAGCTGCAAAACTTAATTTTTAGTCTACGTCTTCACCTTCATCCCAAGACCTGTATCGTTAACTGGCTCTCTGACATATCAAATTCCACATGTGATAGTTGGAGCCACATTTTTGATGAAGAGAGGCAATGTTTAGAACAGGTTTTCCAATTCAAAAAATGTTTATTGATTCTCTGGCATAAACAAAACATTTTGTAGCCATTTAGAAAATACAAAGATGATGAAAATATGGTGATGTCCTCAAGGAGCTTGCCTTTATTTGCAAAATGAGGCATTCTTTATTATAATGCAGAATGAATATTTTATAGTAGAGATAATAAGCAAAGCGCCATGAGACTTCAGAGGAGAGAGCCAGAGGATGTTAAAGTCATTCTTGTAGTTTAAAACCTCCAAAAGATTATTTAAAATGAACAAGAAACACCAAAGAACTTCAGAAATTGGAAATATTCAACTTTTATTATATTAGATTTGGTAACCTCTGATTTTTTCATGATCTTGACTTTGGCCCCAAATGTACAAAGAGTGTTTGTTGGATGATCTCCTTACCAAAGTCTAGAGTTCCAGAGAGCCATTTCAGGGTTTTCCATTTGGTTTCATAGTTGAATTGTATTCATCGGTGACTTTGGAAAAGTCATGTCAGTTTTTTGGTTCTTGGCTTCTTGATCTGTAAAATCTGGATTATAGTGGGGTTAAATGTGAATATTAAATAACAATGCTCAACACAGTCCCTGAATGGCAATAAATGCTAGATAAATGATAGTTTGAAATTAGTATGATTATTATTTCCATTTTAATTATTCATTAATAATTATTATACCCATTTTTATTATCAGTTTGAAGTTAGAGACACTGTAGAGCATTAAAAATAAAAAGTTGCTTAAATTGACTTTTTAGAATATCAAGATAGAAAAAAAGCTATGGGAGAAAGGGTGTTCATATATACTATAATAATTACGATACTAGTTACTTTTAATAATTTTTATAAAAACTTACAAAGTAGGTTGTTATCACTATTTTACAGATGGATAAACCTGCTTAAATGTGCCAGTTCTTTCCAATAAGCAAGCTTGCAGATACTTAACTAATTTTTAACTATTGATGTATTTGTTTTTTCCCCTCACAATCTACTGTCTCCTAGGAAGGCGGAGATAAACCTGATAGTTTGAAATTAGCACCCTCTTTTACTCAACCAGCATAAAGGACTGTTTGACCCAGGCAAGTGATGAGGTGATTTGTAAGGCCAATTTAAATCAGTGTCTTGCCCACTGGCTTTCAAAGTCCAGGGATGTGCAGGTATATATTTTGGGCAGTCAGGTTCTGTTGTGCGTGGATTGTGGTCAATTTCATTGATTTTTTTTTTTTTCTCAACACAACAGTTTCAAAATGCTCTTTTGCTCCCCAAATAGCTGATCTTTTCAAACCTTTTGCTATTTTTTCCTGGTAAGACTTTCAGGTAACAGTGTAAATGCAATCAACAACCACACATTTCAGACGATGATGATGATATTTTTGAACATGTTTAATGATTTCACAAAACACAGACGGGAAAAGTTGAGTGGCTCCTTGGAGAAACTGCCTAATCCAACCTCTTCATTTTCAGCCCAGGAAAGTGTGGTTCTGAGGGGACATGACCTGCCCAAGGTCACACCACAAGTTGGTGGCAGAATTGGGATTAAAAGTTAGGAATCCAGATTTTAGTTTCTTTCTTTCATTTGCAGAGTAAGCAAAACTATTTTCCTTGGCATGAAAGATAATTTCAGGTGTGTACAAATAGAGTACTGTATCCAGAAGGGAAGTTCATTCATTCAATTCCTTTTCAATCTTTCTGATTATGTCAACGATTGTGTATCTTTGCTGTTTTGTTTTTATCTTTCTCTAATAATCTCCTTTGATAACAAAGATGGAGCAGACATCAGGCTCAAGCTTCTCTTAGTATTTAATATAAGTGTTTATTTTTATTGTATTGATTGTTATGATATCTTCCATTTATGGCAAAGGATACTGGTTTTCTGGTTGAGGTAGCAAAGTTTTCTTTCAAAATAAACTTAAGCAGATTCAAATGAATTTACTTTATGAAAAATATTAAGTAAACAATAGTGCAGGTGGAAATTATGATGAATACATAGCAGGTTTCCCACTGAAAAACATAATGATAAACTAAAGCTTGGAAAATACTTGACTGGATTTTGCCCTTTAGAAAGCTCTAAGCTCTATGAAGATAGATATGGCTAAATCCCAGTTTCCTTCTTATTCATGTCATGTCCTTTTTATGGAGCAGTCAGAAAAACAATCATTAGATCTAAAAGAAGATCATAAAAACTACCCGTATAAGAGATGAACTCGTATGTTGATAACCTCATTATGGGTAGCTTCCCTACAAGCCAAAAAGTTGGATCAGCAGCCAATCTAATTTCAGTATGGAGGTAGTTTTGTTTATATTTTACGTTATAAACAGTATGTGAATGCATTTGAAAACAGAAACTAGTTTCATTTTTCAGGAACTGATGCTGTATTTTAAGATATTTTATACCTTATTCTTGCCTTTTTATCCTTCCTAAGAAGTTCTCTACTTTCTGATCATCTTGCTCTTCCATCAGAGAGTGTGAATGAAGAAAAAGATGGCAAAATGCAATTTATCAAATATTTTCCCACTATTAACACATTTTAGAGATTAGCATATATAGAACAAATGGAATAGGAATATTAAAGTTATTCATTAAAATGGAGAGTAGAACTCTCCACATATTTCTTTCATCTATAATTTACCAATATCAAATGAATACCTGGAAAGAAAGATGTACTAGATTGCAGTATTTGAGTGTTTTTCCCATTATCTTTAATAGCAATTCTTCCAGTATTGCTTAATTTGTTTCCCTGCTCCCTAAAGCAGAAGTTTCTTCTTAGCTATGATTTAGTTATCCAGGGATCCTGGAGCTCTGAAGACCCATTATGGTTTGGCTAAGATGAGCTTGCCTTTCCTAAATGCCACACACAACTCATTCATGCCCCCTCTTCCTGTGGGCTTCTTCTGCTGGCCATTAGTGTTTTTTTGTGGAATGCTCCTTCATTGGAAAATTTATTCTCATTTAGAGGAATCTGGTGACAAAAAAAAGAAGGCGGAGTCAACTTCTGGTGACTTATGGGCAGTTAGAGTCAAACGTTTGAAAAATGGGCTTCTGAATCAGCAGAGATTTTACAAAGTGACTGGTGGAACTGCATACAAATGGGTAGAGTACAGAGATGCCAAGAAATAATGCTACTTCTATTACCACTAATAAAAAGACTGCATTTCCCAGTTCAGGGCTAGAAAGGTTAATGATGATACATTCTTTTTTAGTATCAAAGATTAACATGATAACTTGCATATTAAAGTTAATTCAGACCTACTGCTAATGGAAGGGGCATACAAAATTAATTTCTACAGCACCTCATAAATTATGATCACTCACTCTTCTTTGGCTGGTGTTCTTTGTCTTGGCAGGGGCTGCATGTGTACTTAAAGTGGGCACACTTCAGTTAGTAGGGGGGCATCTTTGGCCCCTGAGGAATTTGGGAAGCTTGGGGTGTGTGCCTTGTAGCTCTTAATCACTGCCTGTCTGCCGGTGTTTTCCTGCTGGAATGTGTGTACTCCATTACCAGCCAGCTTGTTGACTGGCGTGGATCTTGGTTTTAATATTTAATGAGATGATGAAACCGAGCTGAAATGAGAAGAATGTGGAAGGTGGGAGAAAGAATGGGAAAGATAAGAAAAGAGCTGCCCTCTCTTGATGGCAGGAGATTCTCCAAGAAGAGTTCAGCACAGCATCTTCAGGCAACTATTTGCTGTCCTGTTGAGTACCAAGGCCCAGCTGACATAGAAACATAGCCAGCCCAATCTTTAAGAGCACCGGCTCTGGAGTCCAAGTACTTGACTACAAGTTCCAGTATAATCCCTTGGGTAATTTACTTGACTTTTTCAAGACTTACTGTCTGTTTTAAACAGGAAAAATAATATGGACTCTATGTATACATGTACACACACACGTATTTATATTTTATATAAAATTAAATACAACTTTAGTATAATTTACATATAGAAAAATGCACACATCTTAAGTATATAGTAAATCTATTAGCCACGACCCTTATCAAGATACAGTATATTTTCATTACCCAGAAAGTTACATATAAATATTTTAAAAACTAAATAACAGTAGCTTATACTTTTATAATGCTTTCCATGGGCCAGGTATGCTGATCTAAGTGCTTTATGTTATCTTGTTTCATTCTCACCAAGAGAGGTGCTGTTATTATTTCCACTTTACAGATACAGAAACAAAGATACAGAGAGGTTAAGTGATTTCTCCAAGATCACACAGACAATAACCGATATTCCACTTCCGCACTCTGCTCACCGTTGTCTATATAGCACTTACCATGTGGTCTATTACTGACTAAGTACATTAGAGGAATGAGAATGGAGCCTCCTTGATGGCCGACATTTCCTTCCATTCCTCTTCTTCATAGTCCAGTTTATCATTCCACCTTGTCTTGGGCTGACGGGCTGTGCATGGTACTCTAGCAGAGTCTTTGAGGGAAAAGATGGTTCCATCCCTACCTTCAACACTCAGATGCATGATAGGTGCTCTAGAAGAAGTCATTGACTGTTACTCCCAGAAAATCCTGTCCCCCAGCTCCCACCCAACTGTCACTACTTGAAATTTTGACAAACTTACAGGTGGGCTCACTGGGCCCCCTGCCAGTTTGGGCTGCTTAGCCACCTTTGGGCTCAGTCTTAACCTTGTCCTTTTGATAGTCTAAAAATTTCAAGTGAAAATCCCTCCTGTTTCTGGGCCTGTTGTGGCTCCCTTGTCCCAGCTTCCCATACTCATTTCTCCTCAGTCAGTCCTCATTCTTGCCCAGTTGCTATGCTTTTCCTCCTCCACTTTTGCTTTTTTTTTTTTTTTGCCTCCTCTTCTGTGTCTGTCTTCTCTTTCTTTGCCTCCTCTTTCTTCTTTTTCTCCGTCTTTTTTTCCTCTTTTACCTCTTCTTTTTTCTTTTTCTCTTCATTCTTCCTCTCTTTTTTCTGCTCCTTTTCATTTTATCATGGTCTTCATGAGCACCACCAAATAAAATTAAGAAGCCACTCTCTGCTAAATGCATTGTAATTGCCCATGGGAAATTATTTTTTTTGTAGGGGGCAGCCGCATCCACTGTATCTCTCATATGGTTAAACTGATGCTTACCCATTTGTACTAGATTATTTTCAGACATATTTAGCCAATCATTCCTTTGACATCTCGTTTTGAGTGTCTTATAGATACTCAAACTCATTATTTCCAAAACTTTACTCATTCTTTTCAAGAAAACCTTCTGCTCTTCCATGATTTTTCTGCCTTTGAACCTTTCTCATATATGCCTTGAATCTGGTCACATCTCTCTCTTTATCACTTGCATGCTGGTCCTGTACACCCGTGTGTCATATGGAATGCTTGGCATTTGGCAGACGCTTGACACATACTTTTTCACATGAATAGAGAAACGGAAGTGCCATGGAGGGACAAGCACACGCTCATGAAACCTCCTCCCTTTATTTTTTTTATGTTTCACAAGAGCACTAAACACAGTCAAGTGACTTGAAACCATTAGCTTCTCTCCAGTTCTTTTCAGAGCTAAGATTTCACAATTTGAGTCAAAAGCAGCAAATGACTACTAAACTCAGTGTAGAACATTAACATTAAAACACAATATGAAAAATTTCTTTAAGAATTTCGTGCCAGAAAAAGCTATGGTTCCTGCAAGGAATTTGTCCTCTTCTATCCTAATGATCAACAAACTCTAGAACTTGGAGGGCTGCCCTTATGGCCCCAGTAAGGGCAGTTGGAGCTCATGTTGTCTTTTCCATTGGGATGTCATCTTTCTTCTTTCATTCTTTTTGGACTAAGGTAATGTATAAAGAAATACTTATAACTAATAATAAACACATGAACAAATAATGTGCAAAATTACTTGCAATTTCATAGGAGTACAATTGTAGATTCATGTTGGGGGCACTGAGCATAATTTGAAATATGGTATGTTTCTTTTTTTAACTTTTATTTGAAGTTCAGGGGTCCATGTGCGGGTTTGTTATATGGGTAAACTTGTGTCATGGGGATTTGTTATGCAGATTATTTTGTCACCCAGGTATTAAGCCTAATACCCATTAGCTATTTTTCCTGATCCTCTCCCTCCTTCTACTCTCCACCCTCCGATAGACCCCAGTGAGGGTTGTTCCCCTCTGAGTGTCCATGTGTTCTCATCATTTAGCTCCCACTTATAAGTGAGAACATGTAGTATCTGGTTTTCTGTTCCTGCATTAGTTTGCTAAGGATAATGGCCTCCAGCTCCATCCATGTCCCTGTCTCCACTCATACCTTTGGACATGATCTTGTTCTTTTTTATGGCCACATAGTATTCCATGGTGTATATGTACCACATTTTGTTTATCCAGTCTTTTATTAATAGGCATTTAGGTTAATTCCATGTCTTTGCAATTGTGAATAGTGCTGCAATGAATGTACGTGTGCATGTGTCTTTATAATAGAACGAATTATATTTATTTGGGTCAATACCCAGTAATGGGATTGCTGGATCAAATGGTAGTTCTGTGAAATGTAATATGTTTCATTGTACATATGTTTTCTTACTGCTCCCATCAATTGACTGCTTCTTTCCTTTAGTACACATGGACTGTTCAAAGGTAAGGAGCATATGTTGTCATCTGTTTGCACAGAGAGCTCATTACATGTCTTTAACTGATATTTATTATCTTTATTTCCTCCCATCTCATACTTTCCCCAGTTCCTCTTTTATTGCTGTAGAGTCCAAGCAAAATCTCTTTGATCCTCTTATTTAAATATTGGGCCTAAGTTTATGATACATTTCTTAAATCACTCTTTGCTTTGGGCCTTTTAGGGAAGGGCTCCCCTTGGCTCTTTTTCACAAGTGAAGAAATAAAGCAGGCAAGAGCCCCTGCCTCAAGTCTGTCTCATCTCTCTATCTTCTTAGCTGAGTGCTTTTAGAAAAGAAAACCAGGCCAGCGGATAAATTCTTCCCATTTCCATTTTTATTTATAGGGAGAAAAATGGCTGTGGTTTTTTCCTTTCCTCTTTGAAGTTTGCTTCCAGTTCTTCAGTTTATTTGAAATATAGTATACTTCTTGGTTTTCCTTTTGTAATAAACAACACTAGGTTTTAAATCTGTGGAGCTGTAAATGAGAGGAGCTTCAGCCTCCTCTTCTTCAGAGCTGATATGGGGAAGGTAAGGGAAGAGGAGAATCAGATGATGATTGGAAACAATTACACAACCATTCCATTTTGCTAATGCTTGAATCCAGGATAATTTTCTCATTTAATTCTCTGAAATGAAGGGCCCCTCTGTTAGCCTTAAAATGTAAACAAGAGGCTTTTAATGCATGATTTTCCCAGAAATGGAATGCTAGCTGCTCATATTGATTCAAAACATTGCTGTTGGCTTTTGTTCTTTTTGGTATTTGTAAGTTTTGTGATGGGGGCAATATAGGATTGTTCATGTGTGGCTTGAGGATTGTCAGTACGTGGTATTATTATTCTAAGTTGCAAACAGAAATTAAAAAGGACATTCAGAGAACGCTTGCCTGAGCCCTCCATTAGTCTGTCCACATACAAAAGGGAAAATGGAAATCTGAGGCATATATCCCAATTATTTCAATTTATACCCACCTCTTGGAACTCAATTCTCTGAGTTTGGTATTCAGACCAAAGTGTAGTTTGTTTGAATGATGCAGATAATAGCTTTAAGTCCACTTTATTCCAGCCTGTCTGGACCAGGCATTTGTAAAATTTATAAGTTAGCAACAGTGGAAGGAAACTGAAGCTTTAACATGCTCTCCTTTGGACTGAAAAACTTCTGCATAGCATTGGATCCCAATGCCTCATTGCACTTAATAACTGCAACTGAATTTGTATCATGTTTTACTTTGATCTTCTTATGAAAGAGTCATTCTCATCTCCATTTTTGGAGGGAGAGAAGTGAAATGGCTCATCCAAGGTTACACACAGCCTGGTGGTAGTAAGGCTGGGATTCAAACCCAGGTCTCCCAACCTTTAACCCAAAGCTCTACTTACTATGCCATGCCTTCCTCTATGATTAGGTAAAACGGCTCAGGGGAGGTGGTGAAGGTAAAGAAACACACATGCAGTTCTCCTTCTACACCTCCCATCCCACCCCCAGCTGCTACCACCTAGTTTCCTCAAGGATAACACTGAATAATGAGTATTGATCAATCCAACACTAAACAGGGTTCTGATTCTGTGAGTTGCCCTAAATACGGGCCCCTTATTTGCCTTCAGCAAACACTCACTCATTCATCTAACACTTACTAAGATCCTACTGGATAACAGGCATTGTGCTAGGAACTGTAGGAGACATGACTTGATTGAGATTGGATATCTCACCCCAGGCTCTCACTGTCTGATGAGGAAAAGGTAGCGAATGGCTTGAAGTCATGATTGCTGTTTGCTAGCCAACTGCAATGCGATGGGGAAGCCCAACCGACTATAGTTGAATAAAAAAATGAAAGAAGTGAATGATTGGACTAAAGACTCAACCACTGAGTTGACTAATGCTCATTATTGTTTAATTCTGAGGTTCTAGGACTGAGATTTCTTTTCAGTCCCCTGGGACTGTAACTTATAAAACCACAACAAACATCAATCAATCATTAAACAGACCAAGCTATCCAGGTCTTGGATTTTCTATTTAAGGCCAACTTAAGGGAGTTAACAAACTCAGAGGGTGGCTGCCTCAAGCTAGCAGAATCTAGAAATTGGTAATAATTGCCCTGCACTCATGAGCCGGAGTGAGTGGGGCTGGAATAACACTGGCGTTGGAGTCAGACAGGTCCATGCTGGGGCCTTGCCTCTGTTGGAGACACACTAGCTGGGTGAGCTACATGGAGCTCCTATTTTCTCATCTGTAAAATGGGGACAATGCAATCCATTGAATAGGTTTTGGTAAGGATTAAATAAATTCTCAGTATGATGCCTAGGATCTAGCAGGAGTTCAATGTACATTGCATATCTCTCACAATTAATATTCCACTCTCTCACTCCCCTTCACACCAATAATTTCTGTCCCTTTAAAAAAATATGTTATAGTGACCCTGGCTGCTGAGAAGACTCTATTTGAGTATGTGACCATGGACTAGCTAATAAAGAGATAAAAGTGTAGGAGTTCCTGGTTAAGTAGAGATTGAGAGTCATGAAACCATGGAATTCTATGAGTCTCTAGAGGAGACTGGCATGAGGGAATAAGGGATTCTGTATGGTGTGATGTAAATGAGAGACAGTGGGTCAGGGATGATAGCCCTGGAAGGGTGTGGGAGGTGCTGACCAATCTGATAGGTGTCCTGAGCACTTATAAATCCATGTGAATTCAGATGTCATCGAATTGGAAATGGTGTCAAAGGATGTGAGACACAGATCTTCATAGTCACAACGTTACTGGACTCATTTTTCCTCTTGCATGAATTTGAAGTAGAGCACTTTCCTAAAAATCTTGCTTTATTTATGTAATGTGTGTGTGTGTATATATATATTTTATATATGTATACATGTATATGTGTATATATATTTTATATATGTATACATGTATATGTGTACATATATTTTATATATGTGTGTGTGTGTGTGTGTGCATATATACGTAAATATTTTTTAAAGATGAGCGTCTTGTTATGTTGCCCAGGCTGGCCTTGAACTCCTGGGCTGAAGCAGTCCTTCCATCTCAGTGTCCCGAGTAGCTGGGACTGCAGGTGCATGCCCAGCACCCAGCTAGGAATCCTTCTTTAAAGACTGTCAAGATTATCCAGTACAGAGGCAGCTTCGTCAGCCAGAAGCTTTTTTATTTGCTGCTCCTTTCATCACCAGGATGAAGAGGTGGGTGCACAGTCTTCCAACAGCCCAAACTGCATTCATCTGGTGTGGCACTGCAAATGTAATCATTCTAAGCATTAGGAAACAAATCAAATTTTGGGTCCCAATTCAATTGGCCATATATGCATTTTTATTTTTCTAAAAGCACTTTCTAAGGAGCTGGATTGGCTTTTTATTTTTCCCAAAGCATTTCTAAGGAGCTGGATTTAATGAGCAAGCTAGCAATGAGGAGGCCAGCCAGCAGCTGCAGGCAAGTGCAGTGGGGTAACTAAGGGTGCAAGTACCTTTCAGAACACACTATTTATGTCCTAGTAGCTTTCAGAAGGCGTGATGATAGGCTATCTCAGTGGCCATTTCCTGCCATCGGAGAGATGTTGATGGGAGTCTTTCATTACTTGCCAGTTGAGGCCAGGAAATGGTCTCTATGATTACACCCTAATTTGATAAACCCTAAAATGAATCTATTGCTGTCTCACTCAAATGCTCCAAAATGCATATGCTTACACAGGTATGTAGCACATCTAATCCATCAGCAGGTCATGTCGACTCTGCCTTCAAAAAATAACCCATGTTCATCGACTTCCCTCTGTACTTGCACCCTTGTCTCTACTGCTGCAAATGAATCAAGCTTTTGTCTTCTCTCCCCTGCACTGTTATAGTAAGGAAGCAGGATAGTTTAATAGGTATGAATATGGGCTCTGGAATCATATTTCCTGAGTTTAATGCAGCTCTGCTTACTAGCTGTGTGATTTTAGGCAAGTTACTGAACCTCTCTAGGCTTCAGTTCCCTCATCTGTAAAATAGGTATAATGATATACTTCATAGAGAGAATGCCTGGTAGACAGTCAGGGTGCAATAAGTACAAGACCCCTTCTTTACCTCTACAGAAAGCCTCCTCAGTGTTTTCCCACCTTCCTCTCTAGGTCCGCCATTAAAAACACAAAAATGAAAAGTGTTTATCACTACCCAGGAATCAAACTTTTTACCATGGGCCCCAGGGCCTGATGAGACCTGGCCCTGGCAACTTCTCCAAATTTATCATCTCACATTAAACCCCTGTTTCCTGCAATCCAGCCACATTTGTGTCCACATCATTCCTCCAAGTTCTGCAGATTTCCACCCCAGAGCCTTTCCATGCCCTTTCCTCTCCAAGTGTGCCTCCCTGAAATCAGTGCATGCAGCTGCCTTCTCCCCGTTCAGGTCTCAGCTTAAGTGTGCCCGGCTCAGCGAGGCCTTCGTTGACTGCACTGTATGAAGTGGTCTTCACAGGCCCCTAGATTCTCTTCATCCTGTCACCTGGTTAATTTCCTTGCTGGTAGTTATCAGCGCCCATTGTTGTAACATCAGCTCTCATGGCCCCCAACTCCAGCACCTGCCTCCCAGGGCTGCCCTCGGGCTGCAGGACCCTACTTTTCCCGGGAACTGGAACCACCGAAAGCGCAGTCCACCCGCCGGGTCTGAACATTCCAGGTTCATCACCCCTGGAGTCTACACTGTCTCCAGAACTCCTCATAGGATTGAGTTCAAAAGTTACCTTTTGTGAGGCTTGCTTGATTTTTGTACTCGGCTTGGCCTCCTTCCCTCCACTTCCCCACTCCTCTTGCATATTTTTCTGGAACATCTCCTAATAAGTCCTCTTCATCCAAACTTCATGTTAGAGTTTGCTTCTGGAGTATCTAACCTAAGACAACTATTATCTTGTTTATTTAATTATTTATAGCACTTTAGCACTTTACTAGAATATAATATCCATGAGAACAGTGAGTATTGACTATGTGTGTATGCATATATATGTATATATATTTAAACATACATGTTTAAGGATATAAATATATTGCATGTCGACTCTCAGAGCTTTCAAATTATATTTATAATCAGTGTGACTTTTTGGGATACAAACATATTCACATCCTGTTAAAAGTTATTTACTTTAGCTGGGCACAGTGGCTCATATCTGTAATCCCAGCACTCTGGGAGGCCGAGGCGGGCGGATCACGAGGTCAGGAGATCGAGACCATCCTGGCTAACACGGTGAAACCCGTCTCTACTAAAAATACAAAAAATTAGCTGGGTGTGGTGGCAGGCGCCTGTAGTCCCAGCTACTTGGGAGGCTGAGGCAGCAGAATGGCATGAACCTGGGAGGCGAAGCTTGCAGTGAGCAGAGATCGCGCCACTGCACTCCAGCCTGGGTGACAGTGCGAGACTCTGTCTCAAACAAACACACAAAAAAGTTCTTTACTTTGGGAGGCCAAGGTGTGTGGATTGCTTAAGCCCAGGAGTTTGAGACCAGCCTGCAACATACCAAGACCCCATCCCTACACACACATATACAGTAACAGTTCCATCAGTTACATGTCAGTCCACCCTCCCTGCTGTCTCTGTGTTTCTAAATGGCATGAGCCAACTTATAGGGTATTTGCTTATTAGGTTTAGTGCAAAATCACTTTTTACGTTCAATATAAAGGATATATGGTAAAAGCAAGAGCTTGGTTTGGACTTTCGATGGATATCTAGTATAAAGTTCTGGAAGTACATTTTTCCTTAAGGATTTACCGCCTAACTATATTTTCTCCCTTCTAAGATACCTGGAGAGAATTTTAACCAGGTGCTGAGTTCTAACATTTCTAAATAGGCCGGGTTTGTTTAGCTGGGAGATACATTTTGGTCCCCGAGGGGTTCATAAAGTGGAGACGTAGATGGCGCCGGAGGCTCGCCAGAGGGCTGCAGGTGATGATTCTGGGTGTTGTAATGAGGCATGTTTCTGGGGGTGAGGCAAGTGACTCATGGGGAGCTGCTGAAGAATGCGTTGGGGGAAAATGCTAGTGAAGTTGTAAAAGGCTTGTAACCTGATCTGGAATATGAAATTTGTGGGTAGTTATTGATTTCCCAGTGGGCGGAATTAGTTTTCTTCGTGATATGCTGGCTGGAGGAGGGAGGTTGTGAGAACAAATTGCTAACTGTCAGACTAGAATCATGTCTATGGAGATCTCCCTTTGTGTCCAGTTGATCCAACCAAGTGGCTTTCAACATCTGCAAATGCTCGCAAACCGAACAGAAGAAAAGCAGCCTGGCAGAGCAGAGCTGGATTTACACTGGTCAGCCCTGCCTGGGAGAATTTTGGGTTTCAATTACACAGGGAGGGCAGGGTGAGCTGTGATATCTATAGCATCCCCCGCCCCTTCCCCATTGCCAGTCCTCCGAGAGAGTTGAGCTGAGGAGAATTCGACTTTCAGTCAATAGGAACTTGGCCAAAGCCGAATGAATTTCACCTTAAAGTCTGTGAAAAATGGAACAGGATTGAAGAGTCGATTAACCCGTGCTGGTGACAAAGTCTGGGGCTGGTTATGAGTGGAATGAGATTCCAAGTGCAGGCTGCCACAGTCAGGCTTAGAAACGTGGGCACTCATGCTGAGGATGTGACTGAGCCCTGACACAGATGCATTGCTTGTGTTTAACCCTCTTCCCCAACACTAAGAGAGGGGCTAGAGAAGTACCGTGCACTACACTCCAGAATGTCCTAAAATCTGTATTCTGATGGTGGGACCAGGATGTACCTGGGTTCACAGATTGGCAAGCATTTCCCTAGCAGGGATATAGTGTCCATCTTGTCTTATGTTTTATGAGTGATTCTTTGGGTTCTCCTTCTCTCAACATGAGTTTCATGGAGGAGAGGGGTAATGGCATATCCCATGGAAATTGCATTATATCAAAAGGCCACTGCTGACCTTCTATTATTTCTGGGTGAGTGCATGTGGATTGGTGTAGGGCTGGTCCTGAACTGGTACCTCTCAAAAAACCTGGAGGGATGATGGTGTACCCCAACTACAGCTTGGGCCTTACTTTCATTTATGGGATGACAGCAAGAATCTCACTGGTTTTCCTGTTACATAGACAATGACCATATCGTGTGATAAATAGTAAGATGGAAATATATCGAAATATATTCTGGGTGCTATAGGAATGAAGAAGAGTCACCCAAGGCAAAGGCGGGGTGTCAGGAAAATCATCCTAGAGGATTTGACATCTAAGTTAACAGCTAGAAGGGAAGGAGTCAGGAGAAGATGGCTGGGACAAGAGTATTCTAGGCAAAGAAAATAACATGCAAAAATTCAGGAGAAGGAGAGAGTTTGTGGTTGGAACAGAGAGAGGGAGGTGGAGGAGTGGAAAGTGGTGAGCGCCCACGATGAGTTAAGGGAAGAGCTTGCTCACAGATGGCCTCCAGCCATGCCAGAGAGTTGAAAAAACTCATTCTGAGGGCAATAGGAAGTTACTGAAGAATTTCCTGACCACAAGGGACTCCTGTGCAGGGAGCAGGTAGGGTGGTTAGGAGACTTGACACAGAACATGAAGGAAGTTGGCTTGAGGGTAGAATGGACATAACTTCATGATGGATTAGATGCTGATGTAAAGAGAAGAACTGAAAGATGATTTCTTTGCTTGGTTGACTGTGTGACTGGGGGTGTCCTCACTCTTGAGAGACAGCAAAGGAGAAAGAACAGACTTGTGGGGAAGAGGGTCAATTCAGATATGGTTTTTAGAAGTGTTTTCTGCTGGAGCTGGATTGTGGCTGTGATTGCAGATGTGATTTTGGCTGGATGCACCTCAAGGTGGTTTTCCAAAGTGACAAAGAATTTTCATTTAGTTCTTCCAATGGAGCTGATACTGGCAAGGAGCAGGTGAAAAAAGGGTCCTCTTATTTGAAGTGTCCCTGAGCCATCAAATAATTGCAAAAGCACACCACACTTCAAGAGGGCTTTGCATTCAGGTAGGTAGCACTGACCGCCACATGACAAAACTTTCCTAAGGGAGGACCCAGAACCCAGAAATACCGCATTTTCCTCTCTGCAGTCACTTGGACAAAGAAAACCCTTTCAATTAAAACCCAAAGAGTTGAGTAGTTCTGCAGATTCCCCCATGGCTGGTCTGAATTATAATTTGGACTTGTCACTCGGTGGTAAGTCTCCCAGCCTTTGTCAGACATTGGATACCTAAGGCAGGAACCCAGCCTGGGTGTGCAGGTCTCTGACATTCATTACCTCTGCCTATGAAGATTTATTTCAGGGTGTGAACTATTTATCTTCAAAACCATTTGTGTTTGTTGGCTTGACAATCAAGCAGCAATTTGGAAATGCTGCTTCCTGAAGCTTTACGACTAATATAATTTCACAGCTCCAATTACAAATGAGAAAAATTATTTCATCTACAAACAGGAGCCAGACATTTCTGAGAAATCATGGTTAAAGAGAAGACAGAGTACCTTCTGAAAAACAGGCCATGTTATTAATGGTCTCTTCAGTGAAAATCTTGCTGACTCTCCACACCATGAGCCTCCATCTTATGGGGATGCTGGTTTTGAGAATCTGTAAAGCAGCTGCCTTTCAGGTTGATAAACCATTGCTTCTCCTAGTGCCTGGTCTGCAGCTCCCACAGCCTCAGTACTCTGTGAGCAAGGCAAACACCCACTGTCTTTCCACCTAGCAAATATATCCTTCCTCCTGCAACTTCCTCGGAACCTATGTTTTGTAGAATCCTAGAATTTTGCATGTGGCCTTAATAATCATTCAGTTCATCCCTTCATCTGATACTTTACCTCTTCCTTGTGCCTATCTATAGACAGCAACCTACTACTTGTATACTTCTAGGAATGGAGAACTTACTGCCAGACTTTCCCGTGAAAAATCTACTAGCTTAGTTCAATTTTAAGTGGGATTTAAAGTCTGGTGACTTACCAAGGAGATCTTTCATATCTAAAATCTCCTAAGTGGCTTTTTCCTTGGATTCATATCTTAGTAATGGGATTTATGTGCGGTATCTCAACTAGAGTGCTAACAGAATGACCTTTTAAGGAAAACCCTGACCTCAGTTATTCCACAGCTCTGTTTTATGACCACTCCTAATAGGTTGCCACTCCTAAGATGTAAAGGTACTAAGTGTTTTTCCTGTCTACTCAAGTCTGCTTCTTATCTCTGTTGGCTCCGTGCAGTGCTGGGTAGTTAACCCTTGGTCATTCCTTTCCACCCTAGAATAGTGACTGGCACATAGTAAGCCTTCCATAAATGTGTAGAATGACTGACTGAAAGAGTCAGTTAAATGTGTGAATGGGTTAGCTCTTGATCTGCCTTTACATAGTTCCTTCCTGTAGGTCCAACTGACCTCATTTTACAGGTGGAGAAAGTTTTAAATAATTTTTAATCTTGAGCCACAAAAAGCTATTTTAAGCCTTAAAACATTGTCATCTTGTACTTTAAGCTCAAGGCAATTGACCACGCTTGATTTGTTTCTTACTACCTTGCTTCAAGAGTTTATCAAATCTTTAGCTTCAGCAGAATCCAAATACGTTATGTCAGAAGCTGGGAATCTAGGGGACAACCTGCGCACTCTTATACTCATTGTCATCACCTGGATTGTCATCACCATGGCATCTTCACTGCAGTGACACAGATTTCCTGAAGGCACATCTTTTGGTGACTCCCTTTTACCCAGAGGACTGTGGAAAAACAAGACTTTCTGTTGTATTTTAAATCTCCTTTTTTAGAATCTCTTATTTTACTTTTCAAAGAGGAAGACTTTACCACTTTATCTAACTTAGTAAGATAATGCACAATTTTTATCTTCTGGTTGGGCTTAATTATCACATCAATGAAGGCATAATTGGGAAGCTAAGTATCATTAAGTTAGGGAAGTTATTCGTATCCCAATGACAAAGCATTTACCACTTCAGATGAACTCACCTGGTTTTTCTACAACAAGAATTTCAACACCTAATTTCCCTCTAGCAAACAAAAGATTGCAAAATTACAAGTTCACATCCTTTTGAAGATAACTTTTAGCCAGGCAAAAGAAAAAAGAGAAGATAACTTTTAAAATAAACTTTTTAATGAATATTGTAAGACATTTTTTTACCCTGCTTAATAAATACATCTGGATGAAAATCTCAACTTTATGATGGCAAGATATGGACTAAATATTTAACTTAAGTAATAGGGTAATTGATAAAGTAATAGATATATTTTCTCCAACTTTCTTCCTTATCTTTCTAAACAAAGGGTAGTGGCTAATCAATGTATTGTACTCTCAAAAGTCCTTAGGCCAACGAGTTGGTTTTTTTTTCTTTTGAGACAGGGTCTCACTCTGTCGCCCAGGCTGGTGTGTAGCGGTGTGATCATGGCTAACTGCAGCCTTTACTTCCTGGGCTCTGATCTTCTCACTTCAGCCTCCTGAGTAGCTGGGACTACAGGCATCCATCACTATGCCCAGCTAATTTTTAAATTTTTGGTAGAGATGGGGTCTTCCTATGTTGCCCAGGCTGGTCTTGAACTCCTGGGCTCAAGTTATCCTACTGCCTCCACCTCCCAAAGTGCTGCAATTATAGGAGTGAGCTACCATGCTCAGCCCCAACAATATCTTCAGTCCAAATTTCTCATAAAGTGTCATTAAAGCTGTGGCCTATGATTCTATCTACAATTTTAAGCAAAGCAGAATCAAAATTTTTGTCATCTATAATTTTCTGTTTCCATAGAACTGACACTTCCATTGCAATTAAGAACACTTCTTTTAAGTGTTATCTTTCATTATTCTCCTTCCAAGAGAATATAACCCTAGATTTATATTCTCTAAACCACCAGTGTTCCCTAAATCCTCACTCTTCCTATTGCAATATTATCCACTTGTCACGGACTGTCTCAAATGCCACCTCCTCCATTCATTCAGCCAAGATTTACTGACTCACTGCTATGAACCAGGTACTGTATCAGGCACTTGAATATTAGTTCAGCTCTCATGGAGCTTAATCTTTAGTGGGATGAATGGACATTAATTACGTTTATTGGAATTTAATTAAAAACTGAGATTTGGCTCTGAGAGAAGGGATATACTCTTATTAGATCCTATAAAGTCTTCTATGAACCTTCTGACCAGAGCTCATGAGAGGGCTTCTGAAGCATTCAATTTGTTTTGTGACTCTGTAAATTGGGACTCTTTGGTTTCAAGCAACAGAATCCTACTCTGGTAAATTTAAGTAAAAACAAATGTATTTAGAAGAAAGGGAATAATCCATAGAATCAGAGGAAATGCTGAGGAACTAGTTATCGGAGAGGAGAGACTCAGAATCTTGGAGGGAGAGGGGACTCAGCATGTGCCCCTGGGCAGCCTCCTTGGGGCACTTCTGGGATGAAAGCGGAGCCTGAGAGACTACATATTTCTTTTTTCTTTTTCTTTTTTCTTTTCTTTCTTTCTTTTTTTTTTTTTTTTTTTTTTTTTTTTTGAGATGGAGTCTAGCTCTGTTGCCCAGGCTGGAGTGCAGTTGTGTGACCTTGGCTCACTGCAATTTCTGCCTCCCTGGTTTAAGCTTCTGCCTGGCTTAAGCTATTCTCCTGCCTCAGCCTCCTGAGTCGCTGGGATTACAGGTGCCTGCCACCATGCCCAGATAGTTTTGGGTTTTTTTTTTTTTTTTTTTTTTTTTTTTTTTTTTTAGTAGACTTGGGGTTTCACCATATTGGCCAGGCTGGTCTGACACTCCTGACCTCAAGTGATCCACCTGCCTTAGCCTCCCAAAGTGCTGAGATTACAGGCGTAGGCCACCATGCCCAGCCAAGACTGCACATTTCATGTAGTGCTTAAGAGCACAGTCTCTGCAGTCGGGCTGGATTTACCACTTACTAGCTGTGTACACATGACAAGTCCCTTTGTTTCCTCATCAGCAAAACGGGGAAATAATAGTGTCTACCTCCCTTAGTCACTAGGAGAATTTACTGAGATGATTCATGCACGACACTTGCAACAGTGCCTAGCACATTGTAAGCACTCAAAATACTGTGTATTAGTACCGTTGGCAGTTATCATTATGAACGTTCCCTCAAGATTCAGATTTCAGGAGGCCATCCTAATTGGGGCCAGGTGTCCAGCCCTTCTCCAGGGGAAGGCAGGGAGCCTATGACAGCTTCTCAGGATTATAGCCCATGACAGTATGACTCCCCCACGTACAGTCAGGGTGCTGTGCCAGAAGGAGTGGGTGTAGCTCTTGGGCTGACAGAATAAGAGATGTCCTCTACCTCTTCTGACCTTTGTCTTATTCTAATTTCTGCCATTGTTCATTGGTTTTGCTTTTTTTTTTTTTTTCCTGTAATCACCTCTGTCAGTTTTTAAGTACCTAATGGGCAGAACCACATCTTATCTCTGTACCTTGATAAGGAGAGTATCTTCACATTAAAGATGTCCAACATCTATTTGTTAGATTTAAAATGATATCCTGGTGTGTATGATTCATATTGCAGCTCAAGCAGCATCTGAGTCGGGGCAGCTTGACACATGTTTGGATTTTTTTTTTTTCCTCAAGGTTTTCTGTTTTCAAGGGAAATATGGAGACAAAGCTGCGAAGGGCTTCAGAACCTTCCAGAAATTTCCCTGAAACAGCAATGTCAAGAGACATACCCTTCTCTGCAAAAGTTTTAATTTCTTTCTTTCTTTTTTTGAGATGCAGTCTCACTCTGTTACCCAGGCTGGAGTGCAGTGGCACCATCTCAGCTCACTGCAACCTCCATTTCCTGGGTTCAAGTGATTCTCCTGCCTCAGCCTCCCAAAGAGCTGGGATTACAGGCGCATGTCACCATGCCCAACTAATTTTAGTATTTCTAGTAGAGACAGGTTTTCGCCACGTTGGCCATGCTGGTAAATGAAAGCAATGTGCAGAAGGATGCAAGTGGAAGGTTGTTCATTTTGTACTGTCTGTACCAGAGAAGAATGTTCAGTAGTACAGGTATGGCTGAATAGAAAAATACATCCATGATAAGGAGTACTATAAAACAGTTAAAAATAACTAAGTTGGTCCCTAAATGTGATAATACAGAAAGTGCTCCAAGAAATATTAGTGAGTGAAAAAAAATCAAGGTTCAGAGTAATATATACATCATGGTCCCCTTGTATAAAATGGAAACAAAGCCAAAATAACTATATGTTTTATACTGATAAACACATAAGTAAAATTGTATAAAAGGGTCTTGGAAGTTTATAGTGACAGTAATAGACTTAAATGAAATGCAAAGTTAAAATAACACTAGATATTTCATATGGCACATTTTTATATGTATGTGTATATATAAAATATATAGAACATACTAGAATATACAGAATAAAATAACTGGTTGCCTCTGGGTAGGAAGGGTTAGAAAAGGGACTAGAATTGTGAATGATGTTCTCAGGAAATCTTAACCTAATCTTTAATATTTTAATTTTTTACAAGGAGAATGTCTTCATGAACTATTTATTTAATGAAACATTGTATGCATATATGAAAGAAAAGAAACTAAAAAATGAGGAATTCTACACTACTCTGAACTGTCTTTATTCCAGAATGCCGGGACATTCTGCTTCCTGTCATCACCAAAGAGCTGAAGGAGCTGCTGGAGCAGAAGGATGACATGCAACACCAGGTCCTGGAGAGGAAGTACTGCGTTGAATTGCTCAACAGCATCTTGGAAGTCCTTAGCTACCAGGATGCGGTGAGTCCTCCTGATGATGTAGATATCCTGGACTCAGACTAGGGCTAAGTTGATTACATTGTGAAATATTGATACTGATGGATAGCAGCTGGAGTCTAAAGATAAAAGTCAACGGCTTGCTCAGCAGGCCTACTTTTCCTGTGACTAACCCCCATTGCTGTGAAGGATGGCTAGGGGACTGGAGTTAATCATGTTAGCATTTTGTCTCTGTGTGTCTTGTTGGCCAGGCTTTCTCAGAATGTGGGTATAGACATTATTGCAGCCTTTTAAGATGGCTTGTCCACGTACTCACGCCCTAGTTTGCAGGGGTGGGAGGAGGAGTTTCCTATGCCTAGACAGCAAGAAAACTCTCGTGTCTGCTTTCTTAGCTGATTTACTTCGGTTTTGTTTCTTCAGTTACCTTCTGAAATGACAAAAATGATTAAGCCTCTTCCTGGATGAGCAGATTGCTGGGGCTCAGATTCCAGAGATAGGGTGTGGAGTAGGATGGTGGTAGGGAGATGCCTGTGGCCGTGAAGTTACTGTGTATTTTGTAGACGTCATTCAGAGATTAGCTGGGGACGGAAACCAAAGGAAAGTCTCAGTGGGAGTAAGTGGAGGGCTTCCAAAGGGCTGAATCTGCAGAAGATAAGCCAGATGGGGTGGTGAAGACTGAGAGGTAGTGATTAGACCCAGGCCTGGAATTCTTAAGCATTGGAAGATGGAAGGAGGGTGCTGGATCTGACCCAGGTTCCTCTGGCAGCTCCTCTTTGTCCTTGAGTAATGTCCAGGAGGTATTCAGTCCTTAGATGGGACTGGCTTCAGAGGACTACATAGACCCAAACAACCAATACATTTTTTTCTAAGCATTTGTGTGAGCATTGCCCCTTTCTCTCTCCTCCCTAGAACATCCTCAGAGAAGAGCTTTCTGAATGAACTGTGTCTATTATTGACTGTAATTCGAAAACTCTGCAGAGCAATGTTCCTTTACTGGTCAGATCCATAGTCAACCATTATGATCAATTTCCTTGCATACTGTCTTCTCCTGTCTCTTCCTTTCTACACTTACCATCCCAATTAAGCCGCTTCTTGTCTTATTACTACATATGCATAGCTTGCTTCATTCATTCATGCAGAAATATTAATACATATGACATACCCGGTGTGCGCTAGGCACTGGGAACAAGAAAACCTATCCCCAATATATAACGACTAAAATCTAGATGCATATTTGGGGTACAAGAGCTACAAAGTGTGTGTGTGTGTGTGTGTGTGTGTGTGTGTGTGTGTGTGTGTGTGTGCGCGCGCGCGTGCGCGTAAGCATTTTTGTCAAGGAAGCCTACACAAAGGAGGTGAAGCTTCAGCTAGTGTTCAGTGGTGAATAATTAATGATCATATCTCTATTTGTTGGTTTCTAGGCACTGTGCTAAATGCAATCTGCGCATTCTCTCTGCTCACCCTGATCCTAGATACTAAGGCTTATTATTCCCATTTTAGAGATGAAAAACCTGAAATTCATAGACTTCATTAGCATTCAAGGCCAAATAAATAGAGCAAATAAATGTCAGGGTCAAAATTCAAACACAGGTCAGTCTGATTCAGACTCTGTGTAATCACAGGCATAGGGGATACAAAGGCATGGTCTTTTTCTTTCTACTCCTACCTCATTTAATGGAAAGACAGTATAATAACCAAAAGCTTAGATATTCTAGATTCATTCAGATGATGATGTTAGGGTGATGATGTTTCTATAAGGACATTCAGTAGCCAGCTGTTGAGCTGGTTCCAGTCTTAGCTATTTGATCTTTTTAAAAATTGTTTTTTTAAAGGGAGATTTCAGTCTTACTCATAGTGTAGAAACATGAGGGTTTGTCTATTATTTCTGTGGTAACATCCTATATAATGTTGCCTCAGCCAGGGAGGTTGATCATGCCTGTGATCCCAGCATTTTGGGTAGCCCAGGGAGGAGGATTACTTGAGGCCAGGAGTTTGAGACCAGCCTGGGCAACATTGCAAGACCTCTGTCTCTACAAAAAAAAAAAAAAAAAGGAAAGAAAAGAAAAGAAATTTGCCGGGTGTGGTGGCATGTACCTATAGTCCTAGCTGCTTGAGAGGCTGAGGTGAGGGGATTCCTTGAGCCCAGGAGTTCAAGGTTTCCATGAGCTATGATCTTGCCACTGCACTTCAGCCCAGGTGACAGAACAGACCCTGACTCTCTGTCTTAAAAAAAAATTTGCCTCTTTCTGTTGAAAAGCCAATCCACAGTGTTTTTTACATTTTAGTAATGCTCAGATCCCTTTAAATGGGGAAAAAAATGTGGGTCCTTGGGAATATGCCAGTGGCCCCCAGTTTGGGGGATCCAGTTATAATGTGCTAATTGTCAAGTTCCTGGTTTGGTGGAAAGATGGCCCCAGTTCACAGTTATTTGTGAAGTAGGATGCTGAGGCTCTGCCCATCCCAGGGGAGTGGCCCCCTAGAGCTCTACCCTGACAGGCTGTCACCCTTTTGCACATTCCCTGACATCAGACACTGGTGAGAAGAGGCTGCTTGCTGTCTTACACACCCTCGATACTTAGGGCTTCAAAGCCAAGAAGTGAGTGGGAGGCTCTGAGCTCCCCGTGGGGGATTGTGGCATCTGGACTTGAGGTGTGTGGGAGGTGCGTGTCACTCTTTACCGCCTCTGAGTGCAGTGCTCTTATAATGAATTCTGACTGTGGGGACTAACCCACCCCTTTCTCCGGGTGAGCAACTGTCTTTGCTGGATGAGTTATTAAATACTGTTATCACCATTGAATTTGGTAGAAATTTTGATGCTTTTGGTGAGCTTCACATCTCACCTCTCCTGCTCATGAAGATGGAAATCTCTCTTCTTTTCTCAAAAGCTTCTTCAATGAATAGGAGGCATTCAGTAGCCATGATTACTTTGAGCTAAACTGAAAATGAGAGGCCCAAAAGTACCTAAATTTCTCATGTTCTAATATATAGCGGCTCTCAACATTGCCTCATTGCCTGCATAGTCATATCACCTCGAGAGTTTTTTTTTTTTTTTTTTTGAGCCAGGTTTCTGCTTCTGCCTCCTGAGTAGATACAACTATAGGTACCAGCCACCACACTTGGTTAATTAGTTAATTAATTAATTAATTTGTAGAGATGGGGTTTCACTATATTGCCCAGGCTGGTCTCAAACCCCTGGCCTCAAGTGATCCTCCTGCCTTGGCCTCCCAAAGTGCTGGGATTACAAGCCACCCGGGGAGCTTTTTAAAAGTCAAACTAGCAGGAGTCAGCCAAATGGGTAGGAAGATGGGGTGGGTCCCCGGTGAAACCCCATCTCCAAGCCGAAGAGTTTAAAACCTGAAAGTCAAGCTGTATGTTAAATCCTCAGACTGGATTGAGAACTTGTCCTACCATTTGGCACACTTTCCTCTGATTGATCCCCACCCTTCGCTTATTTTACATAAACTTACCTTTTCCTAATTGGTTTTCTACACTGTCATGCCCACCTTTGAGTGGTGTCTTCCCTTTAACCTTTTTTTGCGTACTAACAAACAAATCGGCAGTCCCCATTCTGAGTCTATAAAAGGCCCCAGACCCAGTCACACAAGGTGTGGGGAGGGACGGGGAGGGGACAACTTTCCAATCTTGGGGTAGGGGAACCAGTGCCCCACCTCCACCCCCCACCATCCCCCCGCCCCCCCACTGAAAGCCGTTTTCACTGCTCAAGAAAATTATTCTCCGCCCTCCTCACCCTTCAATGCCCCACGTATCCTCATTCTTCTTGGGTGCGGCACAAGAGATCCGGAACCGCTGAATATGGGTACAAGCTATAACATAGTTGGTGAGCTGGATGGGCTGAGTGAGACCTGGGCAGGGCGTCACTGGCTGGGGGTCCCCGGCTTGCAAAGCGACTGAGAAGAAAAATCTTGCATCAAAAGCAGTAATACCTAGGCCCCTGTCCCAAGTATTCTGACTGAATTGGTCTGGGGTGGGTGGGGCACTGCAATGAAAAGGTGATGATTACCAGGTGATGCTAACTGTCAGCCAGCATGAAGAGCCACAGGTGTTGAGCAGGTCTCAAACCTGAGCAGGCACCCCCAGTAACCTGGAGGAGCTGTTAAAACACGTTTCTGATCATTAGTCTGGACGGTGGGGTCCTGGCGTCCAGTAACTTATTTTTCTAGCAAGTTCCCAGGTGCTGTTGATGCTACCAATGTAGAGGCCATGCTCAGAAACCATTGCTCTAATATGACCTGTCTTTTTTTTTCCTTTAGTATTCACTGGAAATAGAGGAATAGCTGGGCTCATTCTCAGTTCTTTACCTTCTTAATTTAAGAACCCTGTCCAGTCTATAAAATCTAGCATCTTCCGGCTGGGTGCATGTGGCTCACGCCTGTAATCCCAGCACTTTGGGAGGCCGAGGCGGGCGGATCACGAGGTCAGGAGATCGAGACCATCCTGGCTAATACGGTGAAACCCCGTCTCTACTAAAAAAATACAAAAAATTAGCTGGGCGTGGTGGTGGGCGCCTGTAGTCCCAGCTACTCTGGAGGCTGAGGCAGGAGAATGGCGTGAATCTGGGAGGTGGAGCTTGCAGTGAGCCGAGATCATGGCACTGCAATCCAGCCTGGGAGACAGAGCAAGACTCTGTCTCAAAAAAAAAAAAAAAAAAAAAAAAAATCTAGCATCTTCCAATATGCATTTAATAAACCACAAAATGGCAAATATTTCAAACACATTAATTTGTACTCATGAATTCATCTTCATGGGATAGAAGGGACATGGAATATGCAAAGATCCAACTTTGAAAATCCAGACTGTAGAATGTGCTGTTTGCTTTCTACAGGCACCAACTTCTCAAAATTGAACACTTAGATGAAAACTAATAAAAAAGGCCCCCAGAGCAAATGTTCTGGATTTTTCTCCTGGTTGTTTGGACCTTCTCTGCTGACAAGAGCATAGCCATTTTTACTGGCTTTTAGTTGGCATCATGGAACAACCCATTGATGTTCCATGGAACATCCAAGAATAGAGACTATGTCCACCTACTGGAGGCATTGCCCAGGGTAGAACCACGTGTGGAAATTTAGCAATTACAGTGCAGGATGCCAAGCTTCCATTTGGGGGGCGCTGTGTGTTTGGGGAATGGGACAGGATGCTTGTCTTCAATAGATTGTCATTGTTTGGGTAATTACAGCCCAGAGCAGCAAGCCAACCTTATTCTTTGAAACCCTGGGTGTCATGGTAGGACTCAGGGGGAGATGTCTGCCTTAGCCTGGCTGTTGATTTTTTTTTAATCATAGTGTTGAATTCCCTCACCCAGCTTGCTCCTGGTCTCTTAGCATATGAAAGGGACCAGCTCAGGTGAAGGATAAAAGGCCTGACTTCTTCCTCTATTAACTCCTTTTCTCCCCCCTCACTGAGCAAGTTTAGTTGTCAACTCCAGTTACTTTGAAGGGCGGTTTCACACTGCTTCGTTCTGTGCTTTGCTGGCTGCCGAGTAACTGATAAAATTTAATATTGCTCCAGACCCAGAGAGAGTTGGTTTTTCCCCTCTTAAGACAGGGTTTTTGTTTTTATGTTTCATTCCTCAAGAAAAAGGAGAGTCGTTGTTTGCTACTCTGCTTAGCAGTCTTAAAGTGGGTAAAGATGACTCCTAATTCTCAAGAAGAAAAGGTGTTGGCTGCATCTGAATCGTGGACATAAGGAATTCTCAGAATCATCTTTTTTTAAAAAAGTATTTGAGTCTATTGGCTAAACCTGGGTGGGGGGCTACCAAGGTACTCTCAGTCATGAATGGTTTAAGGGTTCTGATTTTTTTTTTTTCTTTGAGATAAGGTCTCACTCTGTTGCCCAGGCTGGAGTGCAGTGGCGCAATCTCAGCTGACTGCAACCTCCACCTCCTGGCTCAAGCAATTCTTGTGCCTCAGCTGGCTGAGTAGCTGAGATTACAGGTGCCAGCCACTGCTCCCAGCTAATTTTTGTATTTTTAGTAGAGACGGCATTTTACCATGTTGGCCAGGCTGGTCCCGAACTCCTGACCTTAAGTGATCTGCCCACCTCCACCTCCCAAAGTGCTGGGATTACAGGCATGAGCCACTGCGCCCGGCCAGGTTTTGATGTTTTTGTTCACAACTTAGACATCAGTTGGGAGGCTTTTGCTTTTGCTTAGTGCAGTGTCTCTTGCTTGGAATGCTCTTCCAATTTCTCATCTTTCTCTGCAGGTAGAATCCTAAACTCGTTTGGAGTTCAGCTCAGATAACACTTCCTTTCTGAGATTTTCTCAATTCCATTCCCACTTCCTTCTCCTCCGCTCTGCCCCCAGGCAGAATTAGGGACTTCCTTGTCTGTGTTTTCAGAACCATGTGTGCACCCTGATATCCCAGCGCCAGTCATTTTGTGTTACTCTCTCCTGTGTAACAGGAGGCTTTGAGTGTGGAAGCTCAGGGAGCTTCCCTGAGCCACAGGTGTAGAGCAGGTCTCAAACCTGAGCTTCCACACTGACTTCGCAGAGTTTACGCTTTCAGCTTCAGTCTCTCCCATCCCACTTGAACTGTCTATTCTCTGGTTCCATTAAAATCCTTTCAGTTCCTCACTTGTGCAGCACCCTCTCACTTCTCACTGCGGCGGAGTGCCGTTCACACTGCCTGAATGCATCACCTCTGCTCTTAGCCTAGCTAAATCCTACCTTCCCCTCAGAAATCAGGTTAAATGTGACTCTCCTGAGAAGCCTTCTCTAATCCTCTTCTCCATGTCTCTTGTGGTCCAAGGAGCAGCTTGTGCTTGCTCCATTGTGGCACCTGTGTTGTCACCCTCTGTGGACTTTTCTGTCTGCCTGCAGAAACCAGAGTGCTATGAGGAGAGAGATCTTGCTGCTCTACCCCCCGCCCACCCCAGCACAATGCCTGGCTCTTGAAGCTATCTGAAGGAAGGAATAAATGAATGAATATGTCTCGCTCCAATTAATGGCAGGGCCTGATTTCTCCCTGGGGTCTTGTGCGCTGAGTGCTAGCAGGGTATTCTTCTTTTTGCCTTCTTTTCTTGTGCGCTGAGTGCTAGCAGGGTATTCTTCTTTTTGCCTTCTTTAGATGTCAGGTGCAGAGGGTTGAATTAATCACACTCCTGAGTTCATAACACATCATCTTCATTGGTCTGTGCAAGATCCTCCCCTGTTCTGTGTGTGTATATGCGTGTGCATTTTGTCATAAAACAAAATTGTATCAAATTGATTTTAGTGTTCTAATTGACTCTTACTAGTGATTCATGAGTCAGGCATTCGTATCTAAAAGACAGAAGGAGCTCTCTTGGGCGCAGCAAAGCAGTTGGTTATTGTAAGGTAGCTTGAGTAGGAAAAAGGAAATGGGATGATACAAAAAGGTGGGTTGGTTAACATCAGGTTACTTCAGGTTACTTTCCTTGTAAGAGTTAAAGCAGGGGGACTTCCTTATCATGCCAGCTCAAATGACCATGCCCTTTCCAACTGGTTGCTGTGAACCTTCTGTTTTTAAGAAAGACTGGTCTCTTTGGGGGATTTTCCTGCTTCCTTAAAGTTCCCATTTTAGTATGTCGCACTTAGCGCAAGCGACTCCATCTTGGTTTGATCTGGGCCTAGTGCAGGAGCTCAGTCCAAAACAATGGACTCCTATGATTTTATTGAACAATTTCTTACCCTTTATCCCCGTCTTCTACTCCCATTCCACATGCCCCCCACCCCCCATGAATGATTTGTCTAATGCGTTGAATATGCACGTGTGGTTTTGGGTGCATGTATGTTTACACACACACACACAGACTCTCTCTCTCTCTCTCTCACACACACACACACACACACACACACACACACACTCATGCCTCTCCTTTGAAGAGGATCAGATATGGACAGCAAAGGGCATTAGCATCTTAGCTGTGTTAGAATCCCGATGGGAGGGGAGGGGACTGCGGCATGAGCATGAATCCTCCAGACTAGAGGGCATTCTTGGTGGAGTCCTGCCCCTGACCTGCGTGTGGGAAAGCAGTCCACCCTGCCTGTCTACGCTTGGGCGCCTTCTTCTGAAGTGCATCCCCTGTGGCCACTCTGAGCTCTGGGTTCTCTGATAAACCTAGGCAGTTTGCCTGCTGCAGGGTGGAAGGGAGGCTGCCACTGCCTCTTTGCATTACTGTTTAATTCCCAGGAATCAATACCACCCTGCAAGAGCAGCAGGGTTTTCTTCTAACCTATCTGCTCCCTCATATTTGAAATAAAAGGCAGGGAGACAAGGCTTGCTGAAATTCTTTTGTCTATGGTGCATGCCAGAGAGCAGCTAATTAAGCCCCAAACCTGAGGTTGAAATACATGAGATCACTGCACCTTCTGCTGTGACCAAGGCTGCTTTGTTTTCACCCCTTGCTTTTCCTCTGGCTTCCGTGGAGTTAGAAATGCCCTCCTGAGGCCAATGGCACAACTTCTATGGATGACTGTATACCACACACTTCCCCAGCACCTTCTAACTGGCAGTGTGTGTTCTTATACGACACAGTTGTTTGTTTCTGGTGCCAAAGTGGCAAGGTAGATCTTACTATCCCCATTTAACTGGCGAGGAGGCTGAGTCTCAGAGAGGCTAGGTGACATTCCCAACTCAACAGCCTCTCAGGCACCACGTTACCTCCCCCCACTCTGCATCTACACATCGCCAGTTAACAGCACTTTCACCTGCACCATTTCCCTGGAGGAGCCTCTACAGGCTTTAAGTCAGACTGCATCTTGTATCCATTCCACAAATATTTAGAAATTGCCTAACATGTGCTCTATTCTGTATGCTGGGGCTACGGCTGTGAGCAGAGCAGGGGATAAATTCTAGCTCTGCTGTTATTAGCTGTGGGACATTGAGAAGTCATCTAACTTCCCAACCCCAGAATGGGTCCTCAACCCTGGGTCCATGGCCTGTTAGGAACCAGGCTTCACAGCAGGAGGTGAGCAGCTGGAGAGCGAGTAAAACTTCATCTGTATTTACAGTCACTCCGCATGGCTTGCATTACTGCCTGAGCTCCGCCTCCTTCAGATCAGCGACGGCATTAAATTCTCATAGGAACGCGAACCCTATTGTGAACTGCACATGAGAGGAGTCTAGGGTGCATGCTCCTTATGAGAATCTAATGCCTAATGATCTGTCACTGTCTCCTATCCCCCTGAGACGGGACTGTCTAGTTGCAGGAATACAAGCTCAGGGCTCCCACTGATTCCACATTATGTTGAGTTGTGTAATTATTTCATTATGTATTACAAGGTAATATAATAATAGAAATAAAGTGCACGGTAAATGTAATGCACTTGAATTATCCAAAAACCACCTGCCCCACCATCCGTTTTGTGAAAAAATTGTCTTCCATGAAACTGGTCCCTGGTGCCAAAAAGGCTAGGGATGGCTGCTCTAACCTGTCTGTATGATGAGGATACTCTTTTCCCAGGTGTGTCAGAATTACAGTAAACAAGAACACCTGTGAAAACATCCAGCCTTATGCCTGGCAAATAATCTGCACTCTATGCACGTGGCTTTCCTTCTTCCCTCACTGTTCCGATTCACTCATATGCTCTTTCTGCTGTTCCAGGCTGCTTCTAAAACATCCCTATAATTCTTTTAAGGACAGTACAGGGTAAAGTGGCTTCCTGGGAGAATGCAAGGCAGGCACTGAGCCTGGAGAGAACTCTGTAGCCCCATTAGTATTGAGGGCAACCCCCAAGCCAGCCCTGGTGGCAGCCAGATGGTTTGGAGCCCTCGCAGTCTCCACAGAAGGCTTGCCGGGAAGCGGCAGATGCTGCTGCTGGAGGCAGGCCTTCCCTGCAGGGCATCTGGACCTCATAGGAATTCCTGGAGCGACTGGAGAAAGGTGTCTTCCTGTCCTTTCAGGGGCTCCTGCGGGGAATTCCAGAACTTCAGGGCTCCTGATCACCACTGTACAGGGCAGTGAGCTGGAGCTGGCTCTTTCCAGCTCACAAGAACCGAGTATTAAATGTTTAGGAATTTTGTGAGGCAATTGTTAAATAACCGTTATCATCAAAAATTGTTATAAATCTATAATTAAATAAACTATATTAAAATCTAAGGTAATAAGATCTCAAAACTCAAAAACTTCCCGATGAGCTGGCTCCATTTTATTTTTATCTACCCTCTTGAGGTTATTTACATCTATTGTGTCTGTGTGGTGGAAATACTGTCTCCAGCTCTGCTGCTGTGCCTTGAAATCAACCAGAAAGGGGGTGTTAATGCCACAGAAATTGGAAAACGTTGCATATATCCAGGACTTTATTTTTTTCTTTCTGGAAAAACAATGGACAAACATCTACCAGCACACCCCTGCCAGGGACTCAAAACAATGGCCCCAAACAAGAAAAATCCAGAGACCCAAGGGAGATGCCTGTGCAATTCTCTTCCCCTAGTGGACCCTAAATCTGCCACCCTTTAAGGGTTCTCAAGGGACTTGGCAAAGCCAGTATGCTCCAGGGATGTAGTGTTTTTAAGAAAAACTAAACACCCAACATAGACCAAGGAGGGGAGATATGTTTCATTTCTCATGATAGTTCTCATTGATCTGCTGTGGCTTCTTTCCTAATAGCATTGAGAATGTCGAGGTCTCCTGCAGGGCAGTGAGAAAGACAGCCTTGGTTCCTGCAGTAGGTGAGGGGTGGGGACAATGAGTTGGGTACCATGGATTTGCTATGCTTAAACTAGATGGCCAATCCCAAAATGTGGGGAAGGTCACTGTGACAGGGAGATTGTCGTCTTTCACCTGGTAGGTTTTGGCCTTAAGTAGGACATAAAAATTAGGAAAAGTTGATTTTTGATTTGACAAACACCACCAGATTTATTGTTACAAGGAAGAACCATCGATGGTTACTAAAAGTCATGGACAAAAATCTGATAGGAAACAGGATATTTGCATAATCTCAAAGTGTCTTCCCAAAGTATCCACTGATTAATGGCACAGGGAAAGCAGTAGCTTTACAGTGGAGACAACTGATAGACCTTATCCTAACCAAATGAGCAAAGGGAAACCACCAGCAGGGAAACATACTGACGTCATGTGCCTCCTGACACGATGCACTGAGAAGGACTCTACATCTCTTCTATGGGAATCTTACCAAAAATGTACAGCCTCGATCTGATGATGAGAAGACATTAGACAAACCCTAACTGAGGATTGAAAAATACCAGTCTAGTCCTCTTCAACAGTTAAGGTCATGAAAGACTGTGGCACTCTCACAGATTTGGAAATGTGACAACTGGATTCAATGTGGGATCCTGAATTGAATCATGGACGAGAAAATGGATGTTAGAAGGAAAACTGGCAAAATTAGAATAAAGGTTACAGTGTAGTTAATAGCATTGGACCAATGTGAATTTCCTGGTTTGATTATTCTACTCTGGTAATGTAAGAGGTTAACATTAACCAGTGCTGGGTGAAGGGTGCATAGGAACTCTCTGTACCATCTATGCAACTCGCTAGGAATTCAACATTATTTCAAAATTTAAAATGTTTTTAAGAAGCTTATTTTTGAAGTATTTAAGGGATGATTACTCACTTATGAAGAATGAGGGTTGAAGGTGAACAGTTCTGTCAAGTATACTTATTTCTATGTGAAGGGAAATTACACATAGAAATTAGTGTAAAAACCTGATAGATACAGGTTTTTCTGATTTATGAGTTAAGACAAAAAAATCCAGAAAGGACTAGCCTTACTAGAAGGTTCCATTTGCAAAATTCCTAACTGTCTCAACCAATCAGAAGGCCAATGTAACCTCCTACCAAATGAATAATTAGGTAATTGCATGACTAAACCAACATTTAGCATGCCATAACCCAGGACTAGGCTCTGGGGAGGTGGAACATGGAGGAGCATAGGAGCCTGTCCTGTTCTCAGGGACCTTGCAGCCTATAGTATTTCACGTGGGCTATTTGACATCCCTAGCCATGTGGTAAGTCCTAGGCCAGGGTATAGGACTTGAGTGTCACCTGATCTTTGCCTGGCGGGCATGGAAAATGGTTGGTTTGGCATTGCTTAGGGATGGTCTTTGGGTTGTGTATTCTTGGGGAATCCATCTGGAAAATAAGAAGACAGCTTTTGCTCACAGTTGACTAGACCTCCCCCTAGTAAAGTTAATGATCCACCAGGTTCTGTTCCATCAGCATCAGCTAGAAATACTTCTTAAGGTATTCTTTAATATTGCATTATCTGCCATTACCAAAGTTTAAAGAAGTTTGCCTACAGCCAAATGCACGATGGCCTCACACACTCCCTCCTTCCTATCCTCAATCTCATACCCTTCTTCACTGCCTCTCAGAGCCAGGATGAGGTGAGGCATGGCCTGGGAGGAAGGGCAGAATGTAATGGGGCACCAAAAATTCAGTAATCAAATCAAATAATACTTTCACATGACATTTTAAAAACTCAGTATTTTGTTATTTTGTTTACCATGAGTTTTTGCATTAATTTTTTAAACAAAAAAATTGCATTAAGTGTTAATTTTCTTGATTACTGAGTTTTTTGGGACCCCCTTCAATTTTGCCCCCTAGGTTAGTGTCTAACTTGTATCACTCCTTCCCCCTAGTCCTGGCCCCTGCACAGTCCTCTTATCAACACTGGCTGCCTGCAGTAACAAAGCTGGGCTCTGACCCATAAATGGCGTGGCGGCTTGGAGGAATGGAGAAGGTACCCTTCTATTCACCCTCCAAGACTGTAGAGGGGCTGCGGAAGATTTCTGTCTGCTGGGAACCCTTGCATAAAAGCACTAGTTGAAAGGAACAGCCATTTACACTCTAAACCTTCACTGGGGCAGCCACTTGGTTTCCAAAAAGCATTTCTTGCATAGTGTTTGAATTAAATCTCCCCTTCGAAGTTGGGAGACATGAGTTAAAAGCCCTCTCAGCAGCAGATAAATATAGCTATGTTTGGTCCAGGTTACAGTTGCTGAGGGAACTATAACTTTGATTTGCTCTCCTGGTATAAATGTAAATCCTTAAGTGAAATGAGTTAAGTGAGGGAGGAGGCGCCCTGTTTTTAAGGATGCATTTGATCAGCAGCTGTCTGTGGTGCCTCACCTGCCATGTACAATCTGAGGGGCAGCAGCCAAAGACTGCAGCAAGGAAGCTTCCAGCAAATGATCTAAGAGTTCTAGAATGGACATTTTCTCAGGGAGGTTTTCAGATCAGTTTTGTCTTAGAGATAAACACAATTGGTTTAACAGTCTGGGTTGGAAAATAAAGTTTAATTTCAGCACAGTTTCTGCAAGCAACCTAGCATGCTAAAGTCATCTTTGCCCTCTATTTATTACCTTGCCTTTGGCCTGAAATCCAAACTCAGCTTAATTTTCCTCTCCAACCACATTTCCAACTGTTTTCTGCCTGCAGTTTACATTCTAGCACAGCCAGACTCTCACTCTCCCACCAAACCTTCATGCTCTTTCTTCTTTCTTTGTCATTTACCCTATTCCTTCACTCTGGAAGGGATTCTTTTTTCCCTCCTTTTCTTTTTTTTAATTTTTAATTTTTGTAGGTACATAGTAGGTGTATGTATTTATGGGGTACGTGAGATGTTTTGATACAGGCATGGACTGCGTAATCACAGCATGGAAAATGGGGTATCCATGTCCTCAAGCAACCATCCTTTGTGTTACAGTCAATGCGGTTATATTCTTTTAGTTATGTTAAATGTGACAATTAAATTATTGACTATAGTCACCCTGTTTTTCTCCCTTCTGTCTGTCCTGAAAGCCTCCAACTGGTGGTTTACAACCTGAATCTAGCCCACAGATGTATTGTGTTTGGCTTGCAGAATTATTTCCTAAAACCCACAGTCCCACTCGTTCCTATTGCTTTCTAGATGACTGGGTTCACACTTTTATATTATCCATCCTGCCTATGTAGACATCTGAATTGTGACCTCTGAGAGCCAGACCCTGCCTTTCCTAATAGGCCCAATTCTTCCTCGATTAAGAAATCACCCCAGGTTCTTTTAGCTCCGTCTCACTCACCACCTCTTCTGCATTCTGAAAACTTTTGGCTTTATTGTAGAATTTAGCACTTAATTATATGCAGCTTGACATTTGCTCTTGTCATGGTAGGCCTTTCTGGCACATGTTGAGACAAGCCTAACACTTTTTGTTATTTCTCTTTTCAACTGAAGTAATATCTTTCTATCCAACAGCTCACTAAACATTAGCTAAGCACCTATGATTTGTCAGGTACCATGCTAGGCCTTTGGGATGCAAAGGTGTTGAAGACAAGCTCCTCTCTTATTAGAAACTAACTTCGGACCTTATTTCCCAGCACTTGGCCTCAGTGGTCTATTCATTATTTCAGAACACATCTAGTCCTTCCTAAGCCTCACTCCCTGGTTAACACTCCTCCCACTGCTACAATAAACTTTCTTTGAATAGTTAAATCATATTTGTCTTTTGAAGCCTGGGTCAATTTCCCTTATATTTGCCTTGCCTTGTCTGTTTCACAGACATGTGTCCACCCCTGTCTCTTGGAAATTTGACATAGGCCATCATTTACAGAAAGTGCTCTTCTGTGGGTGTCCTGTTTGTTATTTACAGACTCTCCAAGGACAGGGCTGATCCAGTCTTACGTTTCTCCCGTATTTCCACACTGCCTGGGCATAGTGCCGAACTCCGAGCAGATACTCAATAATTAATGTCCGTGGTTTGACTGATCCTCCCATCTTCAATTAGTCTACTTTCAAGAAATACATGCTGACACTAATTTTATTTTTTATACTCAGTGGAATCCAGTGAGAAAGGTAAATCTTCTGCTTTTGCATTAAAACATCGCATAAAAAGCAGGTACCAACTTTGAGTACTGCTGGGCTCCCAAAGTTGTTTATACATCAGTTTAGAATTCAGCCTGCATTTTCCCACAGAAATAATGCCTTGGGGTTGGTCACACCCCAAGGCCAGCCTACGTGAACATGCGTAACCCATAATGTTTTGAACTCTGGGGCAGAGATTAGAGCTCACATGTACTTCTCATTGCCTGAAGAGTGTGGAGGTTATATGCACTTCACCTTACCTGACAATCACCACACTGTGCCCAGCTTTACGATGTCTGTTTTCTCATCTGGATAGTAACCCCTATGAGCACAAAGGCCGTATCGGTCTTGTTCACTGCCATATCCTAGCACAGTGCCCAGCACATTTATTGAGCAGTCAATAAGTATTTGTTGATTTGGATTGAGTTAAATTCTAGTTGAAAGATGATGGACTTTGGAGACACATAGGCATGGATTTGAATTCCAATGCCATCACTAACTAGCCGGGTGGTACTGGGGCCTCTCTGAGCCTCAGCTTATCTCTCCATGTTTTGTTAATTCATAAAACCAAGTTGCTGAGTATGTGGTTAATACCAAAATGTTTTTTCTTTCCTTCCTTACTGCCTTAATCCCTCAAAAGCATCTGATTAATTAATTAATGATGTCTCTTTTTAGCCTTCTCTGGTGGTGACAGAGAAGGCAATATTTGATGCCAGGGCCTTTCCGCAGCTTTTGGGAAGTGTTGGGTTCTATTTCCAGCTCTAATTCTAACAGACTGTGTGACCTGAGATAGGTCACGCAAACATATCTTTGAGACAGCAATGAGAGATTTCAGTTATTTCCAGGCTTTTCCACATAAATATTAATAATTTCAGGTGAGTGAATATAAATGCTCAATGTTCTGGGGGGCAGAGTCCAAAGGTTGAATTTATTTGAATTCAGTCTTATGTTTCATCTTAATTATTCATGCATACTTTATATTTGTCCAAATATAAACTTTTTGCTTATACTTCATCAAAGGGTACGTAAAAACAGAGACTTCCCACACCTAATACAGTCGTCAAATGTATTAGTAGAAATGCCTTCGCTTTTATATCTGGGGACAAGGAATGACATGATTCAGTGAAGGTAAGTGTAGTTAACCTTTCCAGAAATACCCGCAGGAGACCAATTATTTATCTGCTTAAAAACTACCCTTGGCCAGGCCCGTTGGCTCATGCCTGTACTCCCAGCTACTCAGGACGTTGAGGAAGGAGAATCACTTGAACCTGGGAGGCAGAGGTTGTAGTGAGCCAAGATCACGCCATTGCACTCCAGCCTGGGCAACAAGAGCAAAACTCCATCTCAAACAACAACAACAACAAAACTTTCCTTTGCTGGCCAGAGTGGCTCACGCCTTTAATACCAGCACTTTGGGAAGCCAAAGCTAGGGGATTGCTTGAGCTGAGGAGGTTGAAGCTGGTCTGAGAAACATGGCAAGACCCTACACCTACAAAAAATTAAAAAATTAGCTGGTCATGGTAGCATGCACCTGTAGTCCCGGCTACTCAGGAAGCTGAGGTGGGAGGATCACTGGGGCCCAGAAGCTAGTGGATGCAGTGAGCTGTGATCACACCACTGCACTCCAGCCTGGGTGACAGAGCAAGACCCTGTCTCGAAAAAAACAAAACAGATTGGGTTCCAAGATAGCCGAATAGGAACAGCTCCAGTCTACATCTCCCAGCGTGAGCGACACAGAAGACGGGTGATTTCTGCCTTTCCAACTGAGGTACCGGGTTCATCTCACTGGGACTTGTCGGACAGTGAGTGCAGGACAGTGGGGGCAGCACACCGAGCGTGCGCTGAGGCGGGGTGAGGCATCACCTCATCCAGGAAACGCAAGGGGTCAGGGAATTCCCTTTCCTAGCCAAGTAAAGCTGTGACAGAAGGCACCTGGAAAATCAGGTCACTCCCACCCTAATACTGCACTTTTCCAATGCTCTTAGCAAACGGCACACCAGGAGACTATATCCCGTGCCTGGCTTGGAGGGTCCCATGCCCATGGAGCCTCGCTCGTTGCTAGCACAGCAGTCTGAGATCGAACTGCAAGGCAACAGCGAGACTGGTGGAGGGGCGCCCGCCATAGCTGAGGCTTGAGTAGGTAAACAAAGCAGCCAGGAAGCTCAAACTGGGTGGAGCCCAACGCAGCTCAAGGAGGCCTGCATGCCTCTGTAGACTGCACCTCTGGGGGCAAGGCATAGCCGAACAAAAGGCAGCAGAAACCTCTGCAGACTTAAGTGTCCCTGT
Source organism: Homo sapiens (assembly GCF_000001405.40). Classification (NCBI taxonomy): domain Eukaryota; kingdom Metazoa; phylum Chordata; class Mammalia; order Primates; family Hominidae; genus Homo; species Homo sapiens. The sequence continues at coordinate 169,820,251 of NC_000005.10, forward strand.
CTGACAGCTTTGAAGAGAGTAGTGGTTCTCCCAGCATGGAGTTTGAGATCTGAGAATGGACAGACTGCCTCCTCAAGTGGGTCCCTGACCCCCAAGTAGCCTAACTGGGAGGCACCCCCCAGTAGGGGCAGACTGACACCTCACACAGCTGGGTACCCCTCTGAGACAAAACTTCCAGAGGAACGATCAGGCAGCAACATTTGCTGTTCAGCAATATTCACTGTTCTGCAGCCTCTGCTGCTGGTACCCAGGCAAACAGGTCTGGAGTGGACCTCCAGCAAACTCCAACAGACCTGCAGCTGAGGGTCCTGACTGTTAAAAGGAAAACTAACAAACAGAATGGACATCCACATCAAAACCCCATCTGTACGTCACCATCATCAAAGATCAAAGGTAGATAAAACCACAAAGATGGGGAAAAAACAGAGCAGAAAAACTGAAAATTCTAAAAATCAGAGCACCTCTTCTCCTCCAAAGGAAAGCAGCTCCTCACCAGCAAAGGAACAAAGCTGGACAGAGAATGACTTTGACGAGCTGAGAGAAGAAGGCTTCAGACGATCAAACTACTCTGAGCTAAAGGAGGAAGTTCGAACCAATGGCAAAGAAGTTAAAAACCTTGAAAAAAGATTAGATGAATGGCTAACTAGAATAACCAATGCAGAGAAGTCCTTAAAGGACCTGATGGAGCTGAAAACCACGGCACGAGAACTACGTGACGAATGCACAAGCTTCAGTAGCCGATTCAATCAACTGGAAGAACGGGTATCTGTGATGGAAGATCAAATGAATGAAATGAAGCGAGCAGAGAAGTTTAGAGAAAAAAGAATAAAAAGAAACAAACAAACCTTCAAAGAAATATGGGACTATGTGAAAAGACCAAATCTACGTCTGATTGGTGTACCTGAAAGTGACGTAGAGAATGAAACCAAGTTGGAAAACACTCTGCAGGATATTATCCAGGAGAACTTCCCCAACCTAGCAAGGCAGGCCAACACTCAAATTCCAGAAATACAGAGAACGCCACAAAGATACTCCTCGAGAAGAGCAACTCCAAGACACATAATTGTCACATTCACCAAAGTTGAAATGAAGGAAAAAAATGTTAAGGGCAGCCAGAGAGAAAGGTCGGGTTACCCACAAAGGGAAGCCCATCAGACTAACAGCTGATCTCTCGGCAGAAACTCTACAAGCCAGAAGAGAGTGGGGGCCAATATTCAACATTCTTAAAGAAAAGAATTTTCAACCCAGAATTTCATATCCAGCCAAACTAAGCTTCATAAGTGAAGGAGAAATAAAATCCTTTACAGACAAGCAAATGCTAAGAGATTTTGTCACTGCCAGGCCTGCCCTAAAAGAGCTCCTGAAGTAAGCACTAAACATGGAAAGGAACAACCAGTACCAGCCACTGCAAAAACATGTCAAATTGTAAAGCCCATCGATGCTAGGAAGAAACTGTGTCAACTAATGAGCAAAAACCAGCTAACATCATAATGACAGGATTAAATTCACACATAACAATATTAACCTTAAATGTAAATGGGCTAAATGCTCCAATTAAAAGACACAGACTGGCAAATTGGATAAAGAGTCAAGACCCATCAGTGTGCTGTATTCAGGAAACCCATCTCACGTGCAGAGACACGCATAGGCTTAAAATAAAGGGATGGAGGAAGATCAACCAAGCAAATGGAAAACAAAAAAAGGCAGAGGTTGCAATCCTAGTCTCTGATAAAACAGACTTTAAGCCAATAAAGATCAAAAGAGACAAAGAAAGCCATTACATAATGGTAAAGGGATCAATTCAATAAGAAGAGCTAACTATCCTAAATATATATGCACCCAATACAGGAGCACCCAGATCATAAAGCAAGTCCTTAGAGACCTACAAAGAGACTTAGACTCCCACACAATAATAATGGGAGACTTTAACACCCCACTGTCAATATTCGACAGATCCACCAGACAGAAAGTTAACAAGGATATCCAGGAATTGAACTCAGCTCTGCACGAAGCAGACCTAATAGACATCTACAGAACTCTCCACCCCAAATCAACAGAATATACATTCTTTTCAGCACCACACCACACCTGTTCCAAAATTGACCACATAGGTGGAAGTAAAGCACTCCTCAACAAATGTAAAAGAACAGCAATTATAACAAACTGTCTCTCAGACCACAGTGCAATCAAACTAGAACTCTGGATTAAGAAACTTACTCAAAACCGCTCAACTGCATGGAAACTGAACAACCTGCTCCTGAATGACTACTGGGTACGTAATGAAATGAAGGCAGAAATAAAGATGTTCTTTGAAACCAACGAGAACAAAGACACAACACGCCAGAATCTCTGGGACACCTTTAAAGCAGTGTGTAGAGGGAAAATTATAGCACTAAATGCCCACAAGAGAAAGCAGGAAAGATCTAAAATTGACACCCTAACATCACAATTAAAAGAACTAGAGAAGCAAGAACAAACACATTCAAAAGCTAGCAGAAGGCAAGAAATAACTAAGATCAGAGCAGAACTGAAGGAGATAGAGACACAAAAAAACCCTTCAAAAAATCAACGAATCCAGGAGCTGGTTTTTTGAAAAGATCAACAAAATTGATAGACCACTAGCAAGACTAATAAAGAGGAAAGGAGGGAAGAATCCAATAGACACAATAAAAAATGATAAAGGGGATATCACCACCGATCCCACAGAAATTCAAACTACCATCAGAGAATACTATAACCACCTCTATGCAAATAAACTAGAAAATCTAGAAGAAATGGATAAATTCCTCCATACATACACCCTCCCAAGACTAAACCAAGAAGAAGTTGAATGTCTGAATAGACCAATAACAGGCTCTGAAATTGAGGCAATAATCAATAGCTTACCAGCCAAAAAAAGTCCAGGACCAGACGGAGTCACAGCCAAATTCTACCAGAGGTACAAGGAGGAGCTGATACCATTCCTTCTGAAACTATTCCAATCAATAGAAAAAGAGAGAATCCTCCCTAACTCATTTTACGAGGTCAGCATCATCCTGGTACCAAAGCCTGGCAGAGACACAACCAAAAAAGAAAATTTTAAACCAATATCCCTGATGAACATCAATGCAAAAATCCTCAATAAAATACTGGCAAACTGAATCCAGCAGCACATCAAAAAGCTTATCCACCGTGATCAAGTGGGCTTCATCCCTGGGATGCAAGGCTGGTTCAATATACGCAAGTCAATAAATGTAATCCAGCATATAAACAGAACCAAAGACAAAAACCACATGACTGTCTCAATAGATGCAGAAAAGGCCTTTGACAAAATTCAGCAGCCCTTCCTGCTAAAAACTCTCAATAAATTAGGTATTGATGGGACGTACCTCAAAATAATGAGAGCTATTTATGACAAACCCACAGCCAATATCATACTGAATGGACAAAAACTAGAAGCATTCCCTTTGAAAACTGGCACAAGACAGGGACGCCCTCTCTCACCACTCCTATTCAACATAGTGTTGGAATTTCTGGCCAGGGCAATCAGACAGGAGAAAGAAATAAAGGGTATTCAATTAGGAAAAGAGGAAGTCAAATTGTCCCTGTTTGCAGATGACATGATTGTATATCTAGAAAACCCCATTGTCTCAGCCCAAAATCTCCTTAAGCTGATAAACAACTTCAGCAAAGTCTCAGGATACAAAATCAATGTGCAAAAATCACAAGCATTCTTATACTCCAATAACAGACAAACAGAGAGCCAAATCATGAGTGAATTCTCTTTCATAATTGCTTCAAAGAGAATAAAATACCTAGGAATCCAACTTACAAGGGATGTGAAGGACCTCTTCAAGGAGAACTACAAACCACTGCTCAATGAAATAAAAGAGGATACAAAGAAATGGAAGAACATTCCATGCTCATGGGTAGGAAGAATCAATATCGTGAAAATGGCCATACTGCCCAAGGTAATTTATAGATTCAATGCCATCCCCATCAAGCTACCAATGACTTTCTTCACAGAATTGGAAAAAAACTACTTTAAAGTTCATGTGGAAACAAAAAAGAGCCTGCATTTCCAAGATATTCCTAAGCCAAAAGAAGAAAGCTGGAGGCATCATGCTACCTGACTTCAAACTATACTACAAGGCTACAGTAACCAAAACAGCATGGTACTGATACCAAAACAGAGATATAGACCAATAGAACAGAACAGAGCCCTCAGAAATAATACCACACATCTACAACTATCTGATCTTTGACAAACCTGAGAAAAACAAGCAATGGGGAAAGGATTCCCTATTTAATAAATGGTGCTGGGAAAACTGGCTAGCCATATGTAGAAAGCTGAAACTGGATCCCTTCCTTACACCTTATACAAAAATTAATTCAAGATGGTTTGAAGACTTAAATGTTAGACCTAAAACCATAAAAACCCTAGAAGAAAACCTAGGCAATACCATTCAGGACATAGGCATGGGCGAAGACTTCATGCCTAAAACACCAAAAGCAATGGCAACGAAAGCCAAAATTGACAAATGCAATCTAAATAAACTAAAGAGCTTCTGCACAGCAAAAGAAACTACCATCAGAATGAACAGGCAACCTACAGAATGGGAGAAAATTTTTGCAATCTACTCATCTGACAAAGGGCTAATATCTAGAATCTACAAAGAACTCAAACAAATTTACAAGAAAAAAACAACCCCATCAACAAGTGGGCAAAGGATATGAACAGATACTTTTCAAAAGAAGACATTTATGCAGCCAAAAAACACATGAAAAAATGCTCATCATCACTGGCCATCAGAGAAATGCAAATCAAAACCACAATGAGATACCATCTCACACCAGTTAGAATGGTGATCATTAAAAAGTCAGGAAACAACAGGTGCTGGGGAGGATGTGGAGAAATAGGAACACTTTTACACTGTTGGTGGGACTGTAAACTAGTTCAACCATTGTGGAAGACATTTTGGCGATTCCTCAGGGATCTAGAACTAGAAATACCATTTGACCCAGCCATCCCATTACTGGGTATATACCCAAAGGATTATAAATCATGCTGCTATAAAGACACATGTACATGTATGTTTATTGTGGCACTATTCACAATAGCAAAGACTTGGAACCAACCCAAATATCCAACAGTGATAGACTGGATTAAGAAAATGTGGCACATATACACCGTGGAATACTATGCAGCCATAGAAAATGATGAGTTCATGTCCTTTGTAGGGACATGGATGAAGCTGGAAACCATCATTCTGAGCAAACTATCGCAAGGACAAAAAACCAAACACCGCATGTTCTCATTCATAGGTGGGAATTGAACAATGAGAACACTTGGACGCAGGGCGGGGAACATCACACACTGGGGCCTGTTGTGGGGTGGGGGGAGGGGGGAGAGATAGCATTAGGAGAAATACCTAATGTAAATGATGAGTTAACAGGTGCAGCACACCAACATGTCACATGTATACATATGTAACAAACCTGCACGTTGTGCACATGTACCCTAGAACTTAAAGTATAATAAAAAATATATCTATATATATATATAAAGAAAATATTGAAACGTTTGCATAACATTAAAAAAAAAAGAAAAAAACAAAACAAAAAAATCTCTCCTGGAAGACGAGTCACAACACTACACCCTCTTGGTTATATGGTGAAAAGTGAAGAAAGGAGAGGAGATGGTACATACAGGGGGAATAAGTAAAGAAGTTGCCAGCGTCTTTGTTTTTTGAGAAGAGATGACGTAGCACATCTATTGTTTTTCATCAAATTCTGAAGTGATAAGATGTAAAGTAGTTTAGACAATGTTACTCACCCATCCATTCATTCTTTCATCCAACCATCCATCCATCCCTCCACTGACATGTTCATTTTGTGTATTTATACATGTACTTAGTGCTTACTCTGTGTCAAGCATGATGGTATACTTTGGACTTTCAAAATGGAAAGGTGTGATCTAAAGAAATATGAACAAAGTTTTGTGGGTACTCAAAAAGAACAAGCAACTTTGCCTGGGGTAAGGTGGAAGTTTGGAGTGGTTGAGCTCCCAAAGATGATGACTGGGCTCAGTTTTTCCCTGGTGAACAGGATATTAGCAGATAATCAAAGGGAGAAGGACATCTCAGACACAGAGAAAAACATGCTCTCATCTCTGGTGGCTCTCATCTCTGGGGGGGACGAGCTGACCAAGACTGGTTGGGGTAGGGCCTGGGAGAAATGAAACCTCTCCAGACCCCAAGGACTGAATTCTCTGAAGAAGATGCCTGTAGTCCAAGGTAAAGGTATGGTGAATTCTGTTACCCATCATGATTGTGGGAAGATCATAATCAGAATTCCAGGGAGAAGGTAGGAATCCAAGAGTGGTTGGTCTGACTCACTGCGAGTGAGACTTGATACAGTTTCAAGGAAAGGGGTTGGCAGCAAGAATATATAAGAGTTAGTTATGTATTATTAGGCTACACTCTTAATATGGAGAGGCAGTGTTATTATAAAGCCTTATTTACTACATTGCAAAGAACTATGTTGCATGTTTCTCCCAGCTGGCTCTGCAGCACCTCCCTCAGGACACCGTCTCACATTTTCCTAGATTGGGTGACGACTTTTTTTCTGAGGTTTCTCAGCTCCCTGTAATAACACTGTCAGGATCCTTCCTTTACTATGTGGTTCTTCCCTAGTCCTATGCTGCTAATACACTGTGGTCTCTTAAAAGCAGGGGCTAGATTTTCTGTCTCTGAATCCTCAGAATCCAGGACAGAGCGTGGCACGTAGTGAGTCGGTACCACTCCGTATTGAAATTTATGTAGAGAGCTTTTGTAGAATAACAATACTTGAGTCTCATCACCAGAGACTTAGAATTTGTCTTGGGTGGAACCTGGGCATGAATATATTTATATATATGGAAAATCCCCCGCTTGTTTTAAAAATGCAGCTATGGTTATAGACCACTGAAGCAGATGCTTAGATAATGCTTCTTGAGGTATTGGACTATAACAGATATTATCCTGGCCATCTCATTTTTTGGTAGGGCAGGGGGTTGGAGAGGAGCTGCAACCTGCTGTTTAGGCAGCTTCTCAAGGATCTCAGTTCACTTCAGGCTGCAGAAACCTGGGAGCAGATGACTGCTTCTAGATGCTGCATACTTATCTGAAAGAAAACCTTAATGTGCTCCCAGGAATACGTGCACAGATTTGCTTCAAGATGACTTGGTTATAATAACCAGCTAAGCTAGGCTGTCACTGGTGAGAACGGAAAGTGACTGAGCATTCATAGAAATGGCTTTCCTGCTCACCAGCTTGTTGGGGAAGGATCAGGGCTATGGATTAAAGGTGGGGGCACTGAGTGTGTTACAGAAACTGGAAAATGAGGTGCCCATCTTTCTACCATCCAGAAAAGCCACCAGAAACTATAGATCGGAATTCGGAATAAATCAAGGAAAATAAATGAGTTCTCCCTCGCCCAAATTTACTGTAGTTGTATAGGTGGATCTGGGAGATTTAGTGGAGGAAAAGGGAGCACACAGCCTAAGCTTTCCAGAAAGAGCTGGGGATGATGGTGTTAGAAATGTGATAGAACTTTAAAAATGTTGAAATCATTGGTGACAATTAGAAAACATTAAAAACACACACACACACACACATGGTTTTTCAACATTAAAACCGAGGCACACACTCTGTTGGCGGGGGTGGGTGTTGACAGAGAGAGTGAGTGAGTCCATATTTCCCAAGATGAGGAGAAATGCCCTTGTCCTAGGAGGCAGTGATTTTGCCAGCACCATGGAGAAGGGCACACATTGTCTCTTGCTTATTTTTTATTTATACAGATAGGTTTCTGGGGAGGGTTTTTACTGTATCCAATCTGAACTGACAAAGGCAATCCTGATGTCTGTGTAACTGCATGCGTAGATCAGAGGATACAAATTCACTCCTTAGATCTACTGGTCTTTTCTGGCCAATTCTGTTGCATTTTAGATCGACATACTCCCTCTGTCATTTCTTAGCAAAGGAAAAGAGGTTCAAGGGTGAGATTTTAAAACCTCCCTTTGCTAGTAGTTTTTCTAAAGTTTCTGGTAGAATTAATCCCTAAGCAGAGCGGTCAGTGAGAGTGGGCTCTGAATTCTGGCTGAGGCATAGGCTGCTGTATGTTTCATGAGATCGGCCTCCCAGCTTGGTTTTGGGCCTGCCTGACTTGGAAGGGATTTGTGGGAGAAGTCCATTTTGAAAAATGAGGATAGTAGACCTTTGATTTGGGGAAACCCTGCTGAGGAAACTGTATTAGTCATCACTGAATGAGCTTCTGATGTCTATGTTCTCTCTCTGGAGGGTGGTGGGATGATTAAGGGTATTTTCACTGTAGGAAGGAGGATAGAACGTTGTATGTATTTTTTGGTTTCTCCCATTTCCTGTCAAATAACCCCTTAGTCTTTTGTATGTGGTCAAGCTGTGTTGTCAGGACAGTTGAAGAAATCTGTGCCCAGAAGCGTCCAGATCCTCTATTCTAGCTCCACGCCTCATCTGAGAATCTCTCCTTTCTCTCTGCAACAGTTACGTGACATCTCCTATTCGAACTTAAATCCGCTTAATAAAATCATGGCGATTACTTATTTTGTGACAGGTACTTGTGCTAGGTGTTGAGCCCAAAGTAGTGGCACAGACCTAATCCCTGTCCTCAAGTAACTTACCAATGATTCACAATCTATTTGTTTAACAGTGTAAGAGGGGGCAGCTCCGAGTGGATTACTTTATGACTCCCTACCTCAGAGAAGATTATAGTCCAGAATTTTAATGCTCTCATTCAGGGCTGATGATGATGCAGAGGCATAAATAAAAGGAAACACTAGTTTGCGATTGGATGGGGGAGAAAAGGGAGGAAAGTCATGTGAGGAGGGAGGGAGCTTGTTGTGAAGCTGGGAAATGGAAGGGTGGAAACCATATCTAGGATGGCTTTCTGGAAAAATAGTTGCAAAAATTTTCATCACCACGGAGTCCTGTTCTTATTCCTATGCCCATGGATGCATGTTTTGAAATACATTGTCTCTCAAAAAAGCGGCATGCATTAAACATTCAGTAATTTTCTGACCAACAGAGTTAAACAGGTTGCCTATTTAGAGTTTATCTTGTCCTCATTCAAACAAGGAATCTTGGCGTTTTCATTAGCCCATGCAGTAATACTGAAGATGAATGAGTGTACAATTTCTGTTAAGCTTTTTGAAATATTGCAAATAGCTCATGTACCCCCATTTCTGCAATGAAAACCTTACCTGAGACGATTGCTGCAGGGCCATTTGTTCATGTAGTTCAATTTTCACTTAAGCTTTGAAAGTTTACACGTTAGGACCGTGTAGGTACAGAACCCAGGGCCTATGACTTTATTGGCTCAGGATATTTGTTAATTGACATTAAAGTATTAAGTATCAAAATTGAAATAATTGCTTAAGTATTTAGAAAATGAACAGTATATTAGCTAGTCAACTACAACTCAACAGTTTTGCAGTTGTATTTACGTTGTATTTATTTGGGGAGGTTTTTTCTTTTTAATATCTTTGACACATGATATGAAATGGGGCCTTCAAAAGTCACCTTGTTTAGAGCCTGCTTTTTTGTCTAAAGAGCTCCAAGAAAGGAGATTGAGTGGTATAATTTAAGATCTAAAAGCAGATGACCCTGTTCTTCCTGGAAAGTAGACTGGAGATGCAGGTCCCTTGGGCAAGACATATCTGCTATCTCCTATTCTATTGTGTGGATAAGCCATCATTTATATAATAGGATCCCTGATGTGGGGATATTTATCTTGCTTGTTACATTTGGGTATTATACGTAATACAATATTGCTATAAATAGCTGCACACAGTGCAAGAACCTTGCAACCAAAAAGACATGGGAGCAGATCCAGCTCCATTGCCTACAGTTCTGTGGCTCTGGACAAGTTGCATAAAGCTTTAGATTTCCTCATTTGTAACATGGGAAGAACCAGCGTAGCAGATCTATAAGGTTATTCTGTGAATTAAATGAGGTGGCTCATGTAAAGCACTTATCATAATGGCTGGCATATATTAAGTGCTCAATAAATATTGAATGATAATAATCATTAGAATGAATCTTATTTTGTATCTTAAAATGGGGTAATACTTATCCCCGGGGTTCTTGTCAAGACTCATTGAGATATTGAACACAAAGCACACAGCCCATTGCCCAGCACATAGTAAGAATTCAACAAATTTAGTTTTGTTTTTTATCTATTTTTTTGCACCTCATAAATTTTTCCTGTTTTGAAGAACAAAATACTAAAGTGGAGCCTATCTGAGGCACATCTTCATAAGTGTCTCCAACCAGCCTTTATTCATTGGCATTAAGATATTGAACATGCAGACTTTAGGAGGCTTAATTTTTTCTGCTCTGGCCTGCAGGTTGGAGGTTTCACTACATTTTAATAAAAACCCTTGCAAAGCAACTTACAGATCTAAATAAAAACAATGTTTTGCTTATTTAGCTGGTTTCATAGTTGTGCCTTTTAAAAGAATGTTAGCCCATGTTACTTTGCAGTGCTTTTCTGTCCATTTAGTAATGTTGGCAACAGTGATCCAGCTTGCGAGCCCCAAGGTTACATCTATAGCCCCAGCATGGGACGGGAGACCTGCTGGGTGTGGGGAAGAAGGAGAGCCATTCCCACAGTAGCCTGACACCCCTGAACACAGGGCTTCCTGGGTGTACATCCCTGGGATGTATCCACTCAGTCCCCTGTGGACATGATTCTTTAGGATTGCAGCCTGACTTTCATTTCTTTCCAATGGAGAAAGAGTTCTATTTTCATTGTTACATATGTGATTATGAACATTTCCAACAAAACATAGCAAATAAAATTATCCCTTTAACCTCACATCTGTCCCTCCTCCCTCCCACTCAGTGATATCATTGTTAATGGTTTGCCATGCATTTTTTCCAGACTTTCTGGACATAGAAAATAAATTTTCAAAAAAAAAAGGTGTATATTACATATGGTACTCTGTAGTCTCTTTTTTTCTGAACATATTTAGGATATTTTTCCAGGTCAAGATCTATCTACCTTCTCCTCCATTGTGTGAATAAACTGTCATGTACATAATAGGATTCCTGATTTGACCACATTTATCTTGCTTGCTGCGTTTAGGTATTATAAACAATGCAATATGCTACAAGCAGCTGTGCACACAACTGTTTGTCTTATGATGTTCTTTGGACAGATTTACAGAATGATTTACCATCTGCAAAGTGCTGCCACATCCATTCATTTATGTGATCCAAAGAGGTGGAGGCAGAGGCAGTCACAAGCCTGGACTTGAGTCAGGCAGGCCTGGGCTGGAACTTGGATTAGCAGACCACAGCCAAGCACTTCACTCATCTCTAAATCTGGAATTGTAGAAGTCTTTCTCCCATTTTATATGTGCTTGCAGGATTCCTTAAGTTAATGTCTGTAAAATACTTAGAAAAGTACATGCCACATATTAAAAACTCAAAAGATATTAGCTCTCAGTGTTGGAATTAGCTATGGTTCCTCAAAACAATTCTGATATTGTGGATGCCAATGCATCCAAAATACAGATGAAGAAACTTGAGGCTCAGAGGGGCAAGATGTGTCAAGGTCAATGACCAACAAGGAAAGAGAATAGTTAATGGCAACTTCATTAGTCTCTGTGCAAGGAGAGACTTTTGCAGAGAGTTTTTCATAATATTGAAAGAAGTTGCCAGAGAAGTTGGAGAGGGCCTAAAGCACCATTCCGTTGTGCCATCGACACCACACTTCTGATCATGGAAGGAGCATGCAATTAGGCAGAAATGAGCTTAGGTTCAGGTTGGGCCATCTGTGAATGGAACATTCTTGGGCAAGTTACTAAATCTCTCTAATTCGTGTGTTGTGTATCTGGGATTTCAGTGGAGTTTTATAAACAGTTAAATGAGATTATGTCAAGTCTATATGCACAGTTGCTGGCATATAATAAGACCTTGAAACTTGTGTTAACAGCAGTGTCAGAATTAGAACCCACATCTTCTTTTCCTTTTTATTGCATCCTTCTGCCACCAACTCCAACCCTTGTCTTCTAGTGAAGGCTAATACAAAGTGCAAGACATGTGTGACAACATGAAAGCATTGCCCAAGTCCCGCCTGGCACATGGGGTGGGGACACTCACCCAGTGGGTGGGGAGAAGCAGAGATGATGGGATAGAGCAGTGCCACCCACCCTGCCTTGTTTACCCTGCCTCCCCTTCGCTGAGCTGTCTCTGTCCCTGGCTGCCTCTGAAGCTTGCTTCACGCAATGAGATGTCAATGCAGTAAAATCTTTCAGGATGGAAACCAGTTCAAACAGGAAGAAAGAAGACAGCACTAAACCTAGAACTCATGCAAAAATCACATTCCCTCTAAGGGCCAGAGAGAGAGAGGGTGACTGTACTGTAGATGATATCTGTTACTATTTTTCAAAGTTAGATATTTTCTTTCTAGGTGTTTGTGGTAGTTTCAAGATAAGAAAGAAATGGAAAAGACCTCTTCCATAGAACACAGAATGGACAAAACAGTAGCAGCCATAGATTGCTGCTGTTTTCACTGTAAGAATATACATTCTTTCTCTTTTGCTTAAAAAAAAAATGTAGGCCTTTGGATTTCACTCTGTAGCTGTGACCTTGTGATCTTCATCTTAGCACTGAAAAGGCCTAAAGACAAAGCAGGCAGAGGAGGTGAGATTGTCCTTGGCATAAACACAGGGCCAAGGCTGCCTGTGTGCTGGACTGGAGGAAGCAGTGGCCCCCTCAATGTTCAGCAGAATAGGTCCTTCATTCTAGCTCTGATGACATTTCCTGTCACACAACACTGGTCATATTACCTTGTGCAAACCCCATCCTAAAGCTGAAGTTTTTCTTTCTGTAAAATGGATTGCACTGTCACTATTTTTGAAACCTTAGACATTTACATGACACAATCATATTTTTAAAAGTGTATCACTATCAGGTATATGTTTAATATATTTAACAAAATCACCTCACTTCTAAATATTCAAACATGAAAAGTTTAGGGCAGAATTCCCTGTAAAGATGGTAAATTAAAATAGGTACATATTTTTCCTCCCTCTTGAAAACCTCCTGAAAAAATAGAATTTCTTTGAAAGAAAGGTAGGAATCATACGGAAAGTTAGTACATGACATAGCAGACCTGAGAAAAGTATTTCATAAGCCAGCAGTGGAGGACCCTGAGGACTCATCCAATCTAAAACAAAGTTTCCGGAAATGGTAGTACCAGGTGCCCCTGCAAGTCAGGGTGAAGGAAAGGAAGGAGCTCAAATAAGGAGGATCAGCTGAGAGCCTGTTCCAGAAGCAGTCTGACTCCATGGGGCTGAGTTATTGAAGGTGTATTCAATAAAGAAGAAAAAAACAGAAGACATCTGGCCTAGGAGATGCCAGACGAAAGTGTGGGCAGTGATACCTTACTCAAAAGCAGGTTTCAATCAAAGTGTGCATCCTGGAGGCTAAAACCTCCAGCACTTTCCTCCCGTTCATCTCCTAGCGCACTGGTGGCCAGGCCTTCACACATCATGCAGGGATCAGACAATTCTTATTTGTGAAATCCTAGCAGTCCAAGAAGAAAGACTTGCATATATTGATATTGGCATCTCTCCAACTAAATGTCCCAACCAGATTACCCTGCAGTAAGCTCACAGGCCACAAGCCCTACTCACATGCTCAGTCAGTGCTCTCCAGCTAAATGTCCCAACCAGGTCACCCTGCAGTAAGCTCACAGACCACAAGCCCTACTCACATGCTCAGTCAGTGCTCTCCAGCTAAATGTCCCAACCAGATCACCCTGCAATAAGCTCACAGACCACAAGTCCTACTCACATGCTCAGTCAGTGCTCTCCAGCTAAATGTCCCAACCAGGTCACCCTGCAGTAAGCTCACAGACCACAAGCCCTACTCACATGCTCAGTCAGTGCTCTCCAGCTAAATGTCCCAACCAGGTCACCCTGCAGTAAGCTCACAGACCACAAGTCCTACTCACATGCTCAGTCAGTGCTCTCCAGCTAAATGTCCCAACCAGATCACCCTGTAGTAAGCTCACAGACCACAAGTCCTACTCACATGCTCAGTCAGTGCTCTCCAGCTAAATGTCCCAACCAGGTCACCCTGCAGTAAGCTCACAGACCACAAGCCCTACTCACATGCTCAGTCAGTGCTCTCCAGCTAAATGTCCCAACCAGATCACCCTGTAGTAAGCTCACAGACCACAAGTCCTACTCACATGCTCAGTCAGTGCTCTCCAGCTAAATGTCCCAACCAGGTCACCCTGCAGTAAGCTCACAGACCACAAGCCCTACTCACATGCTCAGTCAGTGCTCTCCAGCTAAATGTCCCAACCAGATCACCCTGTAGTAAGCTCACAGACCACAAGTCCTACTCACATGTTCAGTCAGTGCTCTCCAGCTAAATGTCCCAACCAGATCACCCTGCAATAAGCTCACAGACCACAAGCCCTACTCACATGCTCAGTCGGTGATCACCTTAGCATCACACACAATGAAATGAGAACATAGCCCCAAGGATTAAAGAGAACTAAGGAACAATGCTCACATAGAAGAGAGAGTGAAAACAAGCAAACAGAAGCAAATCTACTTGGAGGACACAGACTCTGTGAGGCAAAGCAAACTTTAGAAAAGAGGCAGAGAGAACTTAGAAAAATAGCAGAAGAGACCATTGTAAATTGGGAGATAGTACTTAAAAAAACTAAACATTCAGAGAATGAAAAGGAATCTTGGATTTTTCCAAATTGCTTTTTTTTTGGTGGGGGGGTGGCATGAAATGAGGAGTGTGCAAGAAATGGGAATCCATCATAGTTTACAACTTGGATGAGAATGGCATTTGCATATTCAAAATATTTTAAGTAATAAATATTGATCAAAGCAAAATTATACCGTAAGTGTATGGGAGGGAGGAGAAATGGGAAGGATGCATGTGCCTCATGGGACAGTGGGAGGAAAGAGTGAAATGCCTGGTTTTTTTTTTTTTTTTTTTGAGACTGCTCTGTTGCCTAGGCTGGAGTGCAATAGTGCAATCTCGACTCACTGCAACCTCTGCCTCCTGGGATCTACCTATTCTCCTGCCTCAGCCTTCCAAGTAGCTGGGACTACAGGCATGCGCCATCATGCCTGGCTAATTTTTATATTTTTAGTAGAGACGGGGTTTCACCATGTTGGCCAGGCTGGTCTCGAACTCCTGAGCTCAGATGATCTGCCCGCCTCAGCCTCCCAAAGTGCTGGGATTACAGGCATGAGTCAGCGGGCCTGGCCAAAATGCTTGTTTTCTATGGTGGACAGTTAATAGACAATGCCAAAAGTGAAAAGAAATGTTTAAAAAAGAAGTACCAAAGCATATTATTGGCATCATGTTCATAAATGCCAAAATAACAATTACAACAGCTTAAAGAGGTACAAAAGTTCCTCTGGCAAGGGGATCATGAGAGACTGCTGTATTTCGTTTGTTTGGGGGTTTGGATTTTTTTTTTTCTTTTTTGAGACAGGGTCTCACTCCCTGTTGCCCAGGCTGGAGTGCAGTGGTATAATCACAGCTCACTGCAACCTCAACTTTCTGGGCTCAAGCCTGCCTCAGCCTCCCCGATAGCTGGGACTACAAGTGTGCACCACCATGCCAGGCTAATTTTTGATATTTTTAGTAGAGATGGGATTTCGCCCTGTTGCCCAGGCTGATCTTGAACTCATGGGCTCATGCAATCTTCCCGCCTGGGTCTCCCAAAGTGCTGGGGTTATAGGCATGAGCCACTGTGCCCAGCTTGTTTTGTTTTTAAATGAAGCTTGAAGAATTTTTTGAACTATATACACTTATAACTTTGATAAAAATAAAATTTCATATCAAAACTGTAAGTAGCATCATTTGTGTAAAAGTAGATTTCTCAAATTATTAAAAATATTATCCTATGCAATTAGACACTGAGCACATCAAAGTTTCATTTAACTGGTAAACCAGGGAACAAGCTGAACAACAACAACCTGGTTCAAAAGTATTCAGGCTTCTTGATATTTTGTGAGAGAAGAGATACTTGTATAAAATTATCATTAGGTATAAAACAGGTAAATTTTCTCCAGAGTAATAAAACTATGAGTTTTAACAAAGCAGCAAACATCACATTTTATCATTTTTCTGCAAGTTAACTACTAACTCTGCAAGGTTATAACATTTCTAGTTTCTAATCAGTTGTGGATGGTTAATCCAAACAAAGTTATATTCCTGAGAGGGTAAAAGGACCTTCCGTGTGGTTTTTCCAAATGTTCTATTAAAAATGTCATGCCATCCTCATTTTGCTTTATTTCCAAGTTTTGGAGCTTTTTCTTGCACACTTGCCATAAATATGACCAACTTCAAAAAATAAACACAATAAAAACAAAACAATGTCATTAAGTTCTAAGTAGATACTGTTTGCTGCCTGCTCTGACCTGAAGATTTTCCTCTTTGTTAGAAAAGGTGTTTTTACAAGAACTAGAGAGGTATTAAAGACATATAATCACCAAAACGAGATTTCTCTACTTGGTATCATGAAAAGTGTTGAAAGAAAAATGAAAAAAAAAGGCCACATTTTTTATATAATTTGGTTTAGTGTTATGAAATGCTTTGTCTATTGTTACTTAAAATATTCTCATATTTGGTGTGCTTTCTTATTCTAGAAACCCTACAGGAGATCAGTAGTTTTGCACTGCATTCTGAAAAGTCCTAGGAGTGGCCTAGGGTCAAGAGTGAGTCAGGAAGAGAGGGCTTGGCTCCCTTAGCCCCGACCCTGCCTAGTCCCCATCCACTCCCAGCTCACCTTCTGCTGTGTTATGTAGTGAGCTCTGCATAAGACTTCATTTGAAGTCCCTTCCAGATACCAGAGCCTATAATTATTAAAAGAAAAAAAAATCACTACAATTTGCAGTGTGTTTAGGTTGGATGGATTAATTTCTTTGCCAAGGCCATAATGGGAAGACTGATTTTGTCATTTCAATTACAAGCTACCGTTTAGTTTGAGCCCAGAAGTCACTTTCCTAGAGTCTCCCTCCACTTGCCTGGCACTGGAGCAATTAACAGTGGGTGATTTGTGGCTGCACTTTTACTGCTTAGCACAGGTTTATCATCTTGAAAGTTTTCCATTTGCATATATGCTATACATTCTTTGGGTGACATTTAGATATCACCCAGAGTTTAGATTATGCATTGCCTTGTACTGCACTTTCTGCTACGTGCTGGCAATCTGCAAGCCCAACCAGAGAGCTGATGCAAACCAAGGGGAACGTGAGTTGCAGCCACCACTTACTGAGGGCTTACTATATACCAACCCCCAGTATCAAAGACTTTACCTGCATTACCTTGTTTATTCCTCAAACCAGTAACTTTGAGGTTACTATTATTTGCCACATTTTATAAACAAAGAAACAGAAACTCAGAGAGGAAAAGCAATTTGCCCAAGGTCACCCAGCTCAAATGAGCAGAATTGGGATTCAAACTCAAGTATCTCTAATCTCAAAACACTCTGCTATGCAACCTCCCAATACTGGGAGCTTTCAGAGTGAAATGAATTGAATTTGACAGTTTTCTACTTTTAAATACCAAACTTCCTGAGCAGTCTAATTGCTGCTCTTTGGAACAAGAAGAAATGGCTATTTAAAAGAAGCAAGGGGCAGGAGGTCAAGAAAGTGGGTTTTAATATCTCTATTCACAAGGGAAGAGATGTAATCCTGGAAAAAAAATAGCATCAAAATGAAAACCATTATATAAATTTGATGAAATTGCAAAGGAATGCAGAAAATATAAGGGAGGGGGAATACATAGCATTGAAGATTTTATAAAAGGCAGAGAAAAGATCAAAAGTCACTGAAGGAGGTAGAAGTTGGTCCAATTGAAGGCAGGGTCTATCCATCTTGACAGATGGAAGGTGGATGATGAAACCCCCCAAGCAGCCACCAGAAATCTCTGATCGTGTTCCAGTCTGCATGGGTGAGTTTGGATAAGGAGAATACTCTGGAGACAGGCTGCTGGGTTGAATCCTTTCTCCCTTCCTCACTGGGTGACCCTGGATGAATTACTTAACCACTCTGGCTTCAGTTTCTTCATCTGAACAATGGAGAGAGTAATGTTGCTCGTCTTGATGTGAGACGATATAAAGTGCTTAGCAGAGTACCGGGCATTTAGGAAGCACTAAAGACTGTCAGCTGTGGTTGTTGCTATAACCATGAACATCATGTTCACGTAGTACAAGAAATAGGAGACTGTAAGTCAGCAAAATGGCTTGGAGAAATAAAGGAGAAGGAAATCAGGAGAGAGGTTCATCTTTGGGCCAGAAATATGGGGAGATCTGTCTTCCCTGGCCTTGAGTGTCAGGAGTAGAAAGGGCTGGTTGGTGGGGAGAGACCAGCAAGTCTCCAGCAGAGACTGAAGTCTGGCTGCGCTTGATGAAGCAGGGGAACTTGTTTCTGTAAAATAAATGCTCTAACAAAAGCTCCAGTGGCAGAGGTTCTGTTGGTGGCTCCACAGGGCTAGAGAGTCTGGGAGTAGCCAAAGTAACAAATAAGTGAGTCTAAGGCAGAGAAAGAAAGCTCTGGGTTATTCATCTCCGGATGCCAAAAGCCACTGAAAGTCATTGGGGCAGGGGGAGGACATTTTTTAGTAAGCACATCTTCTTTCTTTTTCTGGCCCTACCCCAACTGCAAATCTACTTCTCTCTCACTGTATAACCAACTCCCTGCAATTCCTTACATTAAGTGACAAAACCACACTTAAGTTTAATGCGGTAAAGCTTGCTGGAGTACTTGTAAATGAGCATGGGTGGTCATCCACGTTTTCAGCCACTATCGATTTAGCACTTTCTTTGTGTCAGGCTCTGGCTAGGTTCTGGAGACACAAGGCTGTTCCCAAACCCCCATCTCCAGAGCTAAACAGCATGTCACATCATGGTTCTTAGCCATCAGAATAACACACCTAAAATTCAGAAATTGCTGACGCTCAGGCTCTGTTTCAGACTACAAAATCTCCAGCAGAGGACCCAGGCATGTAAGTTCTTCCAGAATTGCACATGTCATTTTTAGGTCCACATCGACCTTGAGAGAACCTTCTACATTTTTGTAGATGAGAGAATTGAGGCTCAGAGAAGTGATAAGTGAGGTTGCACACCTGGCAAATACAGCATTGAACTTCAGACCCAGAGCTTCTGAAGTTAAGATTCCTAGGCCTTTCCACTTGGCCATGGCCACCCTCGCGTATGCATGGTGTGCAACTCTGTGCCTAAATGCTATGCTGGTAAAATGCTCCAAGATATAGATGAATATGCTTGAAACCCTTGCCGACTACAACAAAAGCTCAAAAAGGATCGGCAAATCCTACAGAAAGTTTAGGGACCTGTATTTAAAGTAGCCAGAACCCAATACCTGTTACAACCTGACTCACTGTAAATTTCCACCCAAGGTGGGTAATGTGGCTTCTATTATACAAGCACCATGTGGTTACCATTATGTAACCCTAGTTTCCATTATATAACCCTAGTCCCGGGGCTCCAGAAACACTGCCTCCTCAATTTGTCCCTCCAGCCTCCAAGTGACAGTGGCTTCCTGCTGTGGCTGACTCTAGGTTACCTTGTTTGGTGTGTTGGCATTTCCGTTACCTGTATAACCAATTCCCTGCATTAAATTTCCTCCTTATTCCAGCTCAGATCCTGACTATTAGATGAAGAAACCAAGGATTAGAAAAGTTAATATAACTGTATTGGTCTGTTCTTGCGCTGCTATAAAGAAATACCTGAGACTGGGTAATTTTTAAAGAAAAAAGGTTTAATTGGTTCCTGATTCCACAGGCTGTACAGGAAGTGTGATGCTGGCATCTGCTAGGCTTCTGGGGAGGCCTCGGGACACTTTTACTCACGGTAGAAGGCAAGGCACGAGCAGGCGTCTTCACGTAGCCAGAGCTGGAGGAAGAGAAAGAGGGGAGAAGTTGCCACACACTTTTAAACAAACAGATCTCATGAGAACTCACTATCGTGATGACAGCACCAAGGGAGATGGTGTTAAACCATGAGAATCCACTCCCATGATCCAATTGCCTTCTACGAGGCCCCACCTCCAACACTGGGGATTATGATTTGACCTGAGATTTCGCCGGGGACACAGATCCAAACCATATAATAACTTAACCAATGCAGTACTAATTATTGTCAGAGCTAGTATTCTAGCTCCAAAGTTCCTGATTCCAAAGCCTAAGTTAAGCCATCTTAACTTATATTTCAGGTGACTAGTGGAATTTTTTATGCCCAGTGTAGGTGGTAATGACGATGGAGATATGGCGATGATGATGATGATGATGATGATGATGATGATGATGATGGCAGTAGTGGTGGTGGTGTTGGTGATGGTGTTGAAGATCACCATGTCTGACCACTGTTGTCTGTGTCCTTTGTACAATTGTTCAGATGCAGTGTCCTGGTTGTCACATAGATGTCTCTGACTGTTTTACAGGCCTTCACCTACCACCATATCCAGGAGATCATGGTCCAGCTGCTGCGGACAGTGAACCGGACAGTCATCACCATGGGCCGGGATCACATTCTGATTGTGAGTGGATTATTTCTTCTTGTCAAATGTTGCAAGCTCTTCAGCATCTAAAAATGGATTTTCTGAAAAGGCAGATCACATTGAACTCCCAGCATTGATCATTGCTTTGTTTTGGAGTAGGGTGACCAGATTTTTCCTGTCTGAGTTGGGAGGACTTGAGAATTAACTCAAGTTGTTGAAATAAAACAGGGCTTAGGACTTGTCTAGTTGAGTGTACCAGCGCTAAATTGAGCATACCAGCAAGGGTGGACTATCACTGCTGAAGACAGAGAAGGGAGAGCAGCTTTTGTAAGTAAACAAGGTGGAACATTCCAGATGCATGTCCACTAGGAACCTTTTCCTCTGGCCTACAGTCACATGGTGCCCAGTCTCAGGGTCCTGTGAGCTTGGTTTCCTAAGGGGCTTCATTGCGTGTTAATTCTGCCCATAGATGCTGGTTATTCAAGGTCATTACTACATATTGAGCTATTCTTCTGCATAAACAGTATGTTCTGAAGATCAGGAAATTTCTGCCCCGTCATCTGATTATTTTTCTTCTCCCGACACAGAACCCAGCTCGAACCCTTTAACCTCTGCCCATCGTGCTTTAAACCAAGGACCCAAAATTCAAATGCTTTCAGGGGCCAGTCACCAACATAAATGAGTATGCCCAACCATGTCACTCCTCTGCTGAAACCTGCCAATGGTTGTCCATCTCACTCAGAATAAAATCCAAACATTGCCAGGCCTGAAATGCCTTTGCCCCATGCTTATTTATTTATGTGTTCCTCCCACATATAAAACATGATAGATGTGCTGTTTCCCTTTTTTTGAGTCTGATATCACCTAAGCATAGAGGCTTGCCTTCTCTGATCACCCTGTCTACAATTCCCAGTACCTCTCCATCCACTAAAAGTCATACCTTACTTCTTTATTTTTCTAATTACGTATAATCGGAAATATACATTATCTTATTTGGTTATTGTCTAGCTATCCTCATGAGAATATGAGCTCCAGGAAAGTAAGCATGTTTTTCTGTTTTGTCATTGCTGTGTCTCTAGGTCGTATAACAGCACTTGGCATATAGCAGGTGCTCAGTAAATACGTTTGAATGAATAAATGCATGACATGTGCCAGGCAGGGACTCTAATGTTTAAAAAAGGATGAGGGCTACTCAGCCTTGACTGATTGATACCATGTGGGATTGGACCATATAGTTGCTAGGATTCCCAATATTTCAAGAGAAACTGAAAATTTCCATGTTTTGTATGAAATTTTCTGATATTTCAGTGTTGGCAGTTTATTTTAAAAAATAATGTTTATAAACACTTTGTGACTCCCAAACAGCTGGATTCCCTTCAGAAAGCCACCCTGACATTCCTGCTTTACACAGTGGTGACATCCGTGGAGAGCATCAGTGGTGCCAGATACTCTTGCTTTTTTGGGCCAGAGAGCCATGTAAACTGGTCTTTGTCATTTGTCTTACTTACCATCCTTCCACCTTTGAAGTATCACATTTTTCTTTTTTGTTTTGTTTTGTTTGAGAGACAGAGTCTCACTCTGTCGCCCAGGCTGGAGTACAGTGGTGTGATCTCGGCTCACTGCAACCTCCACCTCCTGGGTTCAAGTGATTGTCTGGCCTCAGCTTCCCAAGTAGCTGGGACTACCAGCGTGTGCCACCATGCCCAGCTAATTTTTGTATTTTTAGTAGAGGCAGGGTTTTACTACATGTTGACCAGGCTGGTCTTGAACTCCTGACCTCAAGTGAAGCATTTTATAACCTCCTTTATCTTTATTCCTTCTCTTTAGAGTAAACCTAAAGATGATCATCAGTCCATTTGGCTCATTCTGTACGTAGCAGGCTTTTAACTCCCTTTCCTGTAGAACAGTGATTCTTTTAAATGGGGCCTGTGTCATAAGAAGCACTAAATAAGTGCTGTATATTATTATTTTGCTTTCTATCTGGTAGAGTGAGGCTCTCTGTCTTTTGCATTATCAACATAGGCAAGTAACTACTCAGTACTGCCAGTCCTATGAGCCTTTTGTTTGATGGCTTTTGTGGCTGGCTCTTCTAACACACATCCCTCACTGTTGCCCCATCAATCTTTACCAGGACACTCCCCTACTCTGGAATGGTCAGTAGCTCCCTGCTGCCTACCAAATGAAGTCATAAATGCATTAGCCCAATCATTTTCAGCTTCTGTGATCTGATCTGGTCACAACCACATTTTTCAGTCTTTTCATCAACTTTTTTCCATCCAAATATCCAGCCAAAATGGATGTCTGGATATTGCCCAAACATGCTGGCACTGTCTTACATGCAGGCTTAGCCTCTGCCTCTTTCTTTGCCTGAAATTCCTTCTTGTACCTTTCAACATGTTGAAATCCTACCTAGTTTTCCAGGTCCAGCACAAATGTACGAAGCTGCTCTAGCTGTGACCGCTCCCTCTTCTAAATCACCAAGCTCTCTTTACCTTTTTTTTAAAAGCAGTTTTTCCTGGCTAACACGGTGAAACCCCGTCTCTACTAAAATACAAAAAATTAGCCAGGTGTGGTGGCAGGTGCCTGTAGTCCCAGCTACTCGGGAGGCTGAGGCAGGAGAATGGCATGAACCCGGGAGGCAGAGGTTGCAGTGAACCAAGATCGCGCCACTGCACTCCAGCCTGGGTGATAGAGTGAGACTCCGTCTCAAAATAAACAAATAAACAAATAAATAAAAACAGTTTTATTGAAGTATAGTTTATACACTTTAAAATTTAACCATTGAAAGTGTTCAGTTTGACGAGTTTTAGAAAATTTATAGTTATGCAACCATCACCGTAATTCAGTTTAGAGTATTTCTTTTACTCTCCAAAGTTCCATTTGCAGTCACTTTCTTTCCCTCCTCTCACCAACCCTAAGCAACCATTAATCTACTTTTCATCTCCATAGATTACCTTTTCTGGAAAATTTTATATAAATGAAATCATACAATTCAAGGTCATTTGTGTCTGTCTTCTTTCCTTAGCATAATGTTTTTGAGGTTTGTCCATATTTTAGGATATATCAGTACTTCATTTCTTTTCATTGCTGAATAATAGTGCATTATATGAGCATGCCAACTTTTGTTTATCCAGTCACTAGTGGATGGATATTTGGATTGTTTTTAACATTTGACTATTATAAATAATACTGCTTTGAACATTCACAAACAAGTGTTGTATGAATGTGTTTTGACTTCTCTTGGGTAGAAATCTAGGAGTGGAATTGCTGGGGCATATGGGAACTGTATGTTTAACTTTAGAAGAAACTGCCAAACTATTTTCCATAGTAGCCATAATGAGAAAAACCTGGAATTATATATTTTTAAAAGCATTCCCTGAAACTAGGAGGGAGCAAAGAGATTAAACAATGACTTGGATGAGTCCAGCTTGACCAGTAGATGAGTTTATTATGACTTACATACGAAGTACTCCTGGATGCTGGCAGGACAGCTTTAGAGATCAGCACAACCTCCCATCCCTAAGCTGCTTTTAAGCTAATTTTCTGGTGCTTTGCCTACTGTGTGTGCGTGATGGGGCTGTTTTCCTTGGTAGATTCTCAGCTACCCTCTGGGATGTTCAGGTTATCAGGGACACCTGCTTCTAAGCTGGGCACCTTGGCCTTGGCTCACCGCCCAGCCTTTAAAGACAAGCAGCGGACATGCACTCCTAAGTAACCCGGTGGGTGACCCATCACACTACGTGGCTGTACCACTTCACATTCCCCCCAGCAATGTTTGAGGTTTTGTTTACCCACATCCCCACCAAGTCTTATTATTGTCAGCCCTTTGGATTATAACTGTCCTAGTGGTATTTCACTGTGGTTTTAATTTTCCTTTCCCCAATGATGAATGATATTGATCACATTTTCATGTGCTCTGCCTCTTTTTTTTTTTTGAGTCATTTTTATCTATGAACTTGTCACAGCTCCTCTCTTAGACTGTAAGAGTTTAAGGCTTGTGCCTATTTGTGAAATAAATGGAGTAATAATAGATCTTCCTCATAGAGATCCTGTGTGAATTAAATCGTATAATACAGGATAAGCATTTGTACATGTGCTTCTTATGCACTGTATTCATTTATTTATTCCTTTAGCAGTTTATGAGAACCTCTTAGATACTCAGCACAAAGACTCAGAAATGAGTTAGGCATGGTCTGTGCCCTGGAGAAAATCAGACCTCTTCTGATGTGATGTCTCTCAGGAATCTCAAATGCACTGCACCCCAAACTCAACTCATTGCCAGGTCCCTGAAGCCCACTCCACACTCCACCTGAATTCGGGATCTCAGTTTATGGGACTGCCATCCTAGATCTCAAGCTGCCCTTGCCCCTCCCTCTCTGTCACCTGCCTGCCACTTCCATTCACCCACCAAGTCCTGCTGCTTTTGGCCCACCTGTCCCCACTCCCTCCCCACTTGGGCTGGACAAGCTACCCTGCCTCTGTCCCTTGCCCTGTGTTCTCCGAGGCCCTGTGCATACTTAGGTCACTGTGCCCATTGTGCTTATGACATTGTAAGGCAATTCTCTATTTGTAGGCTCTCCCCACATTTAGTGGACCCCCCGAGGTCAGGCACCCTGTTTTACTCTTTTATCCTCAACACCCAGCAGGGTGCCTGGCGTGCAGTGGGTACCCAAGTTTGTTGAGCAAATGAAGGCACTAATGAAATGAAGTGAGTGAATAAGTGAAATAATCCCTGAAAATGCTGTCATTTCTTACCTTCATATTCTTGAATGTGCTTTCCCCTCAGATTGCTCTTCCTTATTCAACAAATGTGTTTTCTAAATGTGGGAATCCACATTTCAGGGAGTAAGGAATTGCCTGTTCAGACTTTCTGGCTCATCCCTGAAGCCTTGCAAAGGTTGTAAGTTGCAAGCTGTGTCATTAGTCTCAATGACTTTGGAGTTTGCTAGTGTAATTACAATGCTAAGAGTGCTGAGAGGGGAGAGCCAGAGGCCTGCGGCAAGCATACTTCACTAGGAGCAGAAATGTACCTGAAATAGAAGGAAGCAACAAACAGGGTTTTCTTAAGATATAGTTTCATTTTCATAAAATGAGCCTTTCCAGCAATTCCTAGAATAGAAATATCTCCTCCAAATTAAAGAAAATGATGTTGGAAAGTAGTTACTCAGGGGTCAAGGGTCCCTGTCTTAGCACTGAAGGCCCCAATCTAATTTTGAATTGAAATTTGACAAGGAGGAGAGATCCCCATTCCACCTGTCACTTTTAATTTTCCAGATGTGATTTTTTTGGTTAGTTTCCATTGCTTGGGAATATTAATCAATATTTGTGGTAAACACCATAAATGTCAAGTACTTTTGAAATCCCAGGAGGGCCCCAAGTGGGTATAGGATGGCTGGTTGCAACTCTCATTCTTATACGGGATTAGTGACAGTTTTTTTCTTCTTTTCAGGGATAGGAACATTGCAGTAAAAGGTTTTAGCCACTAAAATCACAGGAACCATGGGGCTAGGATGGATTTCTTGTTGGGCTTAGGGCTTTGCGATGACCATTCCTGATTTTTCTATAGATCAATTCCCTGAGCAATGAATTGTTGGTGACAAATGAGCAAAAGGGAATTTTGCAAAAATAAAAAGCAAATGACTTTTACATGACTAGTACCCTTTCATCCTCTCTTTGCCACAGTCTAATTTGTCAGGTAACTTCTTGTTTACTTAAGTCCTAAGGAATTTAGCTTTTGTGGTGAGAAAGGGAGCATGGTTTGATAGAAAGTGTATATATATATATACACACACATATACACACACACACACATATATACACACATATATGTACATATATACACACACATATATATATATACACACACACATATATATACATACAGATATATGCTTTTATTTCAATACGTTTGGAGTACAAGTGGTTTTTTGTTACATGGATGAATTATATAGTGGTGAATTCTGAGATTTTAGTGCACCCATCACATGAGTAGTGTGCATTGTACCTAATATGTTGTTTTTTTATTCCTAGCCCCCCTTCCACCCTCCCCCTTCTGAGTCTCCAAGGTCCATTACGTTACTCTGTATGCCTTTGCATACTCATGGCTTAGCTCCCACTTATAAGTAAGAACATGCTGTTTTTGGTTTTCCACTCCTGTGTTACTTCACTTAGAATAATGGCCTCCAGCTCCATCCAAGTTGTGGCAAAAGACATTATTTCATTCCTTTTAATGGCTGAGTAGTGTTCCATGGTGCATATATCCCACATTATCTACTCATTAGCTGATGGGCACTTAGGTTGGTTCCACATGTTGGCAATTGCGATTTGTGCTGCTATAAACATACATGTGCGAGTGTCTTTTTCACATAATGACTTCTTTCCCTTTGGGTAGATACCCAGTATTGAGATTGCTAGATTGAATGGTAGATCTACTTTTGGCTCTGTAAGGAATTCCTATACTGTTTGCCACAGAGATTGTACTAATTTGCATTCCCACCAGCAGTGTATAAATGTTCTCTTTTCCCAACATTCATGCCAACATCGATTGTTTTTTAACTTTTTAATAATGGCCATTCTTGCAGGAGTAAGGTGGTATCTTATTGTGGTTTTAATTTGCATTTTCCTGATGATTAGTGATGTTGATAATTTAGATAGAATATTCTCCCTTATCTGGGAGAACAGGAAAAAAATTCTACATTCTTTCTGCAGATAATTGGCTAGTGACTTTATGCCAATTTAATCTCTCTAGACCTTGTTTTTTTAATGCAATAAACTATACCATATTTGAAATCTTCTTCTTATATCTGAGTTTCCTGACTTGGCTGACAATTCCTATTCTCTTTTTCTATCTCCCAAGCTCCTGAATCAGAGACCTAAAATAGATTTTGCTCAAGTGCCAGCCCTGGCTGATTGGGGATGGCTGCCTGTAGAACTGTGTTGAGGAGGATGCAGAAGCTACACATTGGCTCAGTGGGAAGAACTTGGGAATTGATTAGTGCTGTCTGTCATGGCATGAGATTGGAGAACAGTGATGTATGCAAGATACTTGCAAATATTATGTATTTACTGCAACCGTTGGTGTTTTTCTGGCCCAGTCCAAAAACTCTTGTATAAACAAGATTCTCTTGCACATATTCTTGCTTCCTTTAAAAAAGCTGTGGTATAAAAGCAGAAGAGTAATGGAAAAAACCGTCTTGGAGAGCCTGCCTTTCCTGGGGAACAATTTCCTCAGGCTACATGCCGTATTTTATCAAATTTAAGATACTCCATGATTTTATGTGCCCATAAGAAAGAAAACTTGCTGCCAATTATAATGTGACACAGATTGTAATCTTCAGAGAGGTTAAAATATATTTTTTGAAAAGTTTGACTCAAAATGCCTACTGTGTAATGGATTGCACCTTGAGCCCTCACACACAGGTAGGCAATATTGCTATCTCCTGTTGTTTGGGGGAACAGATTGAGCAGCAGAGGATGAAAGCATCATGCCTAAAGTTACACTGCTGGTAGGAATAAGCAGGATGTGAACCAGGGACACCAGAGTGCGTATGTCTCCAGTCATCTGTGCTCCCTTCCAGGAAGATATTGTCCTGTCTCACAGGTCTTGGAGCAGCTTGAGGAAAAATGTCCAGGCTTGTTTGTGCGTGGTGAGGGTGTGCCTCAAGAACCCTCCCTGGCTGATGCATCCTGTTACTGACTGCTCTAGAGAGGGCTGTCCCGTCTCCTGCCACCCCAGTGATGGGGATGAACAATCCCATAGGGAGAATCAACCAGGGAACTTGAACACTGCCAGAAGTTCTTGGAAGGAAAACAATCTGGTGATTTTGTTGAAATTGGGATCTAGCCTTTATTTTGGGTAGTTAAAATAAGCCTCTGGGTGATATATTTTGGGCCTAATTACCCCGGTTTTCACAGAGGAGGCTATTGAGTGATTAAGTAAAGGTAAATGCTTGGCATCATAGCAGCTCCAGAAATTCAGAGCAGTTTGTTCAAAAAGAAAAAAGAAGGAAATTGGAAGTCACCTTTTCCTCTGCTGCTTCACCTCATAATAGTGCTGGAGACTCCAGGAGGCATCTGTGTCATCAGAGACTGGGCTTCAAAGCTCTGACTTCACTTTTCACTCCTGGGACACCAAATTGGAAATGACCCATCTAAGCAACTACTCTGAGCCAGACCATGAGCCCAGAGACTGAGTCAAGGACTGCAGCAGGACAGTAGCAACTCCTCCCAACCCCAGTCCGTGGCAAGCAGGAGGGAGGACAGTCTAGGATACGAGGAGGTGTGGTTCTCAGCCAGGAGTGGTTAGTTGGCTCTTGGCCTTCACTCAGCACCCCTGTACCTTGTTGAAAAGTAATATTTATAATAAAGCTATCATTTAATGGCACAGGCACCCTGTATGCTAGGCAAATAGCTAAGCACCTGGTGTGTTTTACCTTACTTCACCTGCATCAGGTGCTCATATTTTACTGAGATAACTGAGACACAGGGAGGTCATGCAACTGGCCCATAACCACACAGCTTGTTAGTGGAAGAACTAGGATCTGAACCCAGGGAGTACTGTTTTGGAGTCGCTGCCCTTAAATAGTGTATTGTACACTCCTAAGCGATGAATAACTAAGGTTAGTCTTTAGGAATCAAACATTTTAAGGATAATAATTGAGCACTTTGAACTCAGTTGCCGCCTTGCCTAGATCATGGAATCTAATGAGATCACCTATGTGGCAACTTTCAGAAACATAAAATGGCACAGAATTTTTGGTGGTTTTATGATGACAATGATATGTTTAGGATTGATCTCCTAAATTCTGGTAATTAAACCACAAAAACTCTAAACTTAGAAAGAGAACTTTTTCTTTATGTGAGTGTTGGTACTTATGAAATAGCAGGCTTAACAGAAGAGGACAAGGCTGGCATGGAGTTTGCAAAGGGTTCTGGAGGCAAAGTGTCCTTCTCCTTCTCCTTCTGCCTTTAGCTCATCTCCAGGCACGGTTCATCTTGGTCCCTAAAGACCTTTCAACTCTAAATGCTTCCTTCCCATTGAGATCGCTAGCCTGAGTCTAGCCACAACCACCTCTTACGGTTGTCCTTGGCCTGCAGGACAGTGTCAATGAACACCTGCTAAATGAATGAAAGATGTTTACTGTCTACTTTTATTTCCACACAAACCATCATTCTTTTTCTCAATATGCAAGTGTTATTACTGTTAGCTTTATGTCATGATTAGATGCCGAGAGTAAGGGTTGTTGCAGAATAACTGGATTGAGTGGAAGACAAGACTGGGGGTGGGGAGCGGAAGCATCCCCTCCACAGAATGCACTGTCGGTATTAACAGTTCACATTTATGGACCGTTTATGTGACCAAGATGGTACCAAGCACTTTAAGGGCATTCTCTAATTTAGTCAGTGAGGTTGGCAATAATTACTGTCT
The DNA here is from genome assembly GCF_000001405.40 of Homo sapiens. Classification (NCBI taxonomy): domain Eukaryota; kingdom Metazoa; phylum Chordata; class Mammalia; order Primates; family Hominidae; genus Homo; species Homo sapiens. The sequence goes on from NC_000005.10 coordinate 169,850,241, forward strand.
CATCTCAAAGAGGAAATGGCCATTAGAGAGCTTGAACGCCTTCCCAGCATTGCAAGCCTGGGAAGGAGGAAGCTAGGATTTGTATCCCATCCGAGTCTGCCAGGGCTCAAAGCCCATCTTCTTAAGCAGCTCACTGTATGTGTCTAGGAACTTGTTTTCCTGAGGTAAAATTAATTTAATTGAGAAAATTCCTGAAAGTGTATGTGCAAGGGTATGTTTGTGTCATATATATGTGTACCTGTTTGTGTGTATGTGTATGTGTGTTAAGGGGAGATCAGGGAAAGAATCAAGTTAAGAAAGAAAATAGTAAAAAAAATTAGACAAGAGACTTGAAATGACAGTTTGTAGCCAAAAGGTGGCATTGTGAGCTTGGGGTAGCTTGGTTGCAGCTTAATATGGTAATATGGATGGTGTGCAAGTTTTCTGGAGGCGGAAGCATTGCCTTAATAAGGACTTTGGTGAACACATATCAGGGCATACTAGGCCTAAAATATATATACAAAACATAGATTCATATCTCAATTTTCAAAGGACCTGTAGCATGTCTGGACGGAAGTCATTTATCAAGGTAGACTTCACGGAACTGGAACTGGGTCTTGAATGCCACGAAAAACTTTAATGGCTGGAGAGGAAGGCTTGGTGCATTTTAAGTGGGAGGAGCATTTCTTGCCCTATGCCTTCTTGCAGTCTGCGAAACTCTCGTCATTCTGCTAGGCCATCTTTCCGGTTGTTCGTTGTCCTTGTTTCAGTTACAACATTACCACATGTATTGGAATTTTCTCTTTACCTATCTGTGCTCCACAGTAAAGTGAGACCCATGTGGGAAGGGACCACTTCCTTTTATCTTTCCATTCATCCTTCCATCCGTGGTGTGTAGCAGGCACTCAATTCAAGCTATGGCAGTAAATTAATGGAAAGAACAAACTAATTGAAGGAACAAATTAATGACAAGCTTTACAAAGTTCAATTTAAAAAATAATGTGAATAAAGTTTTGTTTCATGCCAATCTTTCCTGTAAAGATTTTTTAAAATATAAAATTCCCAAATACCTTACTAGCTCTGGGTGACAGAATTTTTTCAGGCAAACTAAAATATGACAGCTGGAGCATAAAAGAGCATGCTTCATTCTCCAAATCTTTCTTCCATCCCATGATTAGCTGCTGCAGAAATGAGAATTAAGAGGGAATATGAGGTTCCTTGATTTGTTAAGATAGCTACTGCATTCTCCCTGCTGTGTCCAATGGAGCAGACCTTTGCTATGGGTAGGGAGTGCTCCTAGATAATGATGATGATGTCACTGCTGCCATTGCTGTTGCTGCTGCTGCTGTTGCCATGAAAGTTTCACTTGACTCAGTACATATGTGTATTAGTCTGTTTTCACACTGCTATAAAGAACTGCCCAAGATTGAGTAATTTATAAAGGAAAGAGATTTAATTGACTCACAGTTTCTCATGGCTGGGGAGAGCTTAGGAAACTTACAATCATGGTGGAAGGGGAAGCAGGGAGGTTTTACACGGTGGCAGGAGAGAGGGAGAGAGAGAAGGGGGAAGAGCCCCTTTATAAAACCATCAGATCTCATGAGAAGTCACTCACTAGCATGAGAACAGCCTGGGGAAAACTACCCCCATGATCCAATCACCTCCCACCAGGTCCCTCCCTCAACACATGGGGATTATGGGGATTACAATTCGAGATGAGATTTGGGTGGGGACACAGCAAAACCATATCACCATGCCTCGTGTTTCTGCAGAGTAGGTAAATTCAGGCCCTGGGGAAGCTGGTGCCAAAGCTGGGGCCTTCATTGGCCACATAGGGACTGCAGCTGTCAGCACAGAGAGAGAGAGGGAAAGAGAGAGAAATAGAGTTTGGAAATTGTTCAGCAAGAGCTGGGAAATGCAGTCACACAGAAGAATGACTGGTCCATCATCAAATCCTAATGAAATTACCTCCAAATATCTCGGTGCCTTTCAGCTTCTGTTAGTGGAGCTGGACAAATCTGATTTGAGACAAGTAATTTTAAGCGTGTTCTTAAAGGTAAGACTCCACTGTATCTCTTGTCCTATTTCCTGGCAGTGGAAGAGGGGCCAGCTTTTTCTTGTCCTTGGAGAACTTGAGAAACAGCGTATCTGCCATTTGGGCGTTGGCTGAGTACCTCCATCCCTGACATTGCTTTCCAAGTGCTGTGGAACTGGGGACAAGCTATGTGGTTTGAAAGGAGTTGACAGGCTGGGAGCCAGTGTCCTCCTTTCCTCAAGAAGGGAGGAGGTCTCCTCATTCCACAGCTAGAAAGTCTCTTCACAGTGCAGATCCCCATTTTGCTTCTCTGTAAAGTGGGGCTAGTAATGGTCATTACCTGCCAAGCTTGTGGTGAAGACTGAATAAAAACATGTTTGAAGCTCACTTCACAAGGCTTAACACATAGTAGGCCCTTGGTTAATAATAGCCATTATTATTCCTCTTGTGGGCTCCTCTCCCTGCTTTGACACAAGTGTCAGGAATAAGATTACAAATTATTTTACAGGCCTGCCTTTCAATCTTTCCTGCATTTGTGAAGTAATGTTCAGCTGTTGCTATGGCTGGGCTGTGAAGAAAGCCTCTGTGAAATACAATAAGGCACACTGTGTCTGCTGTGAAGGCCTGGAACACACATTGGAAGGAGAAATCCTATCATGAGTGTCCTTCCCTGGGGGTGTTGTTGAGGGTCTGACAATTCCTGATATGGTTTGGCTGTGTCCCCACCCAAATCTCATCTTGAATTCCCATGTGTTGTGGGAGGGACCTGGTAGGAGGTAATTGAATCAGCCAGGCAGGTCTTTTCCATGCTGTTTTCATGGTAGTGAATAAGTCTCATGAGATCTGATGGCTTTAAAAAGGGGAGTTTCCCTGCACAAGTGCTCTTTTGTCTGCCACCATGTGAGATGTGCCTTTTATCTTCCACCATGATTGGGAGGACTCCCCAGCCAAGTGGAACTGTAAGTCCAATAGGCCTCTTTGTTTTGTACATTGTCCAGTCTCAGGTATGTGTTTCTTAGCAGCAGGAAAATGGACTAATCCACTGCCCCTGGGAAAATCCTGTTGGAACAACTGCTAATGAAATAGGCTTTCTCACAAATCTCAGGCCCATCGCCCCCGTCCAGGGCACTGGCTTTAAGTGACTCAAAGGAATCAATTCTGTCAAATGATCCTTCAAAATCAAAACCCATTTTTCCAGATTTATGTTACATTCATGCAGTGATGCATTTGTGTAGCCATTAAATGATATTTATGATGATTTTTAACAACACAAGACTATTCTGTGAATTCTATGTAGAGAGAGGGTTGCAGGAATGAAGCAGCAACGACAACAACAATAATAACAATAAAGTCATCAAGGAAACTGAAGTTCAAGGAGGGGAAAGAAATATGGCCCCTCACCAGAGGGCTTCGATCTCCCAGAGCTCAGAACATGTTCTAAGGCTCACATTGTGTTAGCATCTTCTGCTTAAAGGGAACATGACTTGCATATTTCTGGAGTTTTACTTTTAAAACAATTTCACTTTCCTTCTATAATCAGGAAAAACAACTTTTTTTTTTTTTTTTTTTTTTTTTTTTTTTTTTTTTTTTTTTTTGTGGTAGACAGAGTCTCATTCTGTCACCCAGGCTGGAGTGCAGTGGTGCAATCTCGGCTCACTGCAAGCTCTGCCTCCCGGGTTCACACCATTCTCCTGCCTCAGCCTCCCGAGTAGCTGGGACTACAGGCGCCCACCACCATGCTGGGCTAATTTTTTGTGTTATTAGTAGAGATGGGGTTTCACCATGGTCTCAATCTCCTGACCTCGTGATCCGCCCACCTCGGCCTCCCAAAGTGCTGGGATTACAGGTGTGAGCCACTGCACCCAGCCAAAAACAACTTTGACACTATTTCTTTAAAAATAGGAATTAAGGGGACAGTCAAACTTACTGAAACATTTTTTTTTTTTTTTGAGACAAAGTCTCACTGTGTTGCCCAGGCTGGAGTGCAGTGGCATGATCTCAGTTCACTGCAACCTCCACCTCCCAGGTTCAAGGGATTCTTGAGCCTCAGCCTCCTTAGTAAGTGGGATTACAGGTACCCACCACCATGCCCTACTAATTTTTGTATTTTAGTAGAGACGGGGTTTCACCACATTGGCCAGGCTGGCCTTGAACTCCTGACCTCAAGTAATCTGCCTGCCTCAGCCTCCCAAGTTCTGGGATTACAGGTGTGAGCCACCATGCCCAGCCCTGTAACACTTTCATGTATATAATTTCACTTTTCTTCTGAACAGTCTGTAAAGCCAGAGAGGCACAGGGTTTCATTTTAATGATAGAGGTGATGTGTGGAGGTGAAGATATTATTCAAAATTATGCAGAAAGTCAGGGGCAGAAGTCAGGACCCCCAGCCTGTCCTGGTCTGTCTCTCTTCCCCTGGACTGCTTTTCCTTGAAATGTCTCCATTATCATATATTCTCCCAATTCATTCAATAAACATATACAAAGCATTTACAGCATCTCAGGCAATTTGAGAAGCCCTTGGAGAGTCCCAGAGATGGAAATGACAATTGTGTCCCCCCAGAATTTTCTTTCTGGTGGAGATGAGCATGAGAGATTGACAAAAGAAATGTCAATATAATATGAAAAGTGGCAGCCTGCACAATGTGCTCTGGGTACTTGGAGGATGGAGTGACTAATTCCATGGTAGCAACGGGGGATGACCAGAAAAAGTTATAGAGAGGAGGTGACATTTAAATTGCAACTTACTGTCTGGCATCGGAGTTAGGAGCCCAGGCTCCCAAGCTTGGCAGACCCTCAAAGAACTCCAGCCTTCACCACCTCCTACCTGTGTACTCTGACAGATTACTTATCTCCCCCTAAGCCTCCATTTGCTCTTCTGGAAAATGGGGGTAATCATAAACTACCTTGTGGTAATTTTTTTGAAGAATAAATGAGATAATGCAGGCAAAGCCTTTAGTAACAGCTCATTGTAACTTCAAGAAACTAGAGTTTTTATTATCACTATCAGTAGTAATAATGCGACTCTCCTTTTCTTTCCTCTAAATTAAAATTATTTCCTGTGGTAGATAGGTAATGGAATAGTGTCCCTGGTAGGGAAAACAGAATTTGCAAAGTTACTGATATGTAGCAGCCTCTGACTTTTTGGAAAGTGGCAAGGAGATGGGGTTGGGGGAAGTAGACCAGTAGGAAGTTAGGCTATAAGCGCTAGAGTGGCGTTAGATTATAAGGAGACTTATTTGTAGGGGAAGGAATTTTTATGCTCTAGGATGGTAGTGGGATGCAACTAGAGATATAAAAACCAGGGAATGACATTGCTAGATGTGTGTCTTAGAGAGAGGCCCCAGGCAGCTGTGAGGGGGTGGAAAATGGTAAGAGAACATAGATGTTGAAGAACAGTGCAGGGGTCTACATGGAAGAGACCAAGGATCCCAATGGTGAAGTCTTTCAATTAAACTAAACAACACTTCCTGGATTTGGACATTACAAGATGAGGAAAGCTGCTCCTACTCTTGGAGTTTAACGTATGGTGGGAAAAGGGGAAGGTAATGAGAAAGAGCCACAAGAGAATATGTATTGGTCTGTTTTAACACTGTGATAAAGACATACCTGAGACTGGCTAATTTATAAAGAAAAGAGGTTTAATTTACTCACAGTTCCATGTGGCTGGGGAGGCCTCAGGAAACTTACAATCATGGCAGAAGGCAAAGGGAAAGCAAGGACCTTCTTCACATGGCAGCAGGAGAGAGAGAGCAGTGAGGAGCGAAGGGGGAAGAGCCTCTTATAAAACCATCAGATCTCATGAGATCTCACTTGCTATCATGAGAACAGCCTGGGGAAAACTGGCCCCATGATCCAATCACCTCTCACCAGGTCTCTCTGTCAACATCTGGGGATTACAACTCAAGATGAGATTTGGGTGGGGACACAAAACCTAACCATATCAGAATACAAGAATAGCATTTGGATGGGTTCAAAAGGAGGCAATGTGACATTCAGGTGGGGTGAATCAGAAAAAGACACCTGCTTATTGTCAGAAGCTGCCCACCAGCCCCTGAGCTCTTTGGTACTAGGGTAGTGTCTGCACTGCATTTTCCGCTCAGTGTCCTTGGCACCTCACCTGGCAGAGATAAGGGGCTTGATGACTGTTTACTGAAAAAAGTGAATACAGACTGAGGTTCATCTGAGATTTTTGGAGCTGAGGGGTGCATATTAGTGGAGATGAGGTAGAGCTTCAATCCTTGAAACCCACTCCAGGTCAGCAGCCTGAGTTTATGAGTGCTGATGTTTTGTGTTGCTTTGATTTTGTTCCCTTTGATCCCTGACTCTCAGCTACTGAAGGTATATTGTTTTTTATTTTAAAACAAAAAAGCACACCAAAGACAATGACACCAGCAAGTAACTTCTCATCACCTCCATCACCCATCCGTGATTTCTGTTTGTAGAATTGAATTTCATCGGGCTTGGTGTGCTCAGTGGAAACACTGTGTGAATCACTCTCAAGTTCAGCAGTTAACATGACTCAGCACTTGGTTCATGAGCAAGAAGGCTTTTCTGTCAGCATAACCAGGGTATCATAGCAGTGTGTCTGCTACCTGGGAAACCAAGATGAAGCACCAAGTAGAGGTCACCATGTTTAACTAATGATTTAAGAAATAAAGGTTTTTGTCAGGAGCAAACATATGGGTTTCATTTGAGTAAAATCTAATATAGTATACTTACGGATTCTAAGAATTTGTGAAAGCCATTTATGATAATAAAACTCTTATTTGCTTCCAAGCAAATGATCTTTTGGTGCGATTTTACTGTCTTTTCATTTTAGTTCTGCTTTGAGCCAAGGCAAAATGCTTTGCCCAAAATGTTCCTTTAGTTAGACCTTGTCTCTTAAATTGCATTTTCTCCAGAATGGACTAGGTCACATGTAATAAATTCTGGCATTTTAATAGAAACATTACAGGGAAAATAGTCAACAATCTGCTTTAATTTCAAAAGTCATTTACTCTTTGATATGGTAAGGCAGTATCTGGTAAAATGTGCAGAATGCATTGGGATTTACTTATGATGACAATTTATTCTGAAACAATGTGAAACTGGACCATCAATATTCAGGACAAAGATCTTGGCAGGGGGAAGGGTACTGGGAGCAAACATTAGTGTCTTTTTATTCCTGGGTCCTGAATGCCATGTAGACCTCAGGGATTACAGGTGCACGACACCGTACCCGGCCCCTCTCTCACTTCTCAAATATCTTCTCCACATAGCAGCCAAAGCAATCATTGCAAAATTTGGATGGGAATAACATTACACTCTCACCTCAGGAGAGTTAGAAGCCTTGGGCATATTACCAGTGGCAGACCCTAATTTCTATAAAGAGCTGAGACTAGGGCATGATGGTGAGAAGATGGAAAAATTGCTCTTTCTATTCCTCAGGGACTTAAGTCTCTCTTTGAGAAGACTGGTTATTTGTTCTGGGAACAAAACTAAAAAAAAAAAAAAGAAAAAAGAAAATCACACGTACATAAACCAAAACCACAATAATAGATCATTTAATTCTAGGAATTAAATAATCAATCATTTTGGGAATATACTATGAAATAACTTGAATGCAGATATTCTCAATTAAAAAGATAAGTATTCTGTTTATATACGTTGGTTTTATATTTGATAAGTGTTAAGTTTCTGAAGATCCTTTTGGTTTTGGTGGGGAGCAGAATGAGGATAGAGAGAATTGTTTCTTTATGTATAGATTTATACCATATATCATTCAGGACTGTACTCACTATGGTACCATCCTAATATGAGGACTGAAGGACCAGGGATAAACTGGTGTATGCCCAGTGAATCTAATGTACTCAATAATTTATTTCTGCAATGAGTATTTAAACCCCATGGTGGTACATGATGGAGATACAAAGGCAAGCAAGAATAAGCGAGATGGCTTCCTTAGGAAGACTTCAGTCTAGATAGATACCTTGATCAAAGAATGACGCAGATATATGTACAAGGACAACTGCGCCAAGGACTTCGATGGTAAGGTCCCTTGTGCCAGGCAAATGTCTAAGAGGGGTATTTGGCATGGTCTGGGCTGAGTTGGTGGTAGCCATGGGAGGCATGACCTGGGAAACCCCAACAGAGCTGCTGGGCAGGGAGGGTGGTGTAGGTGGGGAGTATTGAAGGCAGGAGGAACAGGAGCCTTCAGGGACTGAAGGCGTGGTAGGTCCAAGAAAGCCAAGAAGGCTGGCTGAGACTGGAAGACAAACACCGGAAGGGCCTGTGGTGGGAGCTTACAGGAGAGGCAGGGCAGGATGTGCAGGGCTTCGGGCCAGAGCAACATACCTAGTCTTACTTCCTAAGTATATTGGGAAGCCACTGAACAGTTCTAAGTCAGAGTGTAATGTTATTCCCATCCAAATTTTGCAATGATTGCTTTGGCTGCTATGTGGAGAAGATATTTGAGAAGTGAGAGAGGGGCTGGGTACGGTGTCGTGCACCTGTAATCCCAGCACTTTGGGAGGTTGAGGCAGGAGGATTGCTTGAGCCAGGAGTTTGAGACCAGCTTGGACAACATAGCAAGGCTCAGTCTTTACAGAAAATAATTATTTTAAAAAAAACATTAGTGGGTTGTGGTGGTAAGCACCTGTAATCCCAGTTACTGGGGAGGCTGAGGTGAAAGGATTGCTGGAGCCTAGGAGTTTTAGGCTGCAGTGAGCTATGATAGTGCCACTGCACTTCAGCCTGGGTGACAGAGTGAGACCCTGTTTCAAAATATATTTAAAAAATAAGTATAAAAGAAGAGATTGCATGTGGGGAGACCTGTTGGGGAGGTTCCTGCAGAGGCCAGTTGAGAAATGAAGTGGGTTTAGAACAGGATGCCCACAGTGGAGAGGCACGCTGACCTGAGAACTTGGCTTAGTCTGGCAATGAGAGAACCAAACTCTGTGTGTTGCCAACGGATGCATCCCTGCTCTTTATGGGCTGAGAGTTCTGTAGGAGGCAGAGAGAAATTAGACATTTGCAAAACCTCAGGAGTAGGGGTGGTATGATATGGTCCATCGAAATTTAGGCTGTAAATTGGTGAAAAGAAGATGGGGAGGAAGTTGAGGTGAAAGTACTCAAAAATGGGATTATGTTCATTAAACCAGTCAAATGTGGTTTGTGCTGAATGCTGACAGTGTTGGATTAGGATTTGTCCCCCGCACTTTTTCTTGCAAGCAATGCTTGATGGGCGTAGTGATCATAAAACATCTTTGTTTCTTGGCATTTATAAAAAGAAATACATTTTTAGCATACAGCAAGTTGCCTTGAGCAGCTTAAAATGAGAGCCTTTTCAAGTGAAGGTTATATTGAGGATTCAGCTCAGCTAATGAAGGTAAGAACGGGTTTCAAGTCTAGCCTTATGCTTCCTGGAATGGCCCTGGCCCCTCACACATTCCACCCACCAACCACATTGCTCCCAACACCTACTTCCCCACAGGATTGCTATAAGCCCTTGGACAAATCATTTAGCCTTCCTTAATTGACTTGTGCTTAAAATGGAAGGGACCTGGCTCTTAAAGTCTCTTTTACCTCTAGGATATTTGATTCCACACAACAAGAATCTTTAATTCCCGGAGTGCTGTGCTGTATTTTATGTGCCCATGTGCTCTTTTGAATCATGGGCGACTTTATTACTTAACATTAACTGTCGTGGTTTCTGGTGGATCCTTCTTTTTTTTTTTTTTTTTCTTTTTTTTTTTTGAGACAGACTATTGCTCCGTCACCTAGGTTGGAGTGCAGTGGCATGGTCACAGCTAACTCCAGCCCTCTTGGGTTTAAGCTATCCTCCTGCCTCAGCCTCCTGATTAGTGGGGACCAGAGGTGTGAGCCACACTCTTGACTAATTTTTTAATTGTTTGACGGGGTCTCACTACTTTGCCCAGGTTGGTCTCAAACTCCTGAGCTCAAGCAATCCTCCTACCTTGGCTTCCCAAAGTGTTGGTATTACAGGTGTGAGCCATCGTGCCCACAGAAAGTGTTCTTCCCTTGCCCCGAGAAAAACCTGTTTCTGAAAACCACTGCAGCTTCACGGAGGTATCTTCCTTTCTCTCTCCCAATTTACTTCAATCCACAAATGACTGAATATGTGCTTGTTGAGCACCTGGCCCAATGTGTACCCTACATTGTGTTCTTGGCTGTCACTCAGTTCATTGTCAAGGCACTCTTGGGAGGCAGGGGGTATATCAGAGGAATCAGAGGCTCACAGAAACTAAGCAACTTGCTCAAGTTTATGCAGCAAAAATAAGATAGCAGACTGCTGTCAAACCCAAGACTTCTGATTCTATGTCCAGGGTTTGTTTTTGTTATTGTTTCTCTAAATTGATGTTTCCCAAAGTGGGAGACTCACTCTCCAGGTGTAAACCCAAGCTGGTTTTAGATGGTTCGTGGAGAAGGCAGGAAAAGGAATACTGAATCACATGACAGGAAAGTTGTTTTCTTTTCAATTCTCTCTCAAACATCCTGTTTAGTCAAGTAGAAAATGGGCTTGGTGTGAATGTGCCTTTCGTATGTGTTGAATATTTGCTAATCTCCCATCTTAACAGAGAGCTGGTCTCAGGCTTAGCAGCCTCAATAGCAACAGGGTTTAGCAAGAACTTAATAAGATATTTTTATTTCATATTCTATTTTTGGAACATGATATTGTTTTTCTTCACATTGGCGATATAAATTTGCCTTTTAAGGAAAAAAATTAAGGGGGAAATAAAGAAAAGTACTGGATAAATTAGAGTTCAGGTGTCTGAGTATAATGATACAAATCATGCCTGTACATCCATGGAATGAGGCTGGGAGCAGCTCTCCATTTATTCATGCTGCCTCCCTCACTCACGGGACACGCGGGGCTTCATGTGATCATCGTGACACTAAGTTCTGAATCTGCTCTTTATTTATTTCCCTTAGAAATATATAGAAGCAATTATAATGAAAGCCATACTTGCCCTTAGGACCATTGAGGTGTCCTTCTTAAGCATACATTTTATAACTGAAATCAACCCAAGCTAGTAATGGAGTCTTAAAACCTAGAAAAAATATGTAAGTTTATTGCAAAAGATAATATCCCGTTTAAAACAGTTTAGAAATTTACAAAACCTTACATCAGTACATCGTCTTTAAGAAGGTGCTCTATAGATGAGCTGGTATTAAGTTCCAAGGATAGTGAGTATGCATTTATGCATTGCTTTTTAAACTACAGAGAAAGCAGCTACATAAACTCCTGCAATTTAAGTTGATGTATTGGTCTTTTTCCTTTCAATTTTATAAAAGTAATTTTTGCTAAGTTAATATCTCTCCAGCAAACCAGATAACCTCAAGTACAGCATTTCTGTAGAATATCATGGTAGATGTTACGTAATATTTTACAAAGAAGCAGTGATTTTCACATGAATAAGTGAGTATGCAGTTTTGGTATATGTGTGTGTGGTGTTTTAAACATAGAGACGACCATTTTTGTTCATCAGGAAAATGTTTATGGAATCCTATTTCCTCATAATGATTTTAAATATCAATTTTTCAGAAGAGAACTCCTTCCCAGTTTCAGGTCAGTGGCCCAAGCAATGCGGTGTTGTGCTTTGGTGTAGAATCAGTACAGCCTTGTTTGGCTGTATTTCTAGAAATGTCAACATTTTATTTATTTTTTTCTTTTCTTTTCTTTTCTTTTTTTTTTGTTGGGGAAGTGCAGAAAATGTCAACATTTTCTAGTCCCAGTTTTATTTAATTCAGTTAAGGGTTCATGTGAGGGCCTCAACTGGAAACATATCTATGACCACATCAGCTTATTAATTTTGTGTGAGGTACCTCAAACATCTCTTTATCTTCCCAGGCTAACTTTGGCCAGTAATCCAGCTCAGCTCTGAGTCACTCAGCTCACATAATGTGGAACGTGCTAAGAGTTTATAAAGTAGGAAAGCATATGTTCTTATCTGTATTCAAGAATGGACAAACAGGCCGGGAAATTTAAGCCATTTGCCAAAGGCTAGTGGTATAGACTGCTTGGTTGCCTGGATCTCTTAATTCTGGGAACAGGGTTATTTACATTCTAGCATGATGCCCGAGAATATAAATTCACATGAAATTAGCGTAAGCAAAGCAAATTAAGATGGAAGCTCTACTACAAGATAAAATTACATAAGAGGTCCCAAATGATTTCACTTTATTGGATTATCCTCTATTCTGTTCTTTTCCATTGCTGGGGCCAACTGACAGTTGATCGTATGGATACAGGAAAAAAAAAATCTGTGGCTTTTAGCCAGTGGTAGCATATCTTATTGAAATGTGGCTTCTTAAGTATGACAAGTGTATTTATCTTAATTCTAACATGACGTTATATATTCCGGTCTGATTCTGTGGGCTTAAACATTACACTAGAAACAGAACAAGAACATCTTGAATGACATTCCAAGACTTAAATAGTGCAAGCTGATATTCCTTGCCAAATTTCCCTTTCATTCTCACTGAAATAGCTTTGTTCACTGCATCACTATGACAGGGGAAGGTGAAACCATCGGAGTGGTTTGCTCAATTAGGCTCAATTTGCAGTGGGGTAGGTACATCCCACGAACACACAGGATTCTGTGCTCTGCAAAGATTCTAGCTTAGACACTGGATCTTCAGCCAAGGGAATTACAAAATACCTTCTTCGTTTAATGTATGTTTAGTTTCAGGCTCCCTTTCTAGCAATGTCAATCTAACCACATGCTGATAGAGATTTTAATTCAACCAGAAGGAATCTGAGCCTTTCCATCCTACCCCTCATCCACAAGAGTATATAGCAATTACTTAATTATATTACTTTAGTAGTTTGTTCAGCCATGCAAGTTTGACTGGATCCACATGTATGTAGGTCTTGTCAACAGAATGAGCCAGACCTTGAATAACTCAGACTTTGGGATGGAAAGATATTTAAACCTCAAATAGAAAAAACTATATCCTCATCCATAGTCCTGCTAGTTTTTCAATCAGGTGACCATTGTCTGGTCACCAGGAAGGGAGACTGTGTCGATTAATATATGTTTGAACCTATCTACACGGCTGTTTCTGGGATGAAGGGATGAGAAACAGTGTTGTGTTTTATCTTAGCCTTATCTATGTTACTCATAAGATGTAACTGATGGACAGGTTGCTGGATCTCATGATTTTAAATATTGCAGGTAAGTTAACTATGGAGTCTTAAAGTTCACACCAAAAACAGATTCCACCCATTTGCCAGGTGGTCTCAGGCCCTAGGCAGAGAAGAAGCATGATGGTTTAGGGTGGGCCCTGGAACAGCTACAGCTGCTGAAATCCTCTTTGAATTACACTTATCCAGCACAGCCACACCAACAAGTTTATACCCTGGGGTGGCCTGACTCTGCCACAGGCAGAAAGGTGCATGCACCATGAGATGACAGAGCCTTAATTTGGGATCAAGGGGCTAATTAAAAAGGAAAACAACCCAACACACCAGGGTGATCTTGCATAAGCATTTTATGCCCTGCCCACTTCTCTTGTGCTTATTATGTATGCTGATATCTTAGAAAACTGCCAGTTTATCTCATTTTTTTCTATGGTACCTGCTTATAACCTATAACCTCCCTCTACCTTCCGGGTCTGCACAACACTATTTTTTTCTTTTGGGTTTATGAACCCAGGATGGGAAGGAAGTGCTTGGCATCTTGGAGGTGTTGGAAGGTGTAGTGTGGGGTTTTGCTCGTGGTGGGAATCTGGTCTTAAAACTCAGCATGAGTTCTGGCTGAGTGTGACAGGGAACTTGGCAAGCGGTCACTCTAGTGTCCGTGAAGCCCTCAGCAAGCAGTCGCACGCACTCAGGTAAGGATCGTGGTCAGGTGTCCAGCAGCGGCTACATCAGCTCCAAGGCTCTTCTGTTTCACAGGCCAAGGGGCTCACAGCCCAGGGCCTTTGCAAAGAAGCAGGGCAGGCCTTAAGTGCAGTGGATTTCCCATCTCAGGGAAGTGCGTGGAGTTGGGGGGCTGGGGGATGGTCCCAACCAGCTCAGATCCACCAGAAGCATTTCTTTTTCACCTTCTTGGTTTTCCGCCTTAAGTCCTGCTTTTCCGGGGCTGGGGGTTCTGCTGGGGACTTTGGTGGGGGCGATGCCTCCTCAACTGGCTCTGCTTCCTCCAGACTCTGCAAAACTTCATGGAACCTGCCTTCCTGCTGCCGAAAATCATACTCTACACTGAAAAACACAGAGAGGAAGGAAGGAAAGTGAATTCGAATCAGCACAGACTGATTAAGCATCTCTCAGCCCCAACTAATATGGAAGAGCATGAGCTTTGGGATCAAATCCTAGATCCTTAGGTACCTACTGGCTCTTTGACCTTGGGAAAGTGATGCCACCTCTCTGAACCTCTAGTTCTTCAGTGATTGAATTGGCACCTGTAATGCCTTCCTCACAGGGATGTTATTAAGGGTCAGTGAGACCTGATGGCAAGTGTTCTGTAAATATTGGCTCCAGTCTCTCTCTTAATCATTAATGGGGTTTTGGCATGTGTTATGCATGAAAACTGTCTCATTATTAAAAAATTGAGATAATGCAGAGGAACAGACAAGAAAACTGACAGCTCAGTTTCATTATCTGTAAAATGGGGGTAATAAGAGCACCTATCTCAAAGGCTTTCTTTGGAATTAATGTGTGTAAACTGAGATAATATAAATGAAATGCTCAGAGTAGTGCCTGGCGTGCGCTAAGTCCTCCGTATGTGTTAGCTTCTATTACCGCTATCATCATCATCATTAACATAATTTCTACCAATATATTACGTCTTGCTCTTTGAATTGCATCTCAACTTCAAGATATATCTTGGAGAGCTTTACATGTAAGACTGCCTTGTAGTATTCCTCAATACAGTGTATTTAAATATTCCTCTACTGATGGATGGACATTCCCAACCTCTTTTTCGTTGTTGTTGTTGTTGGCTATTTTACTTGTGTGTTTTGGTGTCATTAACATACGGACTGCATTGTCCCGTGCTGATTATCACAAACATTGAGGAGGTAAAAGTGAACCTGTCGCAGAGCAGGGGTCCCTGAGGTCAGGGGAGGTGGGCGTTGAACAGAAGCCTGGCCTGTAGGGAGTGGGTGCTGATGCTGTCTGTGACCTCTGCATGTCTGGAAGTCAGGCCAGCAGACCTCAGGGACTCTCAGCCTGCTTCCTCACTCTGGTTCACCCTCCCCAGAACCCAGAGAGCCGGGGCAGAAAAAACGAATCCTCTTAGACATCCCTGTGGGCTGAGCACGGGTTCCCTCTGTCCTTAATTGTCTTTCCTCCATGAGGAGGATTTACTTACAGAGGAGTTTTCAGTGCCAAGATGCTTATAAGAAAGCTCTTAAGCTTTTTGATGTGTTTGTTACCTGGTTTCATACCAGGGGTCTCAGAAGGCCCAAGGATGAGGAGCCAGCGTGGGAGTGTGGGAAGTGGAGGAAACGTGGTCATGAAAACAGTGCATTCTCCTTGTTTAGCCAGAAGGAAAATGAAATGTTGCATCTGGGAGACCAAAGACCCCATGTTGGTTTATGATGTGGCATGACTGGCCAGTGCCTTTATACCCAGCAAGGGCTGGAAAACAGCTGTCATTAAAGGGACATCTGCCCTTGCTTACTCTCCCCATGTCACCTCCCAGGGCCGGGGACCCGAGTTCATGCTGCTGCAAAGGCATGTTGCCGTTGCCATGCATGACGAATGGAGCCCCAAAGAGTGCCTCGTCCCTGAGCATTCTGAGATGGAAGAGGCAGGGCTGAAGAGTCAGAGGGGCGAGGGGGCCTGTTTTATAGCAAGACTGATGGGTTGTTGCAGGGCTGAAGAGTCAGAGGGGCGAGGGGGCCTGTTTTATAGCAAGACTGATGGGGTGTTAGTTCTTAGGGAGCACTAGGAAAGGGTATCTGATTGTTTTGTTTCTGCATTTTTCATCCAGGCTTGCTTCTCCTCCACTTACATGCCTTCTCTTTCTGTTCTCTCTGGCCCTCTCTATGGGGACATAATCCTGGCTGGATGACCTATAGGCCATCATTATATTAAATTAGAATTGTATTGTGGATGAAACATAGGCTGTGGTTTTTAAAGCAAAGCCCCACAGTTTCACTGTGAGATCTTGGGGAAGTCATTTCCCACTTCCAGGCTATGGTGTCCTCATCTGCAAAATGAGTAGTGCCTACGCAAAGGACCTCAGTGAAGCTTAAATGCCATGTGCATATACAACACGCAGCATAGAGTAGGCACCAAGTATCCAGTCAGTCACTCGACAAACATTTATTGAGCATCTTCTTTGTGGCAGGCCCTGTTCTGGCTGCTGAGGAAGGAATGGTAGGCAGACAATCTCCCTGGCCTCCTGGCACTGCTAATCCAGTGAATCTGTGTCCTCAGTGCTGGCATCAGTAGCTGTTAGAGACCTTCTAGCCAAAGCCCAGAATTTGCCAGGCCAGTGGGCAGAGGCATGTGCAGACTCACATACTGACTGTCTATTTCAGGAGTCTCTATTTCAGGAAAAACTCTGAAACCATGTTTTTCCTCTGCTCTCACACCACAACAACCATCAACACAGAAGAAGACTTCTATGACCAAATGTGTGGGAGTTTCTCCCCACTACCAAGCAGTGGCCACCAGTTGGGTGTCTTCCAATTCAGTTCCAGTACTATCTACCCAGAGATAGCATCAGATTCCATAGATTGGGGGCTCAATCCCACAAGACTTCCCCCCACTTACAAGTCCGGGACCTTGGAACTTCTGACTGACTAGCTTCAAGTTGGGGTTCCCAAAACCCCTTCTTTGGGTTTGATTAATTTGCTGGAGTGGTTCACAGAACTCAGGGAAACACTTCCTTACGTTTACTGGTGTATCATAAAGGATATTGCAAAGGATACAGATGAAGAGATGTGTGGGGGCTTCAGCCCCTGTGTAGCACTCATTCCTCCAGGGTATGGGCAGGACCCACTCTGGAATCAGTCTCTTGACCCACAATCAGATTAGATTCCGGCCTTAGGCAGGTGACAGGAGGACAGGAGAAGGTCAGAGAAAGAGAC
The DNA here is from genome assembly GCF_000001405.40 of Homo sapiens. NCBI lineage: Eukaryota > Metazoa > Chordata > Mammalia > Primates > Hominidae > Homo > Homo sapiens. Next base: position 169,867,300 of record NC_000005.10, read on the forward strand.
TTTGTTTCCTGAGGCCTGCTCCTGAGGCCTAACTCACCCAACGTGATAACAAAAGATTGTAACAAGGGCTATGGGAGTTATGAGCCAGGAACCATGGGTGAAAACCTCTCTGTCTGTCTGTCTGTCTGTCTGTCTGTCTATCTATCTATCTGTCTGTCTATCTATTGATCCATCCATCTATCATCTATCTAATCTATCATCTATTATCTATTTATCTATCTATCATCTATCATCTATCATGTATCTATCATCTATCAGTATCTATTATCTATCATCTATCTGTCATCTATCGTTATCTATCCATCTATCATGTATCATTATCTATCATCTATCTATCTATCTATCTATCTACCTCTAGCATCTATTTGTCTCTATCTATTGATCCCCCCACACACATAGATCGCACACATACACACATATATAATCATAACATCACAGTCTCTTCTTCCAGGAGGCATCACCTGGTACTGCACCCCTATTTGTCTGGGGTGTGGTGGAGTGGGTTTCTGTCTGCACCACCTATACTTCATTCTCCCCAGTGGAAACTGGAGATGGATTGAGAGCCTAGGCAACCCCTGCATTGCAGCAAGGAAGGACTTTAACATGGTGAGTTGCAAGCTCTGATTCTCGCCCCTCTAGCACCAGGAACACACATAGTTCACAGATAGGGAACATCTATATTCACAATGCTCCTAGCTCCTGAAATAGCCCTGCCCTCCCTACTGTGACAGAAAAACAATCTTCATCATAGAGTACCAGATAGAGCCAAAGAGAGTGGGTACCCCCTCTAAGATTTTAGGAGTCTAAGATTTTCTTGTACAAAACATTCCATCCATCATCAGTCCATCCTGCTCTGGGCCTGACACTGTACCAGGTTCCAGGAACACAACAGTAAGTTAGACAGATGTGGATACTGTCCCCAGTGTGTTTGAGATAGGTGATTAAGTAACAATTGCTTTCAAAATGTACTTCTTATTTCTCTGAACTACTCCTACTTTCCAATTCTTCATCCATATGCTTCCACCAAATTATATGAATACACACATGCACCAACTGCCTTCCTCTCCTTATATGTGAAGTGTCTCTGACTTCATAATTCAAATAAACAAACAATGACAACAAACCAGCTGAGTTTGACAAGATTTACAAGTGTCCTAATACCTGTTTAATAAAAATAGGCTGGGCGCAGTGGCTCATGCCTGTAATCCCAGCACTTCGAAAGACCCAGGTGGGAGGATTCCTTGAGGTCAGGAGTTTGAGACCAGCCTGGGCAACATAGCGAGACACCATCTCTACAAAAAGTAAAAAATTAGCCATGTGTGGTGGTGTGCAACTGTGATCCCAGCTACTTGGGAGGCTGAGGTGAGAGGATCACTTCAGCCCAGGAAATTGTGGCTGCAATTAGCTATGAGTGCACCACTGCACTCCAGCCCAGGTGAGAGATTGAGTTGTCCCCATCTCAAAAAGAAAATGATATTAATGCTCTGGATGATTCTAGAATGTGTATGGAACTTGCAGGCCTGGGTAGAAAAGACCGGGAGATGGAACGGAAACTTTATCTCACCATCACAACTTGAAGCCCAGCCCAACATAGAGGATGGAGTGAGGGCCCCAGAGCTGAATGCTCTTGGGTTTGAATGGAGGCTGCAGCACTTCCTGGCTGGGTGACCCTGGGCAAGTTTCTTCTCTTCCCACGGCTCAGTTGAACTTGGGAGTTACACTAGCTTCCTCGCTGGGTGGCTGTGCAGATGGGATGCAATAGCAGCTGAAATCACTGCACATGGAACACTGTCTTGGCCCACTCCACTCTTCCTCACTAGGTCCTTTGCCTTCCCATCTCAGCTCCTCGCATCAACCTTCAGCTCTTCAGTAGCTGCGCACCTTACCAGCAGCATCACTCCTCACCCCTCCCCACCATCTACATTCAGGGAAGAACACACTCTTTATGTTTCTATGGAAACACAGCAGGGTTTCATTATAATCACTGGGATTTAGGGAGCTCCCCACTCCCCTCTTGTGACTGCCCCCACTGGTCTTGAACAATTTAAAGGGGATTGAAAGTAACTTTCTTTTCAAGGCCAGGCAAATAGCAGAATATGGAGAAGTGTGTGTGCTTCGGAAAGAAATTGATTAATGTTTTTTAGGCCAAAGCAATTTATTAACATAAAGGAAAATTGCCACTTTTCTTTTTATTCATCCGTTTGACACACTACAGTTTGGAAGGGAGGAGAGGGAGTATATTTTGCTTTGGTGGCAGCTGCCTTATAAATGGGGAGGGACAGAGCCCTCTCATCTGCTTTTTATCTTGAGGCTGGGTAGAAAAGAGAAGATGCATTTCTACTTCTTACTTAGCTACTACACCATGCTTAGCAACCCCTTGCAAAAAGGAGTAAGTTGCCAACTTGGTGAAAATTGAAGTTAATTCTTAGCAGAGCGTTGTTTGCAGACAGTGGGAGAGACTCTCTGCTTTGGGTTTCAGCCCAAGGATCCAAATAGCACACCAATAACTTTTCTGACCTCACCTCGCTTTCACTGCTTCCACCTACTCTCTGTACCCTCCCATCCTTACCATCTTCCACCATCCATATTTCACATATGCTGTATATTCCATGCAGGATCGTAAGAAGGAAGATAGGTGCAGAGTGCTGAGTTTGCAGAACCCTGGCTTACAGTGGAGGGCAAATAGTAGTTAAGAAATTGTTACAATGCAAAATTCCGGACACGAGCCCTTGAGATAGTCCAGGGCATTCATGGTATGTGAGTTGGTCTTCCTGAGGATGCATGGGACATGGGACCTGTGGTTTAGGGATGCTCAGTTAACTGCCTGAGGTGCCTTAGAGCCCTTCACATCCAAGGAGATGTCTGAACACGGAGCCACGTTGCATTTAGAGAGTGAGCTATGTGTAAACCAGAAATGGTAAGAACTTTCAGGTTTCCCTCTTGGGGGTACCTCACTAATCTGGCTTACAGATCAGTGCTCCAGCCATCATGCTCGCTGAAAAGCAGAAAGATGTTTTTCTAGGTAATTGGAAGCAGCAAGAGCCCCAAGTCATGACTTGGCTGGAAGAAGAAACAGTGAGTAACAAATAGCAAAAAATAGATAAGCTCATGAGCAAACAACAGAGCGAGGTTCTGGATGCAGGATCTTGGCTGGGTAAACTGAAGTTGGGTGAGCCAAAAGGAGATAAAAATTGATGTAGAAAGAAATAACAGAAGCCTCTCAGTTGTATATAACTTTTGAATTTGCAAAGTATTTTAGATCTGTGGGTTTTTTTCTTCTTTTTTTAATTTTTTGATTTTTTAAAATTTTATTATTATTATACTTTAAGTTTTAGGGTACATGTGCACAATGTGCAGGTTTGTTACACATGTAAACATGTGCCATGTTGGTATGCTGCACCCATTAACTCATCATTTAGCATTAGGTCTGTGTTTTTATTTTATCCTCATGATAGCCCAGGAAGATAGGAAGGTTGTTGCCCATTTAAACAGACAAGCAAGTTGGCAAAGGGAAGTCATACTGTAAGTTACAAGCAGAATCTAAACCCTATGTCTTAGTCTGCTTGGGTTGCTATAACAAAATACTACAGACTGGGTGGCTTATACATACATACATACACTTTATTTCTCACAGTTCTGGAGGTGGGAAGTTGAAAATCAAAGTGCTGTTAGTTGGGTGTCTGGTAAGGGCCCTCTTCCTGGTCTACAGACAGCTGTATTCCCTTGCTGTGTCCTCACGTGGCAGAAAGGGGAGAGGGACCTCTCTGAGTTCTCTTTATAAGGGCACTAATCCCATTCACGAGGACTCCAAGTTCATGACCTAATCACCTTCCAAAGTTTCTACCTCCAAATATCATCACATGGGGCATTAGGAATTAATCTGAATTTGAAGGGTACACAAACATTCAGTCTATTCACCTAGTTTCCTGATACCTAGTCCTTTGATTTTTCTGCTTAAAGAAGGACCAAATGTTTTAGCCATGGACCTAACTCTTTCCAGCATTTTATTCTAAGGAGAAGAAACAAAAAGAGAGTACCTGGGCCACATTAGATTAGGATACATGGTAATTTAAATGGGCAAAAATAATAATTATGATAAAAAGAATGATGGTCATTTATGGAATGAAATCTATGTGCTAGACACTATGCTACAAGTTTACACTCCTTCTCTCATGAATTCTCACAATCCCATGGGATAAATAATATTACCTTCATTTTATAAATGAGAAAACTGAGGCAAAGAGAGGTTAAATATTCTGCCAAGGGCATGTAAATATAAGTGACAGAGTCAGAATCCGAACCCTGACAGTCTAGCCCCAAAGCTTCTACACTAAGATGCACTGGACTGAAATAACATAGTAATCTGCATCTGTATGAAATTCTGATTGCAAAATATGTAGGGTGGTGGGGGTGGAGGTGGTGGCCAAGGCCTGGTGCTCCTGGATGACCTCACAGTCCCCTGTGGAACCAGACCTAAACTAGGGCTGGGGTGCATGGGGGACGCTTTATGGACCAGCTGACCAGTCCACCTTGGAATACTCTTTCTCAATTTCAGGGCAGCCTTGAAAGGGAGGCTGCATACCCAAAAAAGGTGCTCTCCTTCTAAGGAGGCAGCCTATTGAAGATAATATCTGGGGTCAGCAATCTTGGGTCTGGTATAGCCTGCTGATGTCTCCAGTGAGCCATTTTGCACTTCCTTCTCAGCAGTGGGTCCTGCTCTTTTATAAACAGGCATGCCAACAAGCCACTGCCATCAACTACACTCTAAGCAAGTTGGCCGAGAAGTGAATGATTCATGGCGTCTCCCTGAAGACAAACCATCTTCCAAATTCCCCTCCACTTCTTCTTCATCTCTTGTTGGAACATTTCTGTGGTCCCTGTTTCTACAGAACCCAGGTGCACCACTGATTTACTGACCTCCTGCAACTTTCTCTTTTAAAGAATTAGCTGTAAGAATCAATGGATGCAGCGAGAGTAGTTTGGTTCTCGTCCATTTGGATAAATCATGACACTTTGGAAGGCATCTCTGGGGAAGAATTACAGTCTCGGATCACAGGAACTTTAGTTTGTATGTTTTTCTCTCCCCAGCCTGGAAGGGATATTGTTCCTAAAACTTTCTCCTAATGACAAGTTTGCTCATTTTTTATAGGGTTTAATTTTGTGCTTCACAACTTGCAGCTATTTCAAATTGGCAAGTCTACCCCTTCTCCTAGGGCATCTATCTGCTGTTGGGTCTTCAGAAAATCACAGGTTCTCTTCTTGGCATGTATATAAATGGGATCAAGCTGCAGAAATCTCTGCTGATAGCTATATCTGAAAGAAATCTGTGTTTTGGGTTCTGTGACTCTGTGCCAGTAAGATCTGCATGTGAAACCCTCAGAAAGGGTAGATCATCTCCGAGAAAGTTAACACACTTATTCACTGACGATGCAAGGTCACAAGGAAAGAGGGGAAGGGACAGGAAAGTCTTCTGAAAGTAGGACCTAGTTTTGAGCCCTGGCTCCCTGGGATCTTGGGCAGATCACTTAACCTCTCTGAGCCTCAGTTTCCTCATCTGTAAAATGGGAATGTTAATCCTATCCACATTTTAGGATGGTTAGGAGTCTGGAATGAAACGATAGACATATAGTGTTGGGCAAAATGCCTAGTGCAGTGGCTGATTCAACAAATGGTAATGATTATTACACTAACTTGATGGAGAAATAAAGATCGGATCACTCTGTGATCACCTGTGGCCTCTGTGCCAGCAGCCACTCATTTGTTATTCCTCTGAAATATTCAACTCGTGTAATTTTATATTTATGGCATGTGTCAGCCTCTTTTGCTATTAATGCATTAAAATAGGTTTCATTTTTTATTACAGATAAATTGCTGATGCTGTAAATCCTACTTCTTTTCCTTTACACTCTAGGGAGAAAAAGAAAGGGGTAAAGCCATTCAAGAGAATCAGGGAATAGAGAAAAATGTCTTGGGAATCTCCTGTTGGGACTCAGAGAAATTTTACCTTTTACATTTTACATGTACCCCAAACTTCATAGCTGTTTCCCAAAGAGACATTTAAGCTGTGTTTGCTATTGGTTGTTTTGGAGATGCTCGAGGGCATTGCTATGACGTTCACGGCCCAGCATTTGAAATAGTGTGGCTCAGTCCATATTGGAATTTGATGAGAGCTGCAAATGCATCTGTGATTACTAGAATAACAGATATGCTGTGTGCCTTTATCATTATTTTTTACTGTGGACTTCATTGCTGGCCAGAGGGAGGACTGTGGCTGGAAGACAAGGTTCTCAAGAGTTCACCTGGCTCCACGCTGGGACACTGTCATAAGCAGATGAAAGGAAAATACTAAACAATTTAAGTGAAAAGTTGGCTGCTAAACCCATAGGACTGAGTGCATATTGCATTTCTAGAGAAATGCCTTTTTCTCTGGTTAGGTAATAGCTTTGAGTGGCAGGCAAGGCCAGAGCTCAGTGGCCAAATCGCTTAACCAAGAAGGAAACTCCCAGAAGCACTCTCAGACCTCCAACCGTGTGACCTCAAGCGGCTCACACAGCTCTCTGGAGCCTCTCTCTCCTCAGTGATGTGAAGCCCTTGCTTTTCTCTTGCAGGGTGCACAGCTGTGAGGCTTTGGCCTGCATTCCAGGGAGCCTCCTTGTCATACTCTGAATATGAAAACTGTGAGGGGGACGTGCTAGGAACGAGAATGCTGGTTGCTAGATACAAAGGGAGGCTCTTGCAGAGAATCTCCTTTACAGAATCCATAAGTTCTTCTCTGTCTGGTCCAGAAGAATTTATGAGTGGATGCATCAATAATGATTAAAATAAAAAAGCGGCCGGGTGTGGTGGCTCATGCCTGTAATCCCAACACTTTGGGAGGCCAAGGTCAGTGGATCACTTGAGGTCAGGGGTTCAAGACCAGCCTGGCCAACATGGTGAAACCCCGTCTCTACTAATAATACAAAAATTAGCTGGGTGTGGTGGCGGGCACCTATAATCCCAGCTACTCAGGAGGCTGAGGCAGAAAAATCGCTTAAACCTGGGAGGCAGAGGTTGCAGTGAGCCGAGATTGTGCAACTGCACTCCAGCCTAGGCGACAGTGAGACTCTGTCTCAAAAAAAAAAAAAAAAAAAAAAGCAATTGGTGGTCTGTGGAGTTTGAGAAAATGGAAAATGAGCGGGTGGTGGTGGCAGATTCTGCGTGGCATTTAGCTTCATGCATGGTCCTTGGTTCCCAAGCAAGGGGTGACCATACCCCTATCCTGAAGTGGGAATGTAGTGGTAATGGTCAGCATTTGGACACCCACCTTTTACACGTGTCTGCTGTTGACCCTCTAGGGCCCACCAGAGGGCCGTTCTTAGCGTTTGGTCCCTTGGCCAGGGAGCAGAATTAGGCTTTAATTACTCTCAACCTTTGTTGGAGGAAAAATGTCAGCCTGGATTGCCAATCAGTTTCTGATCTCAGATGAGGCCTGAGGGACTGAGAGAGGTGGGAGGAAGGAACGGTTACAGCTGAATCTCCCAAGTATTGCATAATGTAAGCCTGGGCCCCAGAAAGGCCTGAGAGGGACTCCTTTTCTCTTCTCATTGGAAACAGGAGGCATCAGAAGATATGCCTGCTCCATGAGTAATCCTCTCCTCTCTCTTCCTTCCCTCGCCCTTGCCTCCATTCTCACCTTTACCCAACATATATAATTAGGTCTATATATGATCATCTAACCCTAAAATCAAAGCCAAGCAGAAAGGTAATTCATCTTTCCAAAGATGTAGTAAGAACTAAAGCTACTCTCTGGGCTATTTTACAAGCAAGTATTTTTTATTCATGGGCTGGTTGTCACAAAACTTTCTAGTAAATCAAGTATCTTCTTTCAAGACCCTGATTTTTTACCTAAAAAAATCCTTCTGCTTTATTTGAACCAACCATTCCCAGGGAGCTTGCTGCAACTGCGGATTCCCATCCTCCACCCCACACTCTCTGATTCAGTGGCTTTGGGGCTGAAACCCAGCAACAAGTTTCCATAGACACCCAGGAGGTTCCGATGCAGATGGTCCACGACCACGCTTTGGGAGCACTGTCTAGGGCCTACATCTTCAATGTAAACCCTCACGATGCCCTTGGCTGAGTGGAACTCAGTGACAATCGAACATTCCACTGAGACCTAATATCCTTCAGATGAGTCTGGCATCTGGAAGGCAGCATGCTGTGGAATCTGGCTTGTTGGAAGACAGAACTGTGTTCTGCTGTGGCCGTTGCAATTACTATTTCCAGAATAATTGTGCAAGTGCCTCGCCTCTCTCAGCTTCAATTGCCTAATCTGAATGTTGAGCAAGTGCCTGACCCTTCCTGAGCAACAGTTCCTTCATCTGTAACATGGGGGTACTTTAATCAATCTCATCATTGTGAGGATTAAGTGTGAAAACAAAAGGTACTTCAAGTGATCAGTAAATAATGGATCCTCGGTAAGTGGTAGCTCTCTTCTTTCTTTCCCTTAAGTTTCAGCCCAACAGATCTCTTTCGTCAGCTGTTATCATTGTAAAAATCATCAGTTAAAGGCAAATAAACTGGCCTCCAATTATGAGGATTTATTCTGAGTGTACTTATGTCCCTTTGTTGAAATTACCACAAATTTAATGGCTTAAAACAACATAGATTTTACTCTTACAGTTCTGGAGGGCAGAAGTCCTCCAGAGCTGTAAATCAGAGTGTCAGCAGAGCTGTGCTCTTTCTGGAGGCTCTAGGAGAGAAAACATCCCTTGCCTTCTCTCACTTTTGGGGTCTGCCATGCCTCCTGGCTTGTGACCACGGCACTCTGACCTTTGCCTCTGGCGTCACATCTCCTTCTCTGACTCTGATCCTCTGGCCTCCCTCTTTCTCTGCGGCCCTTGTGATTACACTGGGCCCACCAGACAACCCACCCTGCTCTCCTCCTTTGAAGTCCTTCACTTCATTTCATCTGCAAAGTCCCTTTTGCCAAATAAGGTCACATATGCAGAGGGTCTGTAGGATGTGGACACCTTAGGCATTATTTTGCCTACAAGCCTGGGTTTTGATATTTAGCATTAGACATTTAGCAAGAGAACCTGAAGATCTGATGTTCTAACTCATTCTCCCAAAGAGATCACTGGGACAATTCAGACACCAGAGAAGGGAGATATTTTCACCTGGAGGGAGTTTTGTGGTTCCCCACAGTCAAACTTTGCCTTTCCCACTACAGTCAGGACAGAAGTCCTGGGCAATAATGTCTGATGGCCTGGAAGAACAAGGGTTTCAATGTCCTATGAAAGTGCAGCAAGCTCTCTGAGTCATCAAAGAAAGGTTCTCTCTTGTTGAAAGTATGTGGCATTCCAGTTATTTTGAAACTGGCAACCTACGGGCTTACATTCAGCTTAAAAAGACCCATTGAGAACCAGTTACATAGAAGCCCTCCTTCCTAATAAGAATATTTGCTTAATCCTTCATTTCCTCACCCAGGAGTGGTGGTGTACACTAATAGTAACAATGACTTTACTTCTGGACAATTTAAACAGCTGTCTCAAGTCCACTACTGGTTTTCCTTCCTCTCCTAGTTAATAGAGTCATTTCTTTCTTTAATAAGAACCTACTGAGCACCAAGTATGTATGAGACACTGATCCATGACTTTGAGAGACTAGCCATTTGCTGAAGGAAAGAAACTTATAAACACCATATTACAATGCAATAGGATCAGTGACCTAGCAGATGAGGGCTCATGGCATGGGGGTCCTTCTGGGGAAGGATTGGATTGTGAGGTTGTCCAGATAACTGACATTTAAGCTGCAAGACTAAGAAATATCCACACAAAGCAGGGCAGAAAAGACGTCCCAGGAAAGCAAAGGAACTTATGTAAAGGCACAGAGGAATGACAGAACCACCAGCTGAGCACCTAGTTCCCCATGGCTGGAGAGGAGCCACAGACTACCTGAATCAGGACAAGATTGTTTAGCGGGGGAGTGACATGGTCAGATTCTATTTTTCAGGTGCAAGTTAGCAATCTGCATGGAGGATTACTTGAGATAAGGGAAAAGAGACCTGTGTCAAAAAGGTCAATTCACGTTCAAGTGACAAATGATGAGAGCCTTTTCTGAACCTGCGGCAGAGGAATTGGAGTGAAGGGGTTGGATTGAGCAGTTGGAATCAGTAGCTTATTTGGCATATGAAGAGAAAGTCAAGAGGGATTGTGATATCTTTATGGAGTTGCCTCTTGGTCAATGGTGTTGAACAAAGTAAATATGGGAAGAAAATTAATTTTGTGGTGAAATAGGTGTGTTTGGGGATATGACAAATTTGAGTTGCCTTGGGATATGAAGTGGAAATGTCTGCATGTAGTTGCTTGAAAATTTTAGATAGATAGATAGATAGATTGATATAGATATCAGATAAAAGGTAGCAGAAAGTGGTGCCACAGAAATAAAGTCCATGAGTGCAGTTGAAGTGATGGGAAGAAACTAAGGATAAGACGAGGAGCAGTCTGTCCAGGTGGACCCTGGACAAACAAAACCTCTTCTATTTCTCTCACCTCTCTAGCACCTTTCAAATCCTACATGGCCAATCTCTCTCTTCACCCACCGAAAACCGTAAGGTTGCAACTCTGTCTTTCCAATTCCTGAACAGCATGCTTGGATGGGAGATGAAAAGTTTTCTGGGAAAGACCTCTTATTATTTTCCTTTAAAACATATTGGAGACATTTTACAACTGAAACCAAGCAGTTTTTTCCTGGGAGTTATGTCTAGAAAAGAAATGCGTGATCTCTGTAATCAAAGACCTCTAAAGAAGCACTGCTGACTATTTTTAGCATAAACATAAAGATGAATGCTGGAGATATGACTGGAAAAGTAGAGAAGGGAGTGAGGGAAGGAGGAGCAAGTGGCTTAGAGGGACCTCGTGCCCTTGAGAAGGTGAAAAGGAGCCGATTCCTTAGGGCACCATTTCCCAAACTTCAATCACTCATTCTCCACCTTCATGGTTTTTGCAAGATTCCCCATACCATCTACACAGTTATTCACTTCACTTTTTTTCTCTAAATCCATTCGCTTTTTAAATTTAAAAACATGTTTTATGTAAAACAGGCAATATCACTTTTGGAAATGCAGACCTGCATCAATTACAAAAAGTATTTAAAAGGACTAGTTTTAGAAGTTAAAGCCTTCAATAAAAAAAGTAAAAATGATTGTATTCTAGCTAGATAACTATTGCTTGCTCAGGGCTGTGAAACTGAGACCTGCTCTTTCTTTGCAGAGAAATGTGATAAGCCAGCATTAGGAAGGTTTTAAAGACGTTCTAGTACCAAACTCAGATTTTCCCCTCTAGGTTATTGGAAGGATTGAAATAAATTTGAAAAGAGAACAACTTTCTTACTAAGTAATTTAATGTTATTTAATCTTGGATGCTATGGTGGCATTCACTCAACCCTTTGGGTAACTTGTGCTAGGATTAATGCTAAGGAGAAGTGAAGGGAGTGATTGGGGCCAAAACAGCCTGGAATCAGCTGGTGGTTTAGAGCCAATTGCCACTCACTTCCTGTGGAGTCTACAGTAGTCAAAACCAAAGGATCCATTCACCTTTATGTACGGAAATCCCTGCAAGCTCCTGAGAGCCATGGATAGAATCTCTAGGCATTGGTGTTGGGTCTGTGCTCTTGGTGAGATAGGATGTATCCAAGTGTTCAATGGTAAGAGGAGAGCCAAGGAGGCTTAGGGAGCAGAGAGAAGGAGTTAGATAGAACCAGATGACCCCACATGTCTTGATAAGAGCAAGCAGCATAGCCATAGCCTCCAGCTGCTGGAGCCTCTGGGAAATACCACTTAGGAAACCGTATGCATGGCTAATTTAGCAGCAACATCTCCAGAGAAGAAGACCCAGTGGGCAATCCATCATGCGCTGGATCATGCTGCTTTATGTACAGTGACATGCACTGAGCGCATCCATCATCGGGGAGAGAGATCACGGCTTAACAAGGCCTGGGGATGAGTATTTCACATCACTTATTCATTCGTTTCTAAGATCTGACTTTCCAGAACACAACGCAAGTTTGAAGTCATTTGAATGTTTTCTAAAAAAAAATGACAACTCTCATCTTCCCACTGTTACTACGATGGGGCTGTTCAGATCTCTGCTTTCATCAAATTAATTGCCCGTTCCCTTGCAATGGCTTAGATACAAGGATATAGATTCTTTCTGGGAGAACAGTCTGGCTTTGAATGGTAATGAGGGATATATGCATACAATTGCTGTTCTTCTGGAAAGGATGGTGTGCATGAAGGTTTGCTAACCCAACCAGGGGTGTAACTTAATTTAGAATGTTTGCTGGAGATGTTTGAATTAAGTGCTAGAAAAATGCAAACATTCTCAGACATGTTGGAAGGTCATAGTTTAGCCAAATATTGTCACTTTTAATTCGGTTTAGAATATCAGAATGTCAGAACTAAAAGGGACTCTTGGGGCCATTTAATTAAAGACCCTCATTTTTCAGATGGGGAAAATGATTTGCCCAAGGCGAGGTCATGAAACTCATAGTAGACTTGGAAATCACCCCTTGCCCTTTTTACTTATATAGGCCAAATATAAAATCATTTTAAGGTAACAGAAAATACATTATCTGGCTCCGGAAAAGAAGAGAGACTATCCAAAATTTAAATGGAGGTTAGTTCAAATTAATTCTTCTTGTTTATGATGAATAGTTTTGTCCTCTCTGTCTAGACATTTAATAATTTTTGTCCCTTCTAATGATTAGAAAATTTGTTCAAGTTAGAAGATATAAAAAAAGAAGCAGCAAAAAGAGAGCAATTGATGAAACTTCTGCTTAGGCTTTCCAATGCTGCAGGGCTCTTCCGGGGCCCTCTTTTTTAAAGGAAGACTTCACATTGAGGTGAAAGGCATTTATCTGTGAGCAGTCCTGACGCTTCTGTTATTTGATTAAAAACAGGTGGTTCCTCTTTGTAAGGAGCTGATGGGTTCAATGAAAAGATGCTCAAGGCCCTGCCTAAGTGCAAGCACCTTCTGCCTTCCAGGCATATGGTCTCTTACTCATTGAAATTTCAGGATTCTGCCAGAGAGAATGAGAAGTTTTAAAAGAAGACATAGGCAACCCAATTAGGCTCCAGTTTGCTCAGGCCCTAAGCTGCCAGTTTTCAACAAAAAGAGAAGTGTAATAGAGAAAGCAAAACTGTTCACTTTGGTCAACAAAATTAGATGTCGTCAACGGAAATTACTGCTTTTGACCACTTTTCTACTATGCCATGGAAAGTGGGCTTCCAGCTAAGGGGGCATTGATCTTTCTAGTAAAAACAGGTATAAACCCTTGCATTTGTTCAGAGGTTTGCAGTTACAAAACACATTCACATATATTATTTCATTTGGTCTTCATGGCAACTCTGAATAGGGATAATTGTTCCCTATTCAGATAAGGAAAGTGAGCCCAGATTAAGTTAGCTGATGGCAGACTTGGGGATTAAAACACAGATCTTTGACTCCAAGTTTACACTGTATATCATGTTTCCCTTTTGTCACTTATAAAAATTTACTGCAGCAAACTTACTCTGTGCTAGAAGGAAATGACATACTTAGAAATGAACATAAAGTTCTTATCATGGTTCTTGACTGTGCCAAGTAAGGGCTTGGCATAGCATAGCTACTGTTGAGGAAGAGGCAGTGTGGTGGAATAATTAAGATCACAGGTTTGGGATTTGAAAAATCTGGATGTGAGTCCTGAGTTTGGCCCTTTCTGCTCTAGGAAAATGCTCTGTGTGAGCGAGACCGAATGCCTTAACTTTCCTGAAGGTGGAATGAGATGCAAATGTGCATGCCAAGCTTACCATGATGCCTGCACTTAGTGTTTGATAAGCCTAGGGATGATTACATCAAAAGGGTATGCTCATAGACTTTGTTCTAAGGAAACAAAGCAATCCCTGCCTTGGAACCAGATGTTAACATTTCATAGTTAAATACCTTGTTTTTGCCTCTCTTGACTTTTTGCATTTAAAAGTTTGCTAGAGTGTTCAGCGGACCCTATGGCTTTATGGTCTACAGAGCAGGCCTCGCTTGTGGCCAGGTACCTGTATATGATGCACGCCGTGTTCTGGCAGGTACTGCAATTGTTGAGATCTTGGCCAGTTCGATAAAAGTTGCGCCTGCAAGACAGAGCATTTGCTGGATAAATCTATGGGCAAAAGTCACGTGGGCCACAAACATTCAACCTACTTGTCCCTTAGTCCCTATAGCACAGCATTCACGGTGCTCTGAAGTTGCACGGCCATTACAAATAAGGAAACAAGAATGTCACGACAATAGGAGCTCACATGTCTAGAAGGCTTTATACGTGTTAAAGATTTCTCAAGCTGAGAGTTTTTTCATGCTGACAACAATCCTGTTGTGAGATGAGGGATTCTGCAGGTGAGTGGAAGGGAGGTTATTAAAACTCCTGACCTCTTAGTTCAGTACATTTCATTCTGCATCATCACAGTGTTTCTCTCCTATACGGCAGTGCTGATTCTGATTCATACAGCAAACAGCAGTTAATGACTTCTCTCTCCTACTGTTTTTGATGAGCTTTAGCCATTGCTTCTTCTTTGTCTTTAGAGAGCACTTTCTGCAGGGACGAGCATTTCGCATCTAAACAAATAACTGCCTTTTCCTCCTATACTGGTGCTGAGTCACCCAGGAAAGCATTTTGTGACTTTTTTTCTCTTTGCCGAAAATGAATTGTGCAAAATGAATTGTGATCTCATTTCAGTTCCAATTAGTTGGTCATTGATGGGCCAGCCCGTCATCAAAGTAGTCAGTACAGGGGAAGGTCAATAGTAAGCTGAGTGGCCATCTCAAGTCCTTTGTCACAATGACATGAAGAACAGAAATACTGTACAAATGCAGTAGCTTGCTAAGAGGAGGGGGATGGGGAAGTGCCTTCCTGCTATCATTTTCCCCCATCATGTATCAATAGAACCCTCATCTTCATAAAAATCATTTTTGATCTTACTGCTCCATTGCTGCCTTTCCCCATTCTGTTAACACCTGAAAACGAAAACAAACAGCAGTAGAAATCCACAGAAATCCACCAAAGCCTAGAACTAAATGAAATTCCATTAGAGAAAAGGGAGGTCTGTGGTTATGATTTGGAGAAACAACAGTGCTTCAAACATTTTGGAGACATTTTTACTAAAAGAAACCAAAGCTGTCTCTGCCCCTGTGTTGGCAAATGACTTCACCCAGTCATTTTTAATATGAAAAAAAAATCTCCTTACCCTTCAGTGAGAGCTCGAGCTTTCTCCAAGTCTTGAATTACATTCAAAAGGACTTTAATTTTCTCTTGGTTCGAGTGCAGAGATTCCTCCACAGATTGCAGTCGGCCTTGGAGGTCGCAGAGTTCACCCCGTGCCAGGTGAATTTGATTAATGTCACTAATCTCCCTGTTGCTCTGAAGTTTGGTCTCACTCCTTGAAAGAGAGGATGGGAGATGATTACTTCCTGGACAATTTGGAAACTCCAGTGTGTCTGACTCGGTGGGGTTGTTTGCCGTCTGCTCCTGACACCCAGGGGCAGATTTCGATGCACTGTTAGTTTTGAGTGACACCAGATTCTGGTGATTGTTACTTGATGAAGGACAGTCTGAGGCTCTTCCTGGGTGGGCTGGCTGGCTGTGGGAGCCTTGTGAGGGGGAACTGTGAGTCCGTGGAGATGAAGGAACACACGTTTCCTTTGACTGAGATGACAGTGAGCCAAGGTCTTTGTCATCTGAGTTGTCTTTGGGCAAAAGCAATTCAGGTTTAAGTTCCTCTGTGCCTGGTGTGTGGCTGGCAACGCTGGTGGCATTTAAGCAGGAGGTGGATTTTTCTGAATCTAGTGGAGTCACCCTTCTCCCATCACCTGGACGTGTGTCATCCAAAGGGTGTATGGAGTTACTTACTTCAGCTGACCTGTCTGGGCTGAGAGCAGACTCTCTAGCTTCCCAGGAAGGACTGTGATAAATATCATCTGGAACCTGAATGGCAGCTGTGGCTTTCTCTAAGGACCTCCAAGTTCCTGCTTCCAAGCATATGCTAACAGGACCATTGCTTTGCACCTTGGGGACCCTTGGGAGGAATGCATGGGACACCTTGACCCTTCGAGGCCCATCCTCAAGATGCTGAGCCAACCTTAAGTAGGCAAGGTCAGAAGACACAATGTCCTGTTCAGAGAGGTTACCGTTGACCTGGATGGCACTTTGGGAGGCTGTTGGCATTTCCACCAGGGACTTACTGGCTGTGAGTCTCTTCCTTTTGAAAACTGGGAAATGCTTCCTGAGACTGGGGGAAGTTTGGATTGCAATGTTGCGAAAGCCCCCTGCCTTCTGGGACCTGGGGAAGGAGAGCGAGTAGGTGGGGGGAAGATGGTGCCTGGTTGCTTGAGTCTTCCCCATCACAGCCGGGTCTTCTGGAGTTTGGACGTCAACCTCAGCTAGGCCAGTTGGATTCTTAGTGGTCCCATCTTCCTTGAATCTCACCTGCTGGGATTTGCTCCTGCGGTGGTGAGGTTGTTTCACAAACTCCACTGATTCTAGACTGTTACGCTTTAGAAGCACAGGTCTCACTTTCATATTTTGCTGGGCCATTGAGCCTCAGTGGGAAGGATCAGGACCATACACTTCTCCTAGGCACATCTCCCCTTAGGTCTTTGGAGCAGTATCTAATGATAGTATTTCAATCATAGAGAACTGCTGGCCAGGATGGAGTGGTCCTCTCCTCTTAGTATGGGAAATCCTGTTGGCCATTCCCAGCCTCTAGAGTCTACGTAGGAACTATCTGTAATGCTTTCCCTGCAGTTAAAATATTAATTCATTGTAGTCATAATTGCTCCTTGGAAAAACAAATGAGTTAGGCTAACTATTAAACATCTGATCTACCAAGAGAGCTGGTAGGCGGTTTATCAAGGGAGGCTGGCACGCGGTTCTGATCTTGGAAGAAGCTGGCTGTCTTGAACAAAAAGACAACAAAAGTACCATTTAGGGGGTAGTGCCAGACTCCCAATGAGTGAATTCCAAAAGAAACCTGCTACGTCTAGAACATACAGCTTTTTGTTTCCCAGAGCATTAATTTCCAGGGTGAAACTGCAGGAAACTTAAATGCATCTTCTTTCCATAGCAGGTAAACAGGTGGAGAAATAAATGACCTGGAGGTTTGCTTGTTTGATGATACATGATGCTCCCAAGGGAACATTCCCATTTATGTCAATCACAAATTCCTCCTTTGGGGCCATTGTTTTCTTTCATGCTGTCTCTCTTTTCTTCAGTGAGGGAAACTTATCTTCCTAAATAGCCTCACAAAACCCAGTGGGGTATGACCAGGACAGGATTGAGGAATCACAGGGGATTCAGTGGGCAGAGTCCCTGTTGTGGTGTGTTGGCCGAAGTTCACATGTGGGCACGGTGAGCTACGTCTGCAGCCTCCATGATGATGTATGTTTGCTTGGCCTCAGGGGCTGAGGTCTGAGATGAGCTGGGGTCTGATATCTGCAAGCAGGCGAGGAGCACCTGAAAGGGAAGAGACAACAGTGGCCAATGAGAAGGCAGTTTCTGTGGACCTGGATTTCTCTTCAAATTCTAACTTCCTAGCTGAGTATTTTGAGTGGAGGGTCTAGGAATAAGTCAACCACGTGGCCTTTCTCTCGGTTCTCTTTGTGAACCAGGTGCTTTGTGGGTGCAAGGCCTTGGAACAAAATGCCTGTCTGCCTGGACCCTTTTCTCTCTCCATTTCTGCACAGCACTCAGCCAACTCCTGTTCATCAGTCAAGTCCCAGCAATTTCTCAGGCAGCCTTTACAATGTCTCCCTCTTACTCACACACCCAGTGCCAAGACCACATCAGGACCCATTGTACATCCTCGTCACATTTTTCACAATACAAATTGCAACTGTTATTAAATAAGCATTTGTGTATGTATTTATTTAATGTGCATCTCCTCCACTACCCTGTAGACTCCGGAGGGCAGAGGCTGGAACCATCTCATTCACTGCTTGAGCATTCCTAGCCCTCTTTCTGGCTCACTATAGGTGCTTAAGCAGAATTTGTTGAAAAAGTGGATGGTTGGATGAAGGGCAGGTCCTTGTGAATTAAAGAGAGCCTGGGCATGAAGAGGAGTGAAGGTCCTAGGGTATCCTGCTAGGGCAACAGGACCTGTGAACTCGTTCTGCTATGACTGCAACATTTATTTAAGGACAAAATTCTCCCCTGATGTCTTCATTTCTTATTGCTTTTCAGGAGATAAATGTGCATGAACTTCTCTGAGGAACAACTACCTCATAATAATAATAGCCACCATTTATTGAGCACATACTTTTACCATGCTGAGGACTTTACATGCATTAATTAAAACAACTCATATTTACTGAGTACTAACTAATGTGACAGATGCTGTTCTAAGCGCTTTCCAAGCCATAACTCATTCATTAATCACAAACTACTCTATAAGGTAGATAATATTTTTGTCCCCATTTACAGTTGAATAAACCGAGGCCCAGAAGGGTTAAGTAACTTGCCTAAACATATCCTACTGCTTTTCCAATATTGCATTATCTCATTTAATCCTTACAAAAAATCCATGAGGTGCCATTATCCCCCTTAGACTTACGGGGAAATTGAAGCTTAGAGAGGGTAAGTACTCAGTAGAGGAGCTAGAATTTGAACCCAGGTGTCTGTCATTCCAAAGTCTGCATTCTTAACTATGAAGTTATGACTCTGCCCTTTTGGGATCTGCATGATATGTTGACAGTTGCTAAGAACAAGGGTAAAAGACCCTTGCAGATCTGGAGTGATCTGCATCTCTCTTTATAAAGAAAAAAACCCCTCTTTTTCTTTATAAATTACACAGTCTCTGGTATGTCTTTATTAGTGGCGTGAGAACAAAATGAGCCATCCTGGGACAGAATGAGCAGAGTTTCATGAGCAGGTGGTTCCTCATTTGCCTTGCCTGTTTGAAGAGCAGGGTTGGCTTCTGAGAGTGGCATTGTCACATACCTCTCTGAGGAGATGAACCTACTGGTCCCGAGTTGCTTTACATAAAAATTCCAAACAATGCAACTTTTAGAATTGGTTCTATGTTTCAATGACTTTGTGTAGGACTTTTAGGTCTGGGAGAATCCCAGAGACAATTTCCTCAGTCCATGACTAAATCCTTTCTGCATCTTCCTCCTCAGATAATAATTAAGCCTGCCTGGATACCTATGATAATGGGGAGCTCAGTACCCAATTCCCTAGTCCATAATAGTTATTTTCATTAATAGTAACAAATATGTATTAACAACTCACTGTTAAATGCTATGTTAGCACCTGGCATTTAATCCTCAAAATAACCTCCTGTATATTATCCCCGTTTTGCAGAGTAAGCAGTTGAAATTTGTGAGATGGTCGCATGCTTAAAAACATGCAGTTCATACTCTTCATCTTTGTACTGCAGAGCCTAGGTATTTATATGTCTACTTTTGAGGGTTTCCTTGACTAATTGTTTTTTGCTTTCTTCTTAACTGCTCATTAGCACTTCATTCTGGGAACGATAACTCACACAGGCTATGATTGTCTGAGGCTGGTTTTCATAAGAGCTAATGTCTAGTGCATTGATTATGTGCCAGGCATTGTGATTGGTATGTTTCATTTACTCTCTTCCTTAATCCTATGACACTCGTAGAGGCAGGTGCGATCAGTTCCCCACTTTATAAATGAGGGAACTGAGGCACAGAAGATGAATATATTTATACCAAGTTATTCACACTGATAAGTGATGGAGCTGTCATTTGGACCCACAGACTGACCCTGAAGCACAGGCTTCTCACCATTGGGCCTTCCTGCCTTCTTCAGGACTGGAAAGATTAATATTTTTGTGCAAGGCTAGCAAGCAGGTTTCAAACTCCCTCCACATTTTCATTCTGAAAGTCAGTCATTATTCTGGTGTTAGCCCTGCCTTTTCTCCAGGAAGTTTATGTATCCTTTAGATGTTTTCTTTTGATCTTTAAAAGCAGTTGGTTTTCTGCTTATAAAGATATTATTTGTTCATTGTAAAAATTCAAATAATACAAATAAACAACAAAAGGAAGAAAAAAATCACCTGAAATCTTACCACCCAGAAAGAGCCACAGTGCACCAACAATTTGGTGACATTCATTCTAGCCTTCTCCCTGTGCAATGCTTGCACAGAAATTGCATACACAGACAAGCTTATGGACAGAAAGCCTTTTGTTCACTGAACAACCTGGAGAAAGTTACACATTATGGTGTACAGATCACACTGTCCTTTTAAGTAGGCTAACATGAATTTGTCTAGTTATACAATTATCTATTTAAATAGTATTTTTGTGGATATTTAGGTTGTTTCTAAATATTTGGTATTATTTAAAAGTCTATAAATAAACATTTTTATGTAAATCTTGGAGCTCTTGTCTAATTATCTTCTTGAAATAAATGCCTAGAAGAAGAATTAGTGAGTCAAAGTAGCTGTGCATTTTAGATTTCGTTGATACTACCATGTTACCACTCATCCTTCTATGAAGTTCTACTAACGTGCAACTCTGCCATTACTGCATGAGAAGGTCTTTCACCAGAACCTCTTTGTTACTGTGCCTGGTCAATTTATGATGATTGTTTTTAATCATTGCCAATAAAGTAGAAAAGAAATTGTATCTCATTATTCTCGATATGGAATTTATATGAGTGGACATTTTTTCACATGTTTATTGGTTTTACACAACGTTTGATACAAATAAAGGCTGAAAAGTTGAAAATGAAAATTTGAATAGTCAAACGAATGTGGAAACTCTCGTATTTTTAGACAGAGCCTAGGAAGTTTAGGAAATACAAAATTTTCTCTTGACAAAAATATTTTGTGTCGGAACTCTCCTGCCCTTGATGTCCACCATGACCCTTGCACAGACACATCGTGGGGAATACACCTGGCTAAAAGCACCCTCTGGAGGCCCTTAAGTCTTATGGGCTCCCAATTGTCCATTAATTCACATTTCCCTAGGCATTGGTGGTTAGGGCTAAATTAATATCCTGGCCCAGGATCCAGAATCGTTCCCCACAGGTGGTCACAGCTGCCCTACGGCTGGAATTATTACTGATCTTTGCAACACTTTATTCTGTCCTCCCTTGATTATTGACTTTAGTGAACATGAACCAACTGTTTATGTTCCATCTATGCCTTTGGCCCACAGCAAATGGTCCTCATGGAATCAGTGTCCATTCAGTAGATACAGAAACATTGGACAATATCTCTGTAGGTTGCAAACTGTAGGCTTTCTCTGGAATTCCTGCCCAGTCCTCTTTTCTCAGTATCTTTAGGCCATACAGTGAGGGGTTAAGTGCATAGGCTTTTGCTTAAGATCTACGTAGATGAGACTCTTCCACTTTCTGACTATTGACTTGGAACAAGTGACTTGATCTTTGTAAAACCGCCTAAACTGGTTGTGAGAATTAAATGAAATAATCTATATGAAATGGTCAGGATAGTCAGTGTTCACTCTTCAGATAGAACCCAGCTGGTAGCCATGAGACACTTGTGAATTTGTCTTTGTCCCTCCTCTTTCCCTTGGGATAGTAAACTGTAGGTGCATTCATGGGAAGGAATGTACAAAGATGGCATTCCTTTGTGCAAGAAGTCCTATCTCCCTGCCGTCTCTGTACTTTGTGTCTTTAGCATTGTGCTTGTCTCTCTATATTGTGATGATCTGCTGACTTCTAGCCTCTTCAACTAGACTCTAAGCTCCTTGAGAGACATGTGGTAATGGTCTACTCTGAGTCCTTACCCCTCCGCTTGACACAGAGAGGGTCTTATATAAACTCTTGTAAAACAAATGAATATAATCCTGTATTATCTAATTTGCCTTAGCTTCTAAGACATGGAATAGTTGGATAGTTGCATGGAATAAATATTTGCATAACTAATTAAGAGTGAAGGAATTAATTCACTTCCAACATTTTTTTTCCTTTCAAAGATTTATTATCAGTAGGTCTCATGTCTGTTTTCTAGTCTACTATGCTTTCTCTATTTACGGCAGCTTTAATTTGGTTAAACTTTATTTAGATTCTGTTGTGAGGTGGGCACTGTAATAAATACTGTGGAGATTCCAAGGAGGAAAAAGACCTGATCCCTATTGTAGCACTAAGAAAGGACCTTGTAATGCCAACCTCATATGGAATCTGTTCCTAAGAATTGCTACAAAACGTTGTACAGGGTAGGGGAAGACTTAGAGGAAGGTATCTGATTCATTTCATGCATCCAAATTCTGCCTTACATAACAGGGTGCTTTACGTGTTAACTGGGGTTCAGACTATCCTTTACGCCAGGAGTCAGCAAGTTTTTTCTTTAAAGGGCCAGATAGTAAATATTTCCATCTTTGCTGGCCACACAGTTTCTGTTGCAACCATTCAGATCTGCCATTGTGGCAAGAAATAAGTCATAGACAATATGTAAACAAATGGCTCTGGTTGTGTTCCAATAAAACTTTATTTATAAAATATGCAACTGAATGGATTTGGCCTGGGAGCCATAGTTTGACAACCTCCGCTTTAGGCACTGGGAAGTCATTGGTGGTTTTTGAGCAGGAGGCTCTTGATTAGGTTGTTTTTCAGAGGAGGCTTTGTTTGCTGACACATTGCCGTGTCCCTTCTCTGAACTTAGTAATAATAACCTTTACTGTTTACACCACACTTTACAACTTATAAAGCATTTTCAAATCCCATGTAATCCCCACTAGGGAGGCTGGGAAGCATTATCCCTGTTTTAAAGAAGACGAATTCAATCCAGAAGGACTCGATGACTTGTCCTAAGTCACAGAGGTAGACTGGAACCCTGTCTTCCTGCTGCCAGCCTCGGGGCTCTGGTGGAGACCCCGACTCTTCCTCCATTTAGCTGGCCAGACATCTAATTACTTTATGTGTTAGTCCTGTTTCCTCAGTTACAGGATGCATTTCTAAAGTGTAGGGATATGTCTTCCACTCTTTTTCTATCCTCCAAAGTCCTAAGCACAGTGCTGAGTCTTTAAGGAGCCATTTACTGTTGATCATTCACCTCTGGGCCTTGTGGTTCAAAGTTTGTTTTCCTTCCATTTGTCTTCAGTTAATTGCTTGGTCAAATCTGTTGGTAAGGGTTATTCCATACTCATCTGAAATCAAAGGGTTAATGCTTGTGGTCCAAGTATCCACTTATCTTTCCAATTTGAAATTTGGAAAGCTAATTTTCCAAATTATATATTCCAAAAATATACCCCTTTCCGGCAGCTTTCTCAGTAAGGAAAAGGGTATATTTTGGGGGTCTGCCTAAATCTACATTCTGTTGTAAGTGGTCAAAGAAACAAAGGGAATTGACTTTCTTTATAGCACATGGGTTGACTTGAGGAAAAAATTGGGCACCAAAAGGTGAGGTTAAGATCCAGACTTATATATTTGGGACCCTGAAAGATGTTGGATATGTGCTGATTGTGAAATCTTGTTCTCATCTTTCTATATACCATGTTTGACTTTTTTGCACAAATTCTGGTATTCACACCCAGGTCTCCATCATCTCTCACCTGTATCACTGTGAGTGTCCCCCTCTCTTGTCCTCTTTACCATCTGTCCTCCACACAGCAGCCACAGTAATCTTGATAATATTTAATCAGATCACATCAGGCCCCTCTTTGAAACCCTGCAAAGGTGTCCCACTACATTTAAATTAAAATCCAAACTAGTTCCATAACTTTCAGGGCCACAACCTTGAACACAAGCCACAACCCTATGTCATCTGGCCCCTGTCTACCTTCCTTGTCCCATCTCATCTCATGCCACTTTCCCCCTTTTCTGTGACATGGTCCCTGGCCCTGAACATGCTAGATTCATTCTCATCATCTGGCTTTCAAATCTGCTATTCCTTTTGTTAGGACTCCTCTTTCCCCAGATCCTTCCAAGCCTGTTATCTCCAGGAGACACTCCCTGACCCCCTCTCCCCTTCCGTGTCCCTCTGTGCAGCAAAACCCTGTCCTATTAGCTTATTTGTGTATTATCTGTCTCTGCTCCCATTTATTGAAGAACTTTAGTATTTGTTGAATGAATGAATAGAGTAAATTCTTATAGTTAGAGGCTTCAAGGAATCATACAACCTTAGAAATAGAACAGAGAAGTTTAAAACTTTAGATCTTGGGTAGAATCTTATTTAACGATTTTCAAAATTCCCTTAGCAGTAAAATCAGCTTTCCAAATCCAAGCTTAAGCACAATTCCAATATCTAAAACAGAATAAAGTGGAGTTGTTCTAGAAAATGTAGGGGACTCAGTCCTGGGACTCAAAGCAAACCTAAAAACCACGAAGACAACCCCCCTCATTATAGAGATGGGGAAACTAAGACTCTGAGCAGCTGTCTTCTACCTGCAAGTGCTTCAAAAAGAACAAAGTCAGCCGGGCACGGTGGTTCACACCCATAATCCCAGCACTTTGGGAGGTCAAGGCAGGTGGATCACAAGGTCAGGAGTTCAAGACCAGCTTGGACCAGCTTGGGCAACATAGTGAAACCACATCTCTACTAAAAATACAAAAAAATTCTCTGAGTGTGGTGGCAGGCACCTGTAATCCCAGCTACTTGGCAGGCTGAGGCAAAGAGAATCGCTTGAACCTGGGAGGCGGAGGTTGCAGTGAGCCGAGATTGTGCCATTGCACTCCAGCCTGGGCAACAGTGCGAGATTCCGTCCCAAAAAAAAAAAAAAAAAGAAAAAGAAAAAAGAAAAGAAAAACAACAACAACCACTACAACAAACTTTAGACCTTGGGGAGAATCTTATTTAATGATTTTCAAAATTCCTTTAGCGGTAAAATCAGCCTTCCAAATCCAAGCTTAAGCACAATTCCAATATCTAAAACACAATAAAGTGGAGTTGTTCTAGAAAATGTAGGGGACTCAGTCCTGGGACTCAAAGCAAACCTAAAAACCATGAAGACAACCCCCCTCATTATAGAGATGGGGAAACTGAGACTCTGAGCAGCTGTCTTCTACCTGCAAATGCTTCAAGAAGAACAAACTTGCTGGTGTGTATCCCCTACACCCGCACAGCTTCTAGCATGGAGCAGGAGCTAGGTGAACATTTGTGGAACTGCACAAGTGACACATTGAGTTGAAGGCAGAAGTGGAACTAATGTCAATCCAGGTTCTCCTCTTCTCCAGTACACCAGTGAGAAAGGTTGAGGGCCATGGCCCACCTGGTTCCAGCTCAGGTGCCTCATTTGGAAACAGACCTAGTGGAGAAGACAGGCTTTCTGATCCCAGAGGCCTCTCCGATGGATGGGCAAGCCACTAATGCTATTTTTTTCTACCACTCCAACCCTCTAATTGCATTTGTCACAGACACCCAGGGAGATATGACTACCATCTACCTCTACCTCCTCTTCATTTTTATCCTTTCTTCTACCTTATCTTTCTTTTTTCAAAAACATAATAAAATGTTTCAGGTGTGCAAGACAGCACAGAGGACAGTAGAGTGAACATAACAAACATGACCAGCCTAAGACATGAAAGGTTACAAATCTAGCTGGATTATCCTCTGGATTTCCTCTCTCCTTTCTCTTTTATTGTGTTTCCCTCTGTCTTCACTCCTTCTTTTCCCCTTCTTCTCTTCTGTTTTCTCCAGCATGGCTCCCCATTTCATTTCTCCCCTCTCCTCCCTGCTCTTTGTCTCACCACCTTTCTTGCCCTCCTCTTTTCCACACCCTGCCCTTCCTCTTCCTTCATTTCTTTTGTTCCTCTCTAGCCCCTTCTCTTGCCTTCTCCTTCTCTCTTGCATCTTCATAAATGTTTTAGGGTCAGTGATTCATTCCTTTGGCTATTCTATGTCAAGGGTGGGGAATCAGCATCTCTTGAATTTCCTCTTTTGCAAGCCTCAGGGCACCTGCCCTGTAGGGACAATTCTGTGGTACATTCACCCCTCTAGCCAGAGGCATTGGCTGCTGCTGCTGCTGCTGCTGAATCTGAAAGGTCACCTCCAGCTTGCTTTCTCCAGGGGAAAGCCTTTACTACCACCAGATGCAACTGCTGGCCAATTCATCCAGCTTCTCATAGAAGAAAGGGCATTGGCTTAATATTATCTCTGTATTTCTCAGCATTTTGATTTCTCTCCAGAGATTTTTCTGATATTTTTCAATCCATTTGTTTTTCACTACATAACTGGGGACATTTTCTTACCCTTTTTTTTTTTTTTAGGTCATACCACTTTTTGACTTTAAATAATTTGATTTATTTTTCCTGGGGTCAAACACTGGGGGAGCTGCCTGCTCAAACAGATAGAAGAATCTAGAATCTTTTTGATTTGTTGTCAGAGGAATAGCTCTGTGTGTCAGATGGAAGGGAGAGAGCAGAAGTGGGTGGTCATGTTTCACCCCTCTTCTCCATAAGCTCCATCCAGAAAAAAACAACAGGAAGCCAGACAGACAATGATTTGCATTGCTGTGAACAGATTTACTCATAGGGTACAGAGTTGGCACAGGCCACTTCTAAGTTATTTTTCAATGTTGACGTGTCAACATTTTCCACATGGGAGAGGGATCCAGTTGGAATGGAAGAAGGCAGGAAAATCGTTTTCCATCTCAGCATCACTTTCTGTGGTTTTGTGGTACTTGGAAACTCTGTTTACACTTGACAATCTCTTCCTGTAGATTGTCTAAAGAAATTATGAATAAAATTGGAAAAGTCTTTCCATTCTGAAGGGACCTATGCTCCAGTATAGACCAGTCACACACATTTGGCTGATTAAAATACTAGTCGTTGTACTAAAAACGACAGACTCCAGTGACCCCTTGCTTGTCAATAGCACTGCCAAAGTTTTCAAAGCATTTTTAGATTTACTAGCCCTTTTCCACCTCACAACAAGTTTTGCCAAGACTAGGCATTATCACTCCCATTTTGCAGATGAGGGAACTGGTAGAGAGGTGCGAGATTTGCCCAAGATGAAGGTGGTCTGGCAGGACCAAAAGGACAGCAGAAATTTCATTAGATCAGAGAGCTTCTAATGGAGGCCAGAAGAAGCTGGGTGCCTCTTAGAGGTGCCTTGGGTGGGGGCTGGCAGGATTGGCCCACAGCATGACTTGGAAGTACCCCCTTCTCCTGACATAGATACACATTGCACACCCACCAAGGACAACTGTTGGGCCCTGGACTCTGCAGTGCGCCATCCACCCTGGTACAGCAAAGCATTGGCAGGCAGCTGCAATGAAGGTTTTCCCACTTCTGGATCCCTGCCTACACTGAAGAATTTTCACAAGGGGAAGAGAAGGGGGGAAGTTTATGGTCTGATCTAATCACAGATGAACAGAGAACTCGGTGGCACAAGCAGTTTGCAAAAGCGCATGACTGCAGTGCCATTAAAGAGCCCACTCTTCATTTCTGAGATGAGTAAACAGCGTGCCCAGCAGCATGTGCAACACACAGTAGGTGCTCAGTAAATGGTGACTTCCACTGTTCTTATCTTTACCATGGTTACCATTATGCACTGGGCCCCAGGTTACACAGAGACGGGACAAAATCCCAGGTTTTGAGAGTCCATGCGGGGGTTGTGGCAAATCTCAAGTAACATTAAAAGGCAGAAGTAATAAAAACGAAACTCAAGGAGAAAATGCTGCCAAATGTCCCGTCTGCTGGTTTTGGTGTTGTGGCCCCCCGTGAGGTCTGCCATTTCTTAAGGGGCCAAGAACATCTCTGTGGCTTTTTGTCATTCATTTCCTCCTCTCGTGCAGGAATCTCAGACCATTGCTGGAATCGATGTTGCATTCTGGGACTTAGGCTCTCTGCCTGTACAAGCTGTGAAGCCCCATCCACCTCCCATGCAAATCACAGGCTGTGTAGCACACCTTTAATTGCCTCTCACCTGATGGGCTCACGGTGTTTGCCTAATGACAAAGGATATCCTTTTTCTCATGGATGCTGGTCAAATCCAGAAGTATAAAAGCTCAAGTTTAAATGTCCCCCTTCCTTCTTTCTCCTTTCCTCCCTTCCTTTCTCTCCCTCCTCCTTCCCTCTCTTGTTTCTTGCAAAGGGAAGAGCATATGGTAGAGAGAACCACCCAGCCTCAACCCCACTTCTCACTCTCCAGGATAGGAGACTAGGAAAGGCACTGAGCTGGGTGGAGAACTTTCCTGGAGATCCGGGGACAGGGGGTGGTCTCACTCCTAACCACCTATACTCACCTGAGTCTTCTCCCCTGCCCCTAGAGAAAAGCAGCCAGCAGCCAGCATTCACGCATCCTCTTCTTTTGGGGGTAGGATCACACTCCCTAAAGCTCCTTCGGTGCCCCATGCTTTCACCCTGACTCCAGCCACTGGGGGTTCCACCTTCCCTCCACGTTACCTATTGTAACCACAGCCCCCGAGAGCAGGGTGACATTCCATCTCCTGGAATGAAATACTTATCATGACTTGGCAAAGCCTTTCTCTTACAAAGAGTTATTCATGCACTTACACCTAAACTTGCTGAATGACCTAGGACAAGTCATCTCATATCTGGGTTCTCAGTTTCCTCATTTGAAAATGAAAGGAGCATTTGGCTCACATAACGCAGTGCCTGGCACATAATAGATATAGTAAGAATCAGCCAGCAGACCTCTTGGCTTCCAACCTTCCTTCCTTCTTCCCTATTTTCTGGCCTGGAGATGTCCCCGATTACCACTACCCTTGTCTTGCCTGAACAGGGACCTTTATGTGAATGCTATGATCTCAAGCCTGGCCTTGGCCACCCTCCATGATCCTTTCTGGGCCAACGACCAGGACAGCCTTTCTGTTTCCCAGTCCCATGTCTGAGCCTGATTGGCTGCACTGGGGCACAGGGATTGGAAGGAGCTCCCAGAGCGTGCAGGCAGATGGTGAAAGAGCCAGAAACCGTTGCTCCTGGGGTCGGGGGGCGGGGAGGCAGTCAGCAGTGAGCAACTTCTTAAAGCTCACATCAACATTCCCCATTCTGGATGAGATCCAGAATCTTATGGGTTCAGAGTTTATCTGAAGTACCGGGACCCCTTAAATCCCATGTGGAGTGGCTGGGGGTGGTCTGATAATTTAGGTAGTGTGGCATGGTGGACAAGAGCTTGCATTCTGAAAACAGACGGCTTAGATTTCAATGCTGGCTCTGCCATTTTCTGCATCTTTGTTGGAGGGTAAATTACTTAACCTCTCTGGGCTATGATTTTCTCATCTGTAATATGTGGCTAATAATATTACTTAAGAAGATGTAGCTAATAATATTACTTAAGAAGCTGGCTGTAAGATTTAAACGAGGTGACACACTCATAAATCTTTCAGAAAAGCGCCTGTCAGGCTGGAACCACTTAATAAACTTTGGCTCCTATTATGATTACTAGCATTATTACTATAGGCAGTATCATCATTATTATTATCAAAGTGTGAGAACCAGCAAAGATTTCTATCACTCACTAGTCGCCACTCAAACTCTCATCTGTGTGAAGCAGGAATATTTATGATATAGTCCCTACCCGCTGCTCACAGTGGGTGTGGGAGTCGATTGATAATGTAGAAGAGGATAAATGTTTATAATAAAATGCAGATGCCATAGAACTAAAAGCAATTAGTAGATGACAGAAGATGAGAGGTAAAAAATAAAGTTAATAAAGAGGAGAAAAACTGAGCATCAACTTTGACGTGAGCTTCCTAGTAAACCAAGGCAGAAAGGGAATATAGTAAGACATATTTTTGTCATTACTTAGTGCTTAGTGCTAGACATTTCATCATGAGTAACAACCTTCTTTTGTAGCCTTGAACTCTAAGAGAAAATTATCATAAGAATATTTATTATGAATTTATTTACACATCTAAAATTTTAGGCTTTCTCTATGAGAAAGAGAATCCTTATGAGATTTGGAAAGTATCACAATAAAAATGGTTGAAGAAATGTGAGCTCTTTTTTTTTGAGACAGAGTCTTGCTCTGCCACCAGGCTGGAGTGCATTGGCATGATCTCGGCTCACTGCACCTTCCACCTCCTGGGTTCAAGCAATTCTCGTGCCTCAGCCTCCCAAGTAGCTGGGATTACAGGCACACACCACCACACCCAGCTAACCATTTTTGTATTTTTTTAAGTAGAGACAGGATTTCACCATGTTGGAAGGGATGGTCTCGATCTCCTAACCACATGATCCTCCTGCCTCTTCCTCCCAAAGTGCTAGGATTACAAGTGTGAGCCACCGTACTCGGCCAGGAATGTGAGCTCTTTAACCAAGAGAAGAGCAAACGGAAAGACATGATGGTCCCTTTAAAGACTTCACTACTGTATCAAGTGGGAAGTAGGGTTGCCCTGTAATATTTCCAGAGACAGAACCACAGCCCCATGGTTGAGAGCCTGGGGATGCAAACTGAGTTTCAGCTAAAGACAGAAGTTCCCTCAAACTCAAGTAATGCAACTCTGCCTTGTGACGGGGTGAGCTCCCTGTCCATGCAAGCATTTGTCTAGAAGGCCATCGTCAGGGCCACATGGGGAAGCTCTCACTGCATTCTTAGAGAGCAAAGAGATGATTCCTTCATCCCAGGATACTTTAATTTTCTCCAGGTCTATGTAATAGAGGAGTGGACTCTCAAAAGAAGAGCTGAGCTTTCCTCCCTTGAACGCAGATGAACAACTCTAATAAAAACCATTTCCTACAAAGCTGCTCCCCTAGAAATAAAGGAGCAGGCTAGCTAGAGCAATCAAATCACTTTTTAAAATGATTCTTTAAGATGAAGAGTATTAGGAAATAATTCGGCTGAGCAATTGTGAGTGGATTTGGGGAGAGAGTCCCCTGTCAGAAGTGACTCTGTCACCTGCCACCAACCTTCTTGTGTGTTGTTCTTCCTTTGTGTGTCCCAGCTTTCATCAGTACGTTCTGAGCTTCTGGGGCTGACTGAGGCTGCATGAACAAGTATGTGTCCCTGGGGCTCCCACAGCTCTACCCCAGCTCTCCTCTGCCCATCAACTGGCTGCCATGGTCTCCTTTCTCATGGGGGCTCCGCTTGGGAAGGGCCATATATTGCTCAGCACCATGTGATTGGTGCCTGCACAGTGTTGGGCCCACAGCAGCCAGGTGTACTGTATGGTTAGGAGCATAGGTTCTAGAGCCAGGCTGCCTGGGTTTAAAATCCAGCTGTCTCATTTACTAGCTCTGTGACCTTGGTCAGGATGTTTCAACTCTTTGAGCCTCAGTTTTCTTATCTGTAACATGGGATTGATAGGAGTATCCTCTACATGCACACACACACACAAAACAACAACAACAACAACAACAACAACAACAACACACACCGGATTGCAGTATGAGTTCAATGAAAGAATGACAGTTAAGCTCTTAACATAGTGTCTATCTTATCTACTATATCAGGGGTCAAAAAACTCTTTCAATCAAGGGTTAGACAGTAAATATTTGCAGCTGTGTAGGCCATGTGGTCTTTTTTCAAGTACTCAACTCTACCGTTGTAGCCTGAAAGCACACATGGGCAATATGTAAATGAACAAGCATAGTGATATTCCAATTAAACTGAATTTACCCAAACAGGTAGCAGGCAAGATTTGGCCCGTGGACGGTAGTTTGCTGCCGTTGTGTAAAGCAGCAAGTCAGAGAACCAGATGGAAATGAGCAACCACAGAGACTAAAGTGAAGAAGCAAAAGGTGGTAGAATGGTGGATTCAACAGCAGCATCCAGAAGTTAAGAACTCAGTCTGTGAAGTAGAACAGGTCTGGTTTCAAACCTGGCTGGTGAATGGTGTTTGCTCTCTGAGACTTGGCTTCCTAATACATAAAGTGCAAGATGGCAAGTAAAAGGGACCTTTCTCAAATGGCTGATTTGTGGATTAGAAGAGATATTAGACATGGTGCCAGGCATCTAGTAAGAGCTCAAAAAATGTTAGCAAAGAGGAGAATGATGACAAGGTGGCTGCTGAAGTGAACTAAACTGAATTGAACCACAGCCTCCTTTTGCCTTCAGCACGCCCAGACAGTATGGCTCATTAGGAAGAGCAAGAGTCTTAGATCCTCAGAGTGCCTGACTTCCTGCCTTGAGACTTCTCTCACTCTCTGTAAAGTGCAGCCAATTCATATTCTTTCTCCATGCCAAGAATCAGGTTCAATGAGACCCTGGAGGGAGAGCCTGCCTACCACCTACCTATAAATAGGATGGCAAGTCAGCACCAGCATCAATGATTGCAGGTCAAAAATGAGCCTTGGTTTCTCAGTCTTGCTTGCCTCAAATGGACTTGAGGATAGAAGGGCCAAAAGATCAATAATGGAGAATATAAATGTTTGTGCAGAGCTGCTTGGGCACTCAGGTTTGGAGCAGGACTAGGAAGGCCCTGGGCTTTGAATTGCTTTTGTTCGATGTTAGTGTCCTGGAAATAGACCTCTCTACATACCACGTTTTGTTGGGAGATGGTATTGCCATCCAAAGTGAGACTTTCAATGTTCCTTTCCATTCCTTGTTGGCATACAAAGACTGCATAACACATGAATTTCCCCAATGTGTTCACAGTGTTGTGCCTTTTGTTGACTCCATAAGTTTTTATTCTTACTTTCTTTACTCTCAGATTTTCCAGAAAAAAATTAAGCAGACTCTTACAGCCCTAATTAATGCTATCAGGCATCTGCCCTAATCATGTATTACTTGATACTGATTTTCAGTTATGTCATTTCCTTCCACTAAGATCATGAGAGTCTCACAAACTGTCCATTGTATTCACTTCAGGGTCTCCAGCACTCGAAACCACAAGCTGTCTTTTCTCTTCTTTCCTCCTTCCCTCTCTCCATTTAGCCTTTCTTCCTTTCCTTCTACTAAGCACCCACTATGTGCCAAACATTGTGCTGGGCATCAGGAACACCTCCAAGCTCTCAGATCTAAAGGAGGAGATGGGCAGGTAATAGGCAGCACGGTAAGACGCAAGCTTTAAGCAAGGTCAGGTATTGTAGAAATCCACCATCCCAGGCCCTAACCTGTTGGGACCTTTAGACAACCCTAACCTGTTGTCCCCTGATGGAGGGGACATCTGAGCCAGGCTTTCTATGATGACTAGGAGTTCAAGTCATTGAAAGAAGGAAGAAGCAGGTTCAAAGGTGTGCCTTGAGTCTAGACGTGAAATGGAAGTTTTTCCTTCCACATAAACTTAATTATCGTGGCTGGGCGAGATAGTGGCAAATGTCAGGAGAAGACTGGCTGGCAGGAGGCATGGCATGAAGGACCTTATTGGCCAAACAGATCTTCTGGAGTGATTTCAACATCTTAAAGCTTAGGCAAGCTGTACATTTACAAAGCAAACCTAAATGTCGAGTCTCTCTCCTTTGGGCTGTAATATTAAGAGTATTGACTCCTTCATGCACTACTTCTAATTAGAAGCTTCGATTAGCAGTATTACATGCTTTGGATGAACAAAATGATAAAATAAGCTAATTATGACTTAATGTGTAGAGTTGTTGCCCACTATCTTTCAATACACCAAGTCAGTGGGGAGAGGGAGAGCCGCAAAGAAGCTCTTGGTGGTGGAAAAACTGAAAAATATTTCCTCCTATTACCAAGATACAGATATAGCCTGCCTGGAATTGACTGTAAGTAAAGTGATAAAACCCAGCAAATCATCGATTAGGAGTTCACCATATATCTAGAACTGTCTTCACCTTGAGATACAACTGGTGTACCAAACAGCCAAGGTCCTGTCTATTTTGGAACTTAGTTACGGGTAGGAAAGGCTGATATTAAGTGAACAAACATCCAAGTAAACATGGATTTATAAAACGTGCTAGATGTTGTGACCAAAAAATAGAGGCCGGTGGGAGAATCATGAGTCCTAATTGACATTGTGGGTAAGGGAAGTGCCTTATGAAGAAGTGATGTTTGCATTGAGGAGGGATGGTGGGTGTGATTGAGGTGATGGGATGGGCATGAAAAGAGGGTGTCCAGGCAAACGAACATTGTGCACACTGGCTCTGATGCAAGAAAGGTATTTGGCCTTTGTAACAGCTAAAGGAAAGGCCAGCTTGGATGGAATCCAGAGAGCAGGCCACAGTTGGTCTTGAAGAGTTAGGCAGGAGTGATGATATTGGTCCTGAAGGCCACATTAAGTCTTTTGGTTGATTTTTGAAAACAGAATGACTTCAAGAGGTTTACGAAGGGTGTGTGTGTGTGTGGGCATGCATGCGTGCATGTGTGTGTAGGAGAGAGGTATATTAACACGTTTGCATTTTAAAATGATTTTTCTGGTTTTTCTGAGAAAATGGACTGGATGGGGCAAAAGTGGAAGCAGGATGAACCAGTGGGGAGGCTGTAACAGTCGTCCAGGTAACACATGATGATGGCAAGGTGGTAACAGTAAGATGATGAGAACTGGATAAACTCAAAAACACTGAGTATTACATTAGTTAGAGTTGAAGTGTGAGGCGGAAAGATGTAGAGAAAGGAAATTAATTTGATTTGAGTGGATTTGACTTAGAAGGCAACATTTTGAGACACCTAGAATGATGGCTTCTAATAGGCTTTCCCAGAGCCAAATGGAGGGGTTTTCTGGACCCTCAGCCATGTGCTATGGTGTTACCACCATGTTTGCTTGCATCTGTTGGAGAAGAAGCTACCCCTTCCTCTGCATGGTGGCCGCCTTGCAAGAACACATGGCTCTGGGGACCACAGTGCCCTCTCCTACCCTCAAGTTTGGAGCATGAGTGGTGTACACCATACCATATCAGGCATTGGCCTTCAGAAGTAAGAGACCACCCAGATGCCCAATCAGTCAAACGGTTTGTTTCTCCCTCTCTGTGTGCCAAGGAAACCACAGAAACCAAAAACACAAATGAGGCTGCATCTTGATCTGTAGGGTTAATGCCATCTATCAGAAATACCACAAAAACACTGAAAAGGTCAAGGAAAGTCCAGGAGGGGAATAACCAGTTAGTCTAGTCGTGTTTAACTCCCCTACAAAAGAGCTGATGAACTGCTGAGAAAAGCTGTCACAGGAGCAAAGAGGCACAATGATAACCAGCATCACTTGGTGGTGACTGTGGACGAGGCCATCTTTTTAAGGCTGTGCTATTTTATATGATCCTCATGTTCCCAGTGAGCCACATTTTAGAAAGCTGAGGCACAAAGAAGTTTAGTGATTTTGCCAAGCCACCACAGTAGTGAATAGTCCAGCAGGGCCTTGTGCTCCAGGGGTCATGCTCTTATCCACTACGTGATTCTGTAGCAAGAGGCCACAGGCTATTAAGGTCAAGTAGAGTGGTTTCTGGAAGGGACAGCCTTGACCTGGGTTGAGAAAAGTGGGAAATACTGAGGGTCAGCTGTTTTGTAGACTGCACCCCGCTGAGGCTCCCTGGGGCCATTTGGGAAGCTGGGTTCCTGGCATGATGCTGAGTGTTCCACAGAGAGGGAAGCCTCATTCCTGACTGTATTTTTTCCTCAAATCCTTCTGAGCACCCTTAATCTGCAGAAAATGGGTTGGGTACTAGGGACACGGCAGTGAGCTCAGACATTCTCCCAGAGCCCACAGAGTAGTGAGGGAGACATAAAAGAAAGGGGTGAGGCCAGGCGTGGTGGCTCACGCCTGTAATCCCAACAGTTTGGGAGGCCGAGGCAGGCGGATCACAAGGTCAAGAGATCGAGACCATCTTGGCCAACATGGTGAAACCCTGTCTCTACTAAAAATACAAAAATTAGCTGGGTGTGGTGGCACATGCCTGTAGTCCCAGCTACTCGGGAGGCTGAGGCAGGAGAATCGCTTGAACAAAGGAGGTGGAGGTTGCAGTGAGCTGAGATCACGCCACTGTACTCCAGCCTGGCGACAGAGCAAGACTCCATCTCAAAAAAAAAAGAAAGAAAGGGGTGAATTTCAATGTAAGGTGGTCATGGTGCATATCTGTAGTCTCAGCTACTGGGGAAGCTGAGGTGGGAGGATCTTTTCAGCCCAGGAATTTGAGGCTACAGTGAGCTATGATCGCACCTATTAATAGCCAGTGCACTCCAGCCTGAGCAACACAGTGAGATCCCCATCTCTAAAAAACAACAACAACAACAATAAAAAAAAAAAAAAAAAAGGAAAAGGAAAAAGTTAAGAGCAGGGTGGTAAATACCCACCAAGAGGAAGTCGGGGTGCCGCAGGAGTCCCTTGGAGCAGCATGCATCCCTGATATGTTTCTGTGGTGGTGTGAGTGTGAAGGCTGGTGGCTAAGGGAGCCTCCTCAAGGGCAGGGTTGTCTATTGTGAGCTTGGAAGAGAGTAGGAGCCAGCGGGGGCCGGGGGGCAGGGGGCGTTCGGGTGGGCACAAGTGGGGAGATGGGAGAAGGGAAGTCACT
The DNA here is from genome assembly GCF_000001405.40 of Homo sapiens. Classification (NCBI taxonomy): domain Eukaryota; kingdom Metazoa; phylum Chordata; class Mammalia; order Primates; family Hominidae; genus Homo; species Homo sapiens. The sequence continues at coordinate 169,903,588 of NC_000005.10, forward strand.
TCAGGACACAGTAGGTACAAAGGCCTCCAAGTATGGAGATAAGAGGAAGCAGGGCTCTTTTGTGGAACTGATAGAAGTTCAGACTTCCTAGAGGGTCGAACTTACTCGGGGCAGGGGGAGAAAAGAAGTAAGTTTGGAGAAAGGTGGGTGAGAGCTCGGTCACTGTAGCAGGAAGTTTGGACTTAACCCTAAGAGCAGTGGAAGCCTCCAGTGGGTTTTAGGGGAGGAGAAACTGGGCGGAGTGGCTCATGCCTGTAATCCCAGCACTTTGGGAGGCCGAGGCAGGTGAATCACCTGAGGTCAGGAGTTCGAGACCAGCCTGGCCAACATGGCGAAGCTCTGCCTCTACAAAAAATACAAAAATTAGCTGGGCGTGGTCCTGTAATCCCAGTTACTCGGGAGGGCTGAGGCATGAGAATTGCTTGAGCCTGGGAGGCAGAGGTTGCAGTGAGCCGAGATCGTTCCATTGACTCCAGCCTGGGCAACAGAGCAAGACTTCGTCTCAAAAAAAAAAAAAAAAAAAAAGTTTAGGGGAGGAGAAGGTAAGACATTTTCTGGGGCTGCCTAGATCCTTTGTACTTTCTTGGGTAAAAGCAGCATACTGACCTAGCCTTTGGCAAGAAGCCTGATGATTTGGTTCCCAAGAGACAGTACTGCTTGGCTTCAAGCAAGTACTTGAAAGCAAGGAGGGCTTTCCCCTCAGTCTTAATGCTAGTTGTCCCTTCCTTTTTCTTGCAACGCTGGGCTTGCTGAGTAGCTGAGATGTGTTGTATTTTTTAAAGAGCAACTTGTTCTCTCTAAATCACCTACCTGTCTATGGAATTTCTACCAGTGTGTTCAAACACCTCTCCAAAGTCTCACTTCTGGGCAGCTTCCCTTTAATGGGGGTGGTGGGGAAGGGTGCAGACAGGCAGGGGAGGGCCTGAGGGAGTGAGGTGGGAAGGGGTTGGCAGAGAGCTCAGGCCTTTAGAGTGCTGGCGACCTCAGCAGCACCATCATCTCATTCTCTCTCATTCACATGGAGGCCTTCCAACCAGCCTCTCCCCCTAGTGAGGGCCCCGCAGTCCTTTAAGAAGGCTTCCCATCATTTAAACAGACAATAAGTCTGACAGATACCGAGGGTGGCCTCAGCTCAGCGAGCATTAACTGTATTAGCTACATTGGAATTTCCATCAGTGACACTGTATGGAGCTAATTTGTGGGTTTGCTAATCCCCAAGTCACTCCTAGTAGCAACACATTTCTGTGTGGGAGGGCCTGCCCAGAAGACTATGGCACCTTCACTGCTCCACGGCTGGAGCAGCTCAGTGTGAGGGAAGAAACCGGCTCTGGAACCCGAGAGACCCGGGTTTGAATCCCAGCTCTGCCACTCCCTAGCTGTGTGACCTTGACTAAGCAACTGAACCTCCCTGAGCCTCAGTCACTCATATGAAAATGAAGATAGTAGTCATGACACTCTCATGGGGCTGAGGTCAGGATTCAGGGAGGCCGTGCAGAGTGCTCAGTAAATATGAGGTGCTGGCATGTATTTTCTACAGTGGGTTTAGGAAGGGTTGCAAACTCACATGGCTTCAGGGTGACACAAGTGGGTGAAGCCAGCTGGGAGCAAGCTAGGCAGAGAGAAATGTGCCACAAAGGGGACCCCTGCTGTCAGCTGCAGCCCCAGTTGGTGAATGAAACCCAGGAGCAGTACTGTTAGAGCCAGTGTTTTTTTTTTTTTTCAGGAGAAGCCAGAACTCTGTGTTAAATATCCCAACTTTTAAATGTTGGAGACTGAATTAAGCTTTTAAAATCATCTGGGGGCAAACCAAACACATCTGAAAGCCAGCTGCCCCTTGGCAACCTCTTGCTTTTTCTTTCTGCAAGAAGTGGTTTAAAATTGGGTCCTCAGTATAAATAGCTCGAGGCTGCCAGGCAGAGTATGTTGGGAGAGGACAGTTTGTGGCAAAATAATTTAATGCCCCCACCTCTCTGAGGGTAATGTCACTCGCTCTTCAAGTCCTGTATACGGGCTTGAATGATGTCCAGAATGGAACTGAAATAGAGAGGGATGGGTGTGGGGTAGGCAGGGACTGGACAAACCATCCAGGCTGTGTGCTGTCATACAGCACCTCTGGGAGGGGCCACTAAATGGCAGCGTCTGCACCCAGGAACTGCAAACCACCCAGGTGTGCAGGGCTCACCACAGCTGCGATTGGTCCTCTGTCCTTTTTGGACTTGAACAAAGTGAGAACACTTTGGGGCAGATGTAGCAGCCAGGAAGATTTACTTTCTGACAAGAGGATGTCTAAACATTCATTCACAGTCAAGCTGATTTCCTAAAAACAGCTGTCTTGAACCTGACTGTATCTAAAATGTCTGTTGCCTTCGTTCAGAAAGCCTCTATTCTACTTTACCCATCAACATTTTCTCTTACACAAGGTTTAATATCTCAGCAGGTGTTGACTGGTTGGAAGTAGATGGGGTACTAATTATAAATGAATGCAAAGACATTTTTCTTACACTAAGAGTTACCAAACGGTCCTGAGTTCGACCTTCTTTACATTCATTCGTGCAGTAAATCCTCAATGAGCGATTACTACATGCCAGGCATTGTGCCCGGGGCCGTGGATAGTCAGAAAGTTCTTTCTGACGTCAAACGCAAGCTTTACTGTCAGCTAAGAGAGCCTCAGTTTCCTCATATGTAAAATGAGTATGATCATAGTACTGACTACTGATTATTTCAAAGGCTCCCAAGCCAGTGTGTGCACATGGCCAGCATTCAATAAGCATTAGCCAGCAAACGGGCGTTCATCTCAATTAAAACCACCATCATTTGGGCTTGGTACTGTTATCCCCACTTCTAACATAGGAGCAAACTGAGATTTTTAGATTTTTAAAATTTATTTTATTTTGTTACGTTATGTTATGTTATTTCATTTTATTTGTAGAGACAGGGTCTCCCTATGTTTCCCAGGCTGGTCTTAAGTTCCTGGGTTCAAGCTATCCTCCTGCCTTAGCCTCCCAAAGTGCTGGGGTTACGGGTATGAGCCACCCATGCCTGGCCAAAACTGAGTTTTGCTGTGACAAATTACCTTGATGAAAGTCACATACCTGAGCTGGAGCTGGGATTGACCAGTCATCTAAGCCCATTATCTTTCTGCCAAATCACAGGGAAGACCATTCCTGACCTCCTTGCTTTACTGTCAGAAAGAATTGAAGGGTGGTTCTGGTTTAAGCTCTGGAAAGTCTATAGGGAAATTAGGGCCTGAAGTAGAAAGACTGCTAGCCGCCTCTGTCCTGCTGGAAATGTGCATGAGGCTGGTGCTGATGGTGCTGAGAAAGCAAATGCTGTCTAGAGGGAAATACTATCATTCAATAAATATTTATTGAGTTCTGCTATGAGTCAGGCACTGTCCTAGGGACTGGGACTACAGCAGTGAACAGAGCAGGGTCCCTGCTCTCACTGAGCTTATGGTCTGTCACAATCCTGTAGGTGAAAAGATGCCAAACATAAATATGAGGTTTTAGGAACGCCAGTTGAAATCAATCGAAAGATATGGCCGGGGATGCATCTGGGACCCATATCTGATGGCTGCTGAGGCATTTTGGTCACCAGTGAAATATTTTCTGCTTATTGGCAGGCAACTTGATTTTGCATTTGGTTTGCGTCATTCTTAGGGATACTGAAGATACAGCGATGTGCCCAAGTCAGATGAACACGCCCAATTTTAGGAGAAGATTCTGCTTTCATCTGGAGGCAGTAACCATGTATTTCTAGAAGGGAGCTCTTGGAAAGATCCTCTGGCCAGTTCTAGTCTAGTTCCTGTTTACTCTCTGCTGGGTTTAAGTGGCTGATAATTGGGCTCCTGCAGAGAAGCAGCTAAAATCTGTGGCTTGTTTGCTTGGAACATTTTAGAAAGTCAAAGTAGTTAATGATAATGGTAACCACCACTTAGCGAAGACTAGTTGCCAGTCATAGTGGCAGAGGCTTTACAGGCATTATCTAATTGAATCCTCACAAACAACCCAGTATGTTGGAAAGTTCAATTACCTCTGTTCTACACACAAGAAAATTAAGGCTCAGAGAGGTCAAATTCTTGCTCAAGATCACACAGCTGGAAAATGGCAGAGGGGGAAATGAACCAGGCCTGACTTTCTCTAGAGCAGTGGTTTTCAACTAGGGGTGACTTTGCCCCCACTCTGCAACCTTACAGGGACATTTGGAAAAGTCTGGAGACATTTTTGTTTGCCACAACTGGGAGGGGGTGCTACTGGCATCTAGTGGGTAGAGGGCAGGGATGCTCTAAACATCCTACAACACACAGGAACCGTTGGCCAGTCCGTGTCGGTAAACATCTCTTGTGCAGGCACTTCTTGCCAAAACATTTTGCATTTTGTACAATATTCCCAGTCTCCACTGAAGTGTTGTCTTTATCTCCTCTCTTGCTCTGCCTTCATCTAGAAGCTGTGATGGAACAATTTAGATCAAGCCATCCCCAGGAAAAGCTTTCATTGAACAACAGAGCAAGGGAAAGCCCAATGTATTCTGCAGCCCCATTTCAGTTAAGGTTCAAGTTCACTAATGCCAGAAAGGAATTCATTAATGCCTTACAGGCTGCAGGACAAATGTTAATAGCTTCACCTTTAATTTAAGCTCAGTTTTATTTTTATAGCTGGTCCCTTGGTGGCAACTAGATTTATTGGGACATTTTGAACAGCTGAGGCAAATCAATAAAGTATATAAGCACATGCGATTCTTGTGTTATTTGCAAATATAATTCTGATTACTCACATGCATATAGGCATACTCATACATGCTCTAAGAATATGCTTTCCCCTGCTCCATGTTTTAAAACTAATCCCCAAATCATGACATTTGGTCTTCTGAATATGGCCCCCAAGTTATGAGATGGGCAAGGATTGGAATGAATAGAGAAATGAACACAAATAGGTTCCCACCTGCTAGAGGAAAATAAATCCTTAAAGCATATGGGTCCTGGACGTTTTTGTCTATCTATAAATGCCAAGCAACATATTGCAATATGGAATCATGACCAATGTTGCAAAACTAAGGATACAGTGAACTATGTTTGTAGTTGTTCTTCATTTTACAGGTTTCAATGCATTTTTCTCTTTTCTTTTTTCTTTTTTTTTTTTTTTTTTTGAGACCGAGTCTCACTCTGTCGCCCAGGATAGAGTGCAGTGGTGTGATGTCAGCTCACTGCAACCTCTGCCTCCCAGGTTCAAGCAATTCTCCTGCCTCAGCCTCCTGAGTAACTGGGACTACAGGCCCCCACTACATTATTGCATTTCACCTTCAAAACAACCCTGAGGCATTAGCCCCATTTTGCAGATGAGAAAACAGGTTCAGAAAAATTAGGAATTATGTCCAAGGTCACAGAACTTGCCTCTGGCAGAGAGAGCCACTGTCTGGTGCTATTTCTGTCATAATTGTCAGCCCCTAGAGTGAATGTGAGCGAGGCTGAGCCAGGCTGCCTGCTTTCAGTAGCTGCTGCTGATGTGAGGAGAGTCTGTGGATGATTTCATCACCTTTGCTGTGCCTCCATTTCTAAAGCCTTCATTCTTTATCTATCAGGGCTCAGCTATGATGTGCTGTCCAGTATGGGAACCTTGTACCACATGAAGCTATCTAAATTTAAATTAATTAAAATTTTAGTTCCTGGGTCACATTAGCTGCATTTCAAGTGCTAATAGCCCAGTGTTGCTGGTGGCTACCATGTTCAACAGTATAGAACATTTCTTTCTATTCAGTAGCACTGGATCAGAGTGATTAAGGAAATGAAATCAGTGGGACATAGAATATTTCAGAAAGATGCTATCCAATTTGCAATGAATTTAAAAAAATCTAAGTTTTTTCTTTTTGAAGAAGAAAGTCTAAATATTTGGTTTTGGATTCACACTCCATCAGGTACCAGAGTGGGAATATTTCCCTGTGCTTATCTTTATGTCAGTCCTGCAAGGTGAGTATTATTATCTGCAAAATGTTTCTTTTGGATTAAGAAACAGGTTTAGTTACTTGACCAACATACATATCTTCTAAGTTGCAGAGCAAGAATTCAAACTCAAATCTGCCCTCTAAACCTATAATACATCTACTTTACTCTGCACTGTGAGTCCTCAACAAACAGAATTTTGGTTCTATCCCAAAGCCAGTGTCACTGTGAATAAAATACAATCCAAGATGATCACTTACAAGGATTATTATCATCCAGATTTGGAACTTCTAGAATGGTCTGAGTAGATAAACAGTGGGAAAATCACCTGAGACATACTTTATGGTGAATATCACTGAGTTGTTTACTTGGGGCTAATCCTCTCTTTTCTTCTCAGTCCCACAATTGACCCTTGTGCAGCTTGAGCCACAAAATGCCACTCAAATTCTGCACCAGCATTTTTTTTAATGACTCTGCAAGTCATCAGGGTGCCTTTCTCTCAGCCATTGGAACAAATTTGCCATGAGGACACTTAATGTTTACTCTGAATGGCACCAAAGCCAGGCTTATTTCCATGTCTGTGGCCTGGTGTTAGCTGAGCCATATGTTCCTGGCCCAGATGGCTCTCTCAGTTCTAGATGATTAGTACCGCAGATCCAGATCCCAAGTCTGTCCATTTGCAAAGAAGAGGACAGTCATCAGACAGGCCTTTCATGTTAGAAGTGGCCATCTGAGACAAACAGGACATTGTTCCAAGCCGGTTACCACCGCATGGAATATGTAAGGAAGATCTCTTTTGAGCCCTGTAATTAGGTAAGCAAGGTCACTACAAAGTCATTTAAAATTGCATCTCAAGACAGTTCGATGGCAGAGGATCTACCCCCTCAGTGCTGATTTATTGCTTACTCTCTTAACTTTTTAAAAAAAGATCAGCAGATTGATTGTGCCGCCTGTGGTTGGAGGCGTGCTTACCTTTTCTCAGGCCTGATTCATAAAACATGACTGACCTGTTTTCAGCATCCTTTCCCTGTGTGCCCAGGGAGCTCCTCCGAGGTTCACTGCACTAAGTGTTTGGCACTGAGTGAAAACGATATGTCATGTTCACAGCAGATGACCCAGCAGGGGCCACGGCAATGAAGTCCCCAAAATGACCTGTTACATCTCTAGCTACAAGACTCAGGGAAACAGAGAGGCAGTTTCTAATGGTCTCCTGGAGGAATTTGGACTGATGACTAAACTTTTTAGGTCACAGCTTTCTTGAGAAATGGCAGGTGCCCCTTCTGCTTCTGGTGAGGTCAGTCACTGGCTCCAGCCCCCAGTAGGCTCTCTCCAGCCCACCTAGTCGGTTTCTCCTGCAGGGGGTTGGTTAACCATTTGTCCTCAGAACACTATCCTCACAAGGCACAATTTCTGAGTCCTTCCTATATCTGGGGTATGAGCCACTTGGAAGTGAGAATAATAAGTGAAACCCTCAGGTGCCTCCAAGGCCCCAGGAAAAGCATTTCTACCTTTGCTGATGCTCGTTGGTCCACTAGCAGGCAGCTGTTGTTCTGGCCACTAAATCTCAGTGACATCAGTTCTTTTCTAGGTTTATTTCTTCATTAATGTTTTTATTTTATTTTATTATTTTTCACTGACAAAATGGCCCCTAGTCGGCCAGTTGATTTAACAGGTCAGGTATGTGCTGTGCTTTGAAACAGAGGATAAGAAAAAAAGGATGATCATTATTAGAGTTTCATGCCTTTCTCAGATCCTTATTACGCCTCTGCTGCATTCCACACACATACCAATCGTGTATGAATTTCTGTTTATTAGAGAACTCTCCTTCACTTCTCTTTTCATGCTATGGCGTTCACAGGACATCAGAGCCAGTGGAGCTTTTAGAACCTAGAGCTGTTCCCACTACACTGAGCTGTACATAAGATTGCCCTCCATGTCCAGACTGGGGATGTTTAATGTGGCCAGTGACATTTTTCCAAGTCTGTTTATTACCTGCTGGTGAGAGTTCCTGAGACAGTTTGAGATAAAACTTTAGGAGTAATTATACTTTATGAGGACATAATACCCTTCAGGCTTCATTTCACGTGGTGCTAAATCAATACTCATATTCAATTCTTTTCTGTCTGCCTTCAAGTTAAAGGCCACAATATTAAAGTTTCCTATAATTAGCCAAGAAGTTGGTGCTACAGAGATGGTAAAAATTGACTTCAAACCCTTTATCTGATTGTGCAAAACCAACACAAGACAGGTGGCATATTGGGTCACCAAGTTACATCAGCAAGTTCCACGGAAAGCCTAGATGCCAGGAAAGAAAATAAAGGGAGGGAAGTGTTTTCTACCAACTGCTGGGAAAAATAATGCCCCACTGTCATCTTCACTACCAGAGTCTCATGGGGCTATTAAATATCTTTCTGTTTTCATTTCCATGATGTTTCCTAGGTTGAAATTGTTCTCTCTAGAATGATTGCATAAGCCAAGATCCCTAACACTAGAGGGCATGGGCTAACTGCGTACCTATGCACATCAGGCTGTTGAACAACCAAAGCACCTTGCTCTTTGAGACAATGGCATCCACTGAGCCACTCTTGGTGATACAAGGGACCCTGGGTATAAAAAAAGGAAAGCGACTATTATTTTTTCTTCTCCTTCTTTCTTCTTTTGTTTTGTCTTTCAGTTATAGGCCAGGCTTTTATTTATTTATTATTTTATTTATTTATTTAGAAAATGGGGTCTCACTGTGTTGCCCAGGCTGATGTCAAACTCCTGAGCCCAAGCCGTTATTTATGTTTGATTTACAAGTGTATTGGGTTCCTTGGTTGAAGGGTGGCTCTTATTTACATGCCCTTTCTTATCATTGTCTATTGGCTTTCAGGATTGTTGCTCTACTTGCGAAGGGTCTTTAATAGTCTTAGCCACACACAAATTCATCTTTTGGCACGTGTATGTGTGTGTGCACATATGTGTTTTCTTAGGGTCTTATTGAGACATCAGCATTCTCCCCTGTCTTAATAACTACTCCAATCCATAACTTTCTTTCCACTTAAAACCATTACGTTGTAAACAGAATTCTTTATGTGCCACTGTGTGTGGTGGAGTGTATGTGTGTGTGTGTGTGTGTGAGATGCAGGTGGGTACATTCATTCATGTTGCATTATACCCATAATGTATGAAGGTAGTAGGAAAATGGAGTGGTCCAGCTTATTGTCCAATGCCATGTAGTTTTTGGTAAAGAAAGGAGGATCAAACATAGCAGGGTGGCAGCAGCAGGAGCAGCAGTATAACCAGAGTGTTGAGATTTTTTTTTTCTAGGAGGTACTTCTTTTTTTTTTCAATCAACTCATTTGAATAGATTACTTAATTAGCATTTATTGTTTGTAAAATTCCTTGTCTAGAAGTAACATTTTAGGGTCTGCAGTTTTGAAGAAAGACAATTTAATGGGTGATAATTTTGTATAGAATTTTCAAATTGATTTCTTGGTAGTAAATTGTTCCTCAATTGTAGTGCCTTCTCCACACTCATTAGACAGCAAGCCTTCTTTCTAAATGCATTCATAACCATTAAAGTGTTGTCTCTAGTTTCCTGTCATTTGAAACAGGTCATAACTTCAGGCACAAACATTTAAAGGACAACTATACTTTCACAATTTCATTAGTGTTCTAGCGGAGTCGGAATGTGCTATTGAAGTTTATAGAGCTTTGCAGTTCCTGATGGAAACTATTCGGCTCTACTCATCCCAAGAGTAGAGATAATCTTTCTCTTTGTACAGAAAGTTGTTTCACTTCAATTCCACTCTGCCTGAGTTTTATTTATCAGCCTGATCTATGGCTAGAACTATATAGAAGCTCCCTAGAACCTGTTTATAATTCACCTCCCCTCCTCTTTCTCCAAAAACACCCTGGGAATAGAACAAGCTCATTGCCAAGGAAACTCCCTGGCAGTAAAGTACTGTTTGGTCCTATTTTCTACTGGCTTCTTTGACTTGTTGGGAGATGGTGTTTAAATGCATTACTCAAAAGGAGCTCTAGAAAATTTGAAATAAAACAAAAATAAAAATAAACATATTGAAATTCCCTGATATCTGCAGTGGTTTGTATGCTCTTGGCTTTCTGGGAGTATGCAGCTTATGAGCAGAGCTATTTCACACTTTGTTGTGAAATTCAGTGGAGAAAGTGCAGTCTTACCACGCCCTCTGCCTGGACATTTTCTAGCCAAATTAGGTCTACAAAGTGATCTAATTGGTCTAACCCTCTTATTTTTGATCAATGAGGAATTAGATGCTTCGCTATTAGAATAACAACTACAATGTTGATCCCATTTAAGAACTTTTTGTATACTGAGCAAGAAGCTTAGAGGACATTATCTCTTTTAATCCTAAATTCCAGTTGCCAAGATGATAAAGAAAATGAGATTGTGTCCATTTCTACAGATGAAGAAATAGGCTCAGAAAACTCACGTGTCCTGACCCATATCACACAGCAGTTTACTAATAGACTTTGATGGACACCCAAAGATGTTTACTAAAGATGCCCTTTCAAATGAAGCTTTTGACTGAAGAAAAAATATGCATGCTCTGGTCCCTCAGAACGCCTTTTGTATAGATATTATACATCCTGAAGACAACCCTTCAAAGCAAACCTTGGCTCCAACAAAGCTCCTTTCTTCTCTTTGACCTAACTCTCCCCAGTTCCCAAAATTTGTGGATTTTTCAACTTGATGCTCTCCTCATACTATGTTCTAAAACTCAATTCACCTTACCCCATTCTTTCTGATTCTTTCATAACCCATATAGATATTCTCTTCCTAAACCTTTCTTTGGTTAATCTCACTGATTCCTTCATTCAGAAAAGAATACAATACTAAGTGCCTACTCTGAGCCAGGAACTGCTCTTGGGGAATATCCGTGAACCAGACCAACAGGCTCCTGTTTTATGGGGCTTTCAGTTTTGGGTGGAGGGATTGATTATTGGAGAACTCTGAACTTGGATTCAAAAGACCAAGGCTAAATCAGAATGTTAAAACTGGCAGATATGGGAAATGGTTATATCTAATCTGGCCTGCACAGTGTCTTAAAAATTGAATTCATTGGTAGCATTTTAAGATCAAGAGTTTCCACATAGAAAACAACCTGGATTTCTGGCATCTTAGTAGTAACCTGGGCCCACATCCCCATCTAAGGCATCAATCCCTGCAGGAGGAGCAGTTCTGTAGCCTTCTGGTGGGGCAGGGTCTTTTAGCCACCTTTGCCTCAACCATGCCTTCTCATGCCCAGCCAGCTACACTCATGTACATGATCTGTTGACCTCTATAGACACTTTTGCATCCCATGGAGTAAATGATCTACAAAGTCCCTTCACAGACTGACATAACTGTTGTTGTCTGGCTTCCTGTGCATTGCTGTGGCCTCTTCCCACAGGCAGCGCCTGCCCAGAGCTGGCAGCCAGACAAAGAGAATCTGCCTGACCCCAGAGGAGGCTCCATCATTGCAAGGCAAACTCACAGCACAGTCAGTCCCTGGACAGCGACCAGCTGTCTTCACCCCAGAGCCACTTAGAATCAATTCTAGGCCTTGATGTTGAGGCCCCACTACTTGAAAATTTCAAGAGATTTAGCACAAGTGGATAAAACTAACAAAACTAGAAAATCAGAAGTTGTCTCTGGTGGAAGCCAAACAAATCAGAAATGAATAAGGAGAGAACTTTCGGGTAAAAGCAAATAAAGGCTGTGTAATATTTGGAGGAATAATGCTAATTATTACCAGTTTTAAAGTTAGTTTTTGGTACTTTGAAAATCTTTACTCAAAATCATCAGCAAAAGCACCAGTAAGCACTAATATTAATTGCAGGCTTATTGTGTTTGTCTATTTCATTTAACCCACTGCTCCCATTTTGCTGGTGGAAAACTGAAAACCAAAGAGATTAAGTCATTTACCCAAGGTCATGTAACTAATATATTGAATCTCAGATGTTTTAATGATTTTGACTCATTTCCAATTTGCCTGGCTATATAGAGAAAATATTTGAGGAATTGACAGGGAACACACACACACACACACACACACACACACACACACACACACACAGAGGGAGGGAGGGGAGAGAGAGAGACAGAGACAGACAGAGACTGAACAGATTATTTCTCCACTGATGTTCATTATTTAGATCTATTTTCAACATTTAAAGGCAATTGTCAGCATAGTCAATTCAGCCATTTTAAACCATCAAGGGCCAATGAGCAAAGTGTTTTACTGAAGAGTCTACATATGGAAATCAATGATATCCCAAAACTGAGCTGGTACATAAATCTAAGAAATGCAGGTGTGAGATTGATGACTTGGGATTTGATCCCCATAGCAAATCTGATTAAATGGTATACATTGGTTTAGAAAAACAATGTATCAGGGAAAATCCTACTCTTAAGAAACGTTATGCTGAATTCTGTAAGATGATAAAAAACATGTCACACTAGACCAGAAATATTACAAATGTTCTCAGATTCTCCCTTTCTCATTTTCTCATGTTTAGATTAGAAGTATGGGAACTCAGAGGGCTGAATAGAGGATTGCCAGGCAGTTAATGAGAATTCAAACTAGATTTGAGGTCTTCCTGATTCCCGGGATTTACTCTACCGGGCAGAAGCAGAAGCTGCTTAAATTCTGAAAATAGAGTCTTTTAAGAGTGTGGGATTCATACGGAACCTCTTCTAAACAAGTTACCTCTGAAATGTGGGACAAAATAATTCTAGGTGTGTTTGTCCAACAGGAGCCTGTGACTTGGGATTTGTGTCTGCACATGCATGGATCTAAGGAACCAGCCACTTTGACAGGTGGCCTTTCATCAGGCTCATCAATGTCTTAGTCAATTTCTGGCCCTCCTATCACCCCTGTTCTGGAGCTGAAGAAACCTTGCCATGGGGACAAATGCACTTAGAGAGTGAGAGCAGCATAGCAAAGTGATGAAGGGGATGGACGCTAGAATTGGAACCATGGCTCTGCCACTGACTAGCTATTGGGCAACCTTCCTGTGCCTCCCTTATTTATAAAGTGGAGACAATGATAGTACCTCCTTCATAGGATGAAACAAGTTAATATATTTAAAGTGCTTAGAAGAGTACCTGGCACATAGTAGGTATTAGGTTAGGGATTGGTAACTTTTCAAAATATGAGAGACTTTTTAATAACAACAGCCAGTATTTTGGTCCATTTTATGTGCCAGGCACCAGTACAAGAATTTGGCATATATAAGTCATTTGATTTTCAGAATATACAAGGTAATATTATTACCTTTATTTTCAGTTGAGAAAACTGGAGTGTAGAAATGTTAGTAATATGCCCAAGTCACATAGCTAGTAAGTAATGGGGCCTAGATTTGAAAGCAAGCAACAGTCTCTGGAACCCATAATTTTAGCCACTATGCTGTAAAGAAATGCAAATAGCCATCGTCATTACTCTTCCAAATCCAGGACTGAATTCGTTCATTGCAAATATGGTGGATCTCAGAGAGCCTGAGGCAGAAAATGGGCACCTATATGCCTCTCTTACTACTCACAGCTTAAAGTCAGTGGAGTTGACGTATGATCAAGCCACCAAATCTCAGCATTTCTTTGGACAAAAGACAACCTTTTTTAGTGAAGGAAAATTCACAGCAACCAATCTGGGTAGGGATTCCAGGTGATTCTTGCCACCTCATTCTCAGTCATTCTCACTAGGGTTGATTCCACAACCACATTATAAACTCCTAGTAGACCAGGCCAATATAATTGCTCATCTCCCATGACACCCAAGTGTCAATAAATACCAATGAATGAATTGACTCCATTTGTTTGTTTTGCACCCTGACACCAGTAGCCCTCATTGCTTAGAGATTTTTTTCCAGTAGTAAAAATAGGGATTCTAGAGTTTCCTTTGGTGCAAAGTTTGAGCTCTAGTGCTTTTTAATTACTGTGACTATCAGTGGAGCAGATTATTTTTTGATAATGAAATCATCATAGCTGAGGCTCTGTGGAAGACCTTTGACTTCCCATCAAGAGAAGTGTAGGATAAAATGAAAATTGAATGTTGTTTGTTGATGATTTTCTAATCGATTGCTTGCTGTTTTTTGGTGATTGCGAAACACTAGAAAGTCCCAAAGGAATCAGACATGCATAGAAAGAGAAATGAAGGGGAGAACATGTCCCTAGGGTAGGTCCACAGGGAAGATAATTGAAGATGACAGAAGACATAATGTCACACTCAGAAAGGGATTTTTTCTGGCCCTACCACACAGAAAATGATGACCTTGCAGTGGAGAGATAAGACTGGTAATTAAGGAGGAGTTATTGTGCTAAAGCTGGTCTTCCCTTTCCACTGGTATTTCATTCTGGAAACTGAAATGGGACATTAAATAAAGAATGGTGTCTCATTTCAGGGCAGAGGGACTTACAAACTATCAAAACCAGGACTGAAAGGAGCCCTGAGCTAATGTGTGTTCTCGTTACAGAATTCTGCCTTTCAGCAAGGAAAGGTATTTAGCTGGGATCTGAGGATTAGCATAAACTTCTGATATTCTACCCTTCCTATTTTGGGGGAAAAAGTCAAACCTTAGTAGAATTTGAAAGCTTAAAAATATCCTGTTCAATTTGCTTTGGATGGCATTTGTTACTATTAAAATTTTAAAAATACAGAAACCACATATGATCCTTGTCTTGGGAGACTGCACATCCTGTTTTGTCTAGGACAGTCCCAGTTTATATTTGCGATACTGGTATAATTATTACTATCTCTCAAAATGTTGTGGTTTGAGTAATAAATTATACTCTGCCTATATATAACCCAGCGATTCTTCTGCTCAGTATCTAACCTAGAAAATTACTCACACACATGTACAAGGAGGTTACTGTAGCACTGTTTATAAATCACAACATAGGAAACCACATGCATGCACACTAGAAGAATGGCCAAATGAACTACAGAATATTCATGCTGAGAGCATCATCTCACAGTTAAAAGACTGAGATGGATCCATATGTGGTGAAATAGACAAATCTTCTAGACATGTCCTGAGGGGAAATAAATAATCTTTAGAATATTGTCCAATATGATACTGTTTAGGTTACTTTAAAAATGCAAACTAGACCAGGTGCAGTGGCTCATGCCTGTAATCCCAGCACTTTGGGAGGCCGAGGCGAGAGGATCACCTGAGTTCAGGGGTTTGAGACCAGCCTGACCAGCATGGTGAAACCCCGTCTCTACTAAAAATACAAAAATTAACCAGGCGTGGTGGCAGGTACCAGTAATCCCAGCTACTCGGGAGGCTGAGGCAGGAGGATTGCTTGAATCTGGGAGGCAGTTGCAGTGAGCCAAGATCATACCACTGCATTCCAGCCCGGACGACAGAGCAAGACTTTGTCTCAAAAAAATACAAACTAATTTAAAAGATATTTTAGGGGCCAGATATATGAGTATGTAAGATGAAAAATGGAAAGACATTTATAAACCAGTAACAAGGGTTATGTTGGATAGAAGTGATGGGTTTGGATTCAATATGGTGGTCAAGGGTGACTTTAACCATAATATTTCAGCCTTTTCCTAAGGACACTATGATCTTTGATTGCTTGTGGAATTGATCATTTATTTTAAATGTAATTTAAAACTTAAAACTATGTTCCAGAGGTGATGTTGCTCAGTTCATTGTTTTGAATTGAAGTAACTGAGGCCTTGAGAAGCTGCATAAGTTTTCCAGGGTCACACCATCGATATGGGGCAGAGGTGGGGCCCAAATGAGTCTCCTGACACCCAGTTTCTTTCTCACTGTCTGGACAATGCTCTCCTTGAAGGTTTATGAAGATTTACTGCGTTGCCTTCCCTCCATAGATGGAAATAAATGGCTGGACACAAACTAATTCACACTCATCAAATTTTACTCCCCTTAAATCCCCAACTAAAAAGTAATGGCCAGTATCATTAATTGACCCCAGGCTGGCAGCCACCTGATTTATTCTCTGAAGTCTACCATCTGGTTTTGTTTTGACCTTAATTCTCCAGCATGCATTTCTTTGATGTGGACATTAAACTGATCATTAATGGTTTGAAGAAGTGGTAAGTGTATGGTGAGAAGGGTTTCCCTGGCGTATTTTTGTGACAGTTATCGTGGGGTCTTTTGCTTTGGTTTGTGTCATTGCCTTTCCTTTGGTAAGCAGTGCACTCATGGCCTTTCCCCTGGCGATTCTCTGAGTCCCCGCGAAACCTGCTAATGTGGGGGCAACTGGAAGCAGCTAAACCCTTATTCTTCCCTGGAGTATTTGCATATTAATAGAGATCAGGACCTGAAGTTAAATTTGATGATGCTTTAAAGGTGGAAACTTAGACATTAACCAGCAGATTAGTATTAGTGGAAAGGATTTTACTGTACTTATTTTTGCCTTTCTTATTTTTCTGAAATTATGCCAAGTAACTACACTTTGTGTTAATGAACACATACTTTAGTGATACATGTTGTCCGTGTTGTTGAATATAGAACCCAGCACTTTACGTGAATTATGTCATTTAATCCACAACACAACTTTGTGAGATAATGATTTTATCTCCGGTGAATAGTTAAAGAAACACCAAGAGATTGGCTTTTTGAGATTTAGCGTCTCAGGGAGGGTAACACCGTAGAAGATAGAGCTAGGTTCAAACCCAGGCAGTCCATCT
The DNA here is from genome assembly GCF_000001405.40 of Homo sapiens. NCBI lineage: Eukaryota > Metazoa > Chordata > Mammalia > Primates > Hominidae > Homo > Homo sapiens. The sequence continues at coordinate 169,920,193 of NC_000005.10, forward strand.
TCAGAGACTCAGCTCCTCACCACCATGCCATATTGCTGGCACCATAATAATGATTATGCAGTTATTATGATGTTCAAAACATAATTAAACACAATAAAATATAATATTATGTAAGATGTAATTATATGCAATTAGAAGTGTGGATACTCATTTGCATACTTTGATTTCAGAAACACCAAGGGGAAGAAAACAAAATACTTTCTGAGAGTTGTTGATAGTATTCCAGAAAGTAGGTGGATTTGGCAAAGTTTGTAAGGTGGTTTTTTTCCCTTCCTTTTTGGCTCAACAGTTTGTTGGCTGGCACTCATACTTGGGAGATAAATGCAAACCGAGATCTCACCATTCACACCACTCCCAGAGGTCACACATCACTTATTGAATAACTGATGGGTTTGGAAAGAGGGCATGGCTGTAACTCAGCTCAAGAATTCCACTGATGTCATAAAAGGTGATAGCTCAGCCCCAGTGGCAGGTGATGGACAGTGTAGCCATAGAGAGCACATCAGCTCTGTGCTCATTCCCGTCTCCCGTCTCTGCAGATTTAATTTATAGCTGGAACTTGGCCCTTCCTTTGGGCTTACAGGAAAGCCTAAGAGCTGAATGGCTGAGCTTATCATGATCTATGTGGATGGCTCTTCTTGTCTTTCTGACCTCCACCCTAGGACACCTGTATCTCCTCCAAGCCCAGTAGTGGGCAGTTGTTTTCCTAGAGATCAGCAGCTCTTATTGTCAAAAAATATAGTTAAACAGTTTATTAGATGAACTGAGATTCATATTGTTAGGTCTTCCCTCAGTCCACGGGGGCACTTTCCTAATTACCTTTGCAAGAATATGTTTTATTCCTCAGTTATTTTCCAATTCCTTCTGGAAATTCTTTTAAAGAGTCTCAATCCCAGTGTTTTGCTTCCATAAGGGAAAAGCACGTAGGGTGATGGTCAGTAGGAATGAATGCAATGTTAGCCTGGAAAAGTGTCTGGATGGATAGGGAAAGTACTCAGAAAATTGTGTTTGTGTTTGTGACTTGAACTAAGTCCGTATTCCTCCTGATGTAAGATTTTGGATTAGAATATTCAAGATCATCACTTCCTAATATTATATAGGAAATCTCATAATCTATATAGGAATAGGAAATCTGTATAATCTTTATTTGTATTTACTATGTTATTGTTCTTTCTCAGCATAGGGGTCTTCCAGAAAAATCGATGAGTCTAGATTTTTGAGGACTGCTGTGATATTCTTTTAAAGATGAAGACTGTAATCAAGCCAAATTTTCCCAAACACATTCCATGGAACACTAAGCACGTGGATCAACAGTTTTGTAGTCAAATATTTGGAAAATGTTGCCTCTTTCCTCCTCTTCGTAGGAATTTGCTGTGGCTCTAAGCATTCCTGCATCCAGTAAAGATGTCTGTTTAACTTTGTTTAACCCAGTGTTTTCCAGTTTCACCTCATCAAAGAGCCCTTACAGAGCTGTGGAGAGGAGCACTTGGGAGAAGCCAGTTTTGGAGATGGGATTGCATCCCAGGAGTACATTGAAATGATTGCTTTCTTGAGGATTAGGGCCCACTGATAAGAACAGGCTGTAAGCAGTGTTGTGACAGTCTTCTCCCAGAGCTCTTAATCGAACTTTTAAGTTTCTCAATTGAATAGTGCACAAATACAATATTTTACCCTTTTACTGAAGGAACATAGTAAATAATACTGTGATAGCCCCTTGACAGTAGAAAGATGATCTTTTAAAAAAATGCTCCAGAGAGGTTGGAGGAGAGAATTACTTTTATCTGTGTCTATCAGAATCCCATGTACATCCTGGTCCTGGGCAAATATTATTTTAAGAGCTTTTCCATGACTCAAATACCTTCTTTCTATTCTGCTCATTTCCTTTTCTTTTTAGCCTTAATGCCATTCCACATTTGAGAGAGAACGTTAACATAAACTGCAGTAATGTCAGTCATCAATATTTGCATAGCTAGGGTGCAGCTTTTGGAAGAAGCTCTCCAGAAAAAATTACAGTACAGTGTGCACATTGCCTAAAGGTATTTATTGCTTCCAAAGAATGAATTATCTCATCTTATGGAGGAAAAGATGAAGGCTCAGAGAAGATGAGCCCTAATTTATGCAGAACCCCTGATAATATTCATCTGGAATACCAAGAAATAATGTTAATACATAAAAATAATGTAATGTAAATCATGTTATGCACTGCAGCAGTTAGCTGGAAGATCTGGAACTGATTCACCTGGTCAGTTTAGAGCTTTCTGAACTCCCTTGGTATTGTATCCAGACTGGGCTTGATACATTTAATTATCTAAGTAAAGTAGATCTTGGCCATCACCTTTGAATAATACCAACAATGAGAAAAATAACCGTTAATGGTTGAGGATTTGCAGTTTAGAGAATATCACCTACATTATCTTTCTAAGCTGGTGGAGTTACCTCATTTAACAGATTTATAGTGCTCAGAGAGGTTAAGTGATTTGTATATGGTCACACAGCTTAATGTATACTTGAGCTGGAGCCAGATCCTAACCCCTTGTATCTCCCTTAAATTGTGCTGTCTCATTCCACAGAGCTCCTCAGGCAAAGCTGTTTGATTGGATATAACCTACATTGTTTGAGTATCTGATACATTCTGGGTGGTTTTCCAAGGGGAATTCTTTGAAAGGGAGCTTGAAATTTGTATGTTGAAGTTAGATAACCTCTTTATTTAACAAACACCTGTACAGTACAGTGTTTATTGTCATTACAGGCAAGCTTCTAAGCACTTTGTAAATATCGAATTGTGAATTTCTCTTATCGGTCCCACAGACAGATATAATTTTACCGTATTTCACAGATGTGGAAACTAATATCAGAGGCTAAATAATTCCCTGGGGGACACAGAGCCACCACCTCATGGAACCAGGATTGTGCCTAGGCTCTCAGGCTCCAAGGCCTATGCTCCTCACCTCTGTGCTGGGTTCCTTCTCCTTCTAAATTCTCTGTTTACACAAGCATGGGACTGGGTAGAAAAACTGGATGGAGGGTGATTCAGATTGAGATGTTTTCTTGGTGTAAACATGAGATGTCTGGGTGGTAAGCTTATATGAATGGTTTTTACTTTTTTCTTTGTACTTTCATATATTTCCTAAATTTCCTACAATATTTATGTGTTACTTTCCTAATAATGAAGGGGCATACGCAGAAAACACATTGGCTCTAGTATAGGATTTCAGCCTTTATAGATGTTGATGCTGACTTATTAGCAACCTATTTGTTAGCAGCACATGCGTGCGTGTGCATGCACGTGGGCACACACACACACACACACACACACACACTCTTTGCAGGGGAATTTTGAGCCAGAAATTTATCTGTAGGCCCATATTCATTCCTTTTTGCACATTTCTATTGTGACCTTGGGCACGTCTCTATCCCTCTTTGAGCCACTGTTTTCTCATCTGATAAAAGAAGGATAATATTGCTTCAAAGAAGGTTAATAGGACTAAGTAAGGCACTGAATATGCATGTATTTTATAAGTTTTAAAGTGCCTTAAAAATGTGAGTAACTGTGTTTAGGTAAAAACATATATGGCATGTTTCTTAAAGTTTCTCTTCTCTGTTATTTGCATAGATGTTATGCAACTTGTGTTGTAGATAGTTTGCCAAGGAGAATTTTATCCTGCAGGCCTCAGCCAGTCAGTATATGAGCTAAGATGGAAGTTTTGTGGGATAAGCAATCTGCTGCTCCCTTGGAGAATTCTCTAAATTTGCAAGTAGAAACATTGCGGTTGGCAAAATGGAGCTGGATTAATAACGTTTATCATTCAGGTGGAGGCTTTGTGTTTGCAAAGGGCCTGGTAATTGGTAATTAGCTGATGCCCCTTGTCTCCTCCTGCCACCCTCTTCCTCCCTGCCCTGCTGTGCCCCCTGGAATCCAGAGGCAGAGGCACCTGCATGCTCCCAGTCTGCTTCTCCCTGCACAGTGCCTGGAAAGTCCCAGGGGACCACAGCCATCTGACAAGTTGGTACTGGGTTGAGTTACACCAGCCACACACACTAGCTCTGGCCCTGAGCTGGGAGTAAATGAGGTCAGGCCAAGAGACATCAAGCTTCAAACATATATTTTCAAAATAAATAGGAAGTCTCTGTCCTCATACTCTTTCCCTGTCACCTTTGCTCCCTAAAAGTCTAACCTCTTTTTAGTCAGTTTCCTGGTATCCAAAGGCCCATTTTACTTCCTCCAACCATCCTGTCAGCAAATCACATTTCCCTGTTGTGTTTTCTCCAGTAGAAAGGACTTTTCTCATTTATTTGTTCCTGAGAAGAATTAGGAATCTGAGAATCTTGATGATCTTTTGGCTGCTTCTTGGGTAGCAATTTAGACTCTCACTGAACACCCATCTCATCTCTTCAGAGCTATTCAATCATGCTGAAGTTCATTTGAACAAACTAAGACTTCCTATTAGCAACCCCATCCTGCTTAAAAAATGGAGATTCCCCTCTGCCATTAAAGCAGATCTGAGAGGCTTTTTTTGAAGGAGGGCTGAAAGTTGAATAATTAACAGGACATTTCTTTTCCAACCCTTCTTTTCTTTTCTTTTTTCATCAATCTGAAGTATCCTGGGACGCTCTTTGGCCTGGCACATGGGTAGGTAGGCATATTGTCAAAGATTGAGCTGCAGTTTTTCAATTTGTGACTTCCCTGATAACTACTTCCTCTAGAAGTCCCCAGAAATGAAAATGGGAGTGTGTGTCCAGGCACAATTGCTTCTCCCAGTCTTCCTGGGGATGTTCCAATCTTGTCAACCAGTTTTCAGTTTTGTTTCAGAGTATTGACTCAAGTAATTAAATCATCAATAATATTAGACTTCCCTTTTTCCTTTTTAATTTTTCTTTCTCTATTATTCTTTTTCTTCACTATCCACCCCAACCCCCCATTCATCTGTTCTTTTTATGGAAGGCCAAAAAGTGTAATACATGGTAAAGAGGGGAAAGGGGACTCTGTAGTAGGGAGCTGAGGACTAGTTCAGTCAGGCAGCCCTAGCTTAGCTTCAGTTTCCTTATCTGTAAAGTGGAGAAGTCAAACCTGCCTTGAGGGCAGGTGACTGAAACCCTGCAGGTAAGACCCTAGGACAGATGGGTCCTGGTAAGAGCATCGTCTTGTTGAGAGGCTGAGGTGGGCAGATCACAAGGTCAGGCGTTAAAGACCAGCCTGGCCAACATGGTGAAACCCCATCTTTACTAAAATTACAAAAATTAACTGAGCGTGGTGTTGTGCACCTGTAATCCCAGCTACTTGGGAGGCTGAGGCAGAAGAATCGCTTGAACCCAGGAGGTGGAGATTGCAATGAGCTAAGATCAGGCCACTGAACTCCAGCCTGGGCGACAGAGCAAGACTCTGTCTTAAAAAAAAAAAAAAAAAAAAAAAAAAGCATTGTCCTGGGGTGTAATCCCAGCAGCTCTGCCATTGATTGGTTGTGTGACCTGTGGGACTTCTGTAGTTCAGTTTCTTCATCTGTAGAACGGAGTGACAATAGCACCTGTCATATAGGGTTGTGTGTTGGGAGCATTAAAAGAGATCATGTAAAGTGCTTTCCAGGATGCCAGACCAATAATGGTGAGTCCTTCATACATATTATCTATTGCTGCTATTATCACTGTTTCTGGAATTTAACAATTTCTGGTTCCCTGGGGAGAAGATGTTCCCTGGCAGCTGGGCCTGTTTTAGGTCTTGTGTTTCCCGCAGAGACTCTAGGGAAATTCTTAAAGGGGCTTTGTGAGTATCATCTCTGAGCATAACTGTGTGCCCAGGAGCTCGCAACACACCCCTCATTCCATGGCAGGATGTCGTCAGCTCTGGTTAGTCTCTGAGTCCATTGCTTAGAGCTGAGCTTAGAAAAGAGAATTTCTCTCTTAGAGACAAGTGGGATGCTGTGGGAAAACATAGATCTGGGAAGCCAGTCAGGCCAAAGGGATCCAGGAGTAGGAGTTCCTATAGTCGGCATGGATGTGGATAGGTAGACGCAGGCCCAGTGCCTGACTTGGGGACCACGGGGAAGCCACTCACCTGATTGTCTCTCACCTGCCACCTGCAGACCCTGCTCCTTACTTGCTGTTTGGGAAATATTGTCGCTTTGCATAGGATGGCACTGTTCTTACTTTTGATGAATGTCTGAAAAATGAACTTCTTATCCTCTACCTTTTTCAACTGCCATATACATGCTGGCATTACTGTTAACAAATAGGCCCTTTTCCCTGATCACATGAGCCTCGGATTATGGTCTGCATTGATCTTCTGTGAGCTCAGGTGGCCATGTTCAAAGAAAGCTTTGTGAACATGATGACTGAGAAAGATGAATCTGGGTGCCGCATGAGGCTGGAAGGTGGGGGCAGTGATGTGGCACATCAGCTCACTCAGGCAGGACAGAATAGGGTTTAAGCAAAGAATGCATTAGAATGCATTATGCCATACGTCACCCACTTACCATGGCATAGGACTAGAGGGGGCCTCAAAGATTATTTAAAGAAAAACAAACCAATGCCTTTAAGGCTTGTGACTCTGTAACTAGAGGTGAAGTTTGGCTGGATGCATTCATTTAGCAACTAGTTACTTATTGAGCTTTTACTGCATCTCAGGCACTGCAGTGGAAACACAGGATGAACTAGACAATGTCCCTCCCTCTAGGTCTTCTAAAAAAAAGACCAGTACATGAAAAATAATTGTAAATTATGATACAAAACAAGGAGCAGAATAGGGAAGAACTAAAGCTTGGGGCAGAAATGAGGCTGGCTACTTTAGGTGGGATGGCCAAGGATAACATCTCTCTGACATTTGTGTTAAGAATTAAAGCCATATAAAGTGCTTCCCAGGGTGCCAGACCAATATGGTATATTCTTCATAAATATGCTACATGAAGAGTGGGAAGAGCAAAAGAGCAGAAGAGCATTCCAGCTGGAGGAGCAAACATTTGCAAAAGTTCAAGATGGGAAGATCTCGGCCCTTTCCAGGACTTGAAAAAAGGCCCCTGGCTGGAGAGTCATGAGAGAAGGGAAGCAGCTTCAGATGAATTCGGAGAGGTAGAAGCAGCCAGATCCTCTAGAGCCTTGTAGGCCACAGTAAGGGGGTTGAGTTGTAATGCAAGGCAGAGTTCTCAAGCTCTATCATGAATCAGAATCACCTGGAGATTCAATAGAGATTGCTGGACCCCATCCCTAGAGATGGGGACCTTCTAATAAGTTTGCATGTGGTGCCGATGCTACTGGGCCAGAGACCAGACTTTGAGAACCACTGCTGTAAGGCAGTGAGAACCCTAACAGAAGGATGTTTCATATAATTAATTTGCAGGACTTAGTAACTGATGGAGTGTAGGGTTAAAGAGGGAAAAGAATCAAAGATAATTCTAAAGGTACAGTCCTGTGTGATCAGGAGGTAAAACATATAGGAAAAATTCTTGTTTTTTGAGACGGAGTCTCGCTCTGTCGCCCAGGCTGGAGTGCAGTGGCACAATCTTGGCTCACTGCAAGCTCCGCTTCCCGAGTTCATGCCATTCTCCTGCCTCAGCCTCCCGAGTAGCTGGGACTACAGGCGCCCGCCACCACGCCTGGCTAATTTTTTGTATTTTTAGTAGAGATGGGGTTTCACTGTGTTAGCCAGGATGGTCTCAATCTCCTGACCTCATGATCCACCCGTCTCGGCCTCCCAAAGTGCTGGGATTACAGGCATGAGACACTGCTCCCGGCCCGAAAAATTCTTTATTCAGGGCTGGATGATGAGATGGTATAACCAGCAGGAATCTTCCTTGGGTTTCAGTAGGTGTGGGAATTAACTCACAGATCCATGTGTGTGTATGCATTTTTTCTTAAACAGGTGGTAGAGAGGGTACAAATATCAGGGAGAAAGTCCACAGAAGCAGGATAAGATACTGTCAACCTGGGGTTCCTTCAGGCCTTCCCAGCCAAACCCTTCCCCCTGCAACTCAGGATCAGCCACCTCATTGACTTGCCCCACCCAAGGCCAAACCAATATTGACAGCAGCCTCAATGCACCAGCAGGAGGGGTCTACAGTTATTGCTGCCACAGGTCTTACACCAGATGGCCCTCGGTGGGCCAGCCTGTTCTTGCCCAGTCTGTTCTTGCCCTGTTCTGACCAGTGGCAGTGCTGCCTTACCAGGGATGCCCTATCTCCACCTGAATGAACCAGGTCTGGGTTTGCACTGCTCTGCCCCAGAATGCCCCGCTGTTTTCACGTAGTCAGGCAGGTTCCCCAGCCTTAGTTCTACCAGAGCCAGCCTCCTCGCTTCCCCATGCATCAGTGCTGCTGAGAGTGAATCCAAGTTACGGGAGTAACCTTGCTGAGCAGGAGGCCAAAACCAGTGAGTGACATGAAGCATCGTCCATCCAAAAGAGAGGCCAAGAAAGCATGGAAAGGACAGTGTCATGGAGGCCTAGCAGGAGACAAACTTTTAAAAGAGGCAGAGAGATCTAAATACATCCAAACTGTTGAAGCGTAAAGCATTAGAAAAAAATATGATTTCTCAACAAGTTATGACACCTTCATAGAGAACAGTTATACAGGAATGAGTGGGTGGAAGAAAATAGCAACCACAGCCCAATAATGCAGATCTAATGTTATTAGGTTAAATACTACACAAGTAATTACTCAGTGATGAAAATTATTAATTGTGCACATGATGCTCACTCTATGCCCTGGGTGTTTCTGTTCCTGCTTGAATAGTGGAATAATTAGCAGATAACTGCGCTATTAATTATGCCAAAGCTTGCTTTGAGATAGACTAAAAGGCCAAACATGTAGGATGAGGAGGAGCTATGTGTTCTGTTCATCTTTGTGCCCTGAGAAGAGCAGATGGAAAGCTTGAGGTCAACCTGGGCCCACAGCTGGCCAGGTAGACTGAAGTTCTGTCATGCCCTGCCTTGAAAGGGAACCAGAGTGCCTATGCAGGAAGCCCACGCACATAGCACTTAGGCATAGCAGGGGGTTAAAGGTGTTTTCAAGTTCAAGTCATGACACATTTATAAGCCAAAGCCCCAAGGGCCAGTATTTTCCAATCTCTTCCTCCACCATCCTTGGCCATATGGTAAACATTTCTCTTTCCTTTCCCCATTGACACCAACAAGTTCATCTCACATGGGTAAGACTCAGACAAATCCCATAGCTTTTTACACGTAGATTTTCCACAAAGCGAATCCCGGCAAACGATATACAGAACTCCTAGCTTATCTTGCCATGGGATGAGATAAGATGGTAAGAAGTCATCCTGTGGCCAGGTGTGGTGGCTTATGCCTGTCATCCCAGCACTTTGGAAGGCTGAGGGGGGAGGATTGCTTGAGCCCAGTAGTTTGAAAACAGCCTGGGCAACATGATGAAACCTTGTCTCTAACAACAACAACAACAACAAAATTAGCTGAGTGTGGTGGCACATGCCTGTAGTCCCTGCTACTCGGAGGCTGAGGCAGGAGAATCACTCAAGCCTGGGATATGGAGGTCACAGTGAGCCAAGAGGGGATCACTGCACTCCAGCCTGGGCAACAGAGTGAGACCCTGTCTCAAAAAAAAAAAAAAAAAAAAAGAGAGAGAGAGAAAGAAGCTATCCTGCTGGAGTCTGAAAGCTTGACCTAGCACTTTCCTATAGACCCTTATATGAGGATAGAAATCTTGTTTTGTGCTCCTTGTTTTGTGCTCCAATATGGTAGCCACTAGCCACACATGCCTGTTAAACATATGCATATTAAACATATTAAACATTGAAATAGGGCTAATGTGACTGAAGAATAGAACTTTATTTGTTTATTTATTTATTTATTTTGTTTATTTTTGAGACAGAATCTTGCTCTGTCACCAGGCTGGAGTGCAGTGGCACGATCTCAGCTCACTGCAATCTCTGCCTCCTGGGTTCCGGTGATTCCCCTGCCTCAGCCTCCCGAGTAGCTGGGACTACAGGTGCATTCCACCATGCCCAGCTAATTTTTTGCATTTTAGTAGAGATGGGGGTTTCACCATGTTGGCTAGGATGGTCTCAATCTCCTGACCTTGTGATCCGCCTGCCTCGGCCTCCCAAAGTGCTGGGATTACAGGCTTGAGCCACCGCACCTGGCCTAATTTAAATTTAAATAACCACATATGGGTGATGGTTAAAGCAGGACTTCAGAAGACACTCTGGCTTTAGTTCTCCTTATGCACTCACGACTGGGGTTGTCTGGGCTCGAGGGACCTCAGAGCCTCTTAGGGTAATGTGTGTCCTCTGGGATGACATTTCTTGGACAATTTCCCTTCTCCTCTGAAATGTGAGCTTCATTCATGGTAAATGAGTAAAAATCTGCCTGGAATTACTTACAAGGGTGAAGAATGAACATATTAACAGGCTATAGATAATAAGAAAGTCCTTTAAAAATGAATGTGGTGGCTGCCAAATCAATTTGTGCAAAATAACGGTAGACAAGGATGAGCTGCGGCTGACAGGGAGCAATTAAGTTTTGTAATTTTACCTTGAATTATTAATTTCAAGAAGGGTTGCTTCTCTCACTGCAGTCTACATCTTCGCCCTTTGAGAGTCGGGTGGAAGGCACTGTGGGTGAGCCTCCATTTCCAGGTTGTTGAGAAACCATCTCTCTTGGTTTCTTTTCTTATGCTTTCAGCTCTTCATTGGGGGTTGCACTTCATTTTCTTCTCACATTCACAACAAATTAGCCATACACATAAATACAATAAAGGATACCTGTCCCAAGGAAAAGCATCCTCATCACATGTCATGGGCCAGTCCCTTTTACAAGGTGCTCCTGCACAGCCATGGCAGGTACTCATGTGTGTGCCAGACAGAGGGGAGTTTCTAAGCTAGGAAAAGTGGATTTGTGGGAAGTTGTTTTCCTCCAGGTAAAGATAAAGTGGCTTTGCTTGACTGGTTGACTCATTGGCCAAACTAATGATGCTACTAACACCCTTGATCTTAGGATTAAGCATTGTCTGGGATATTTTGAGTCATGAAAGTTACCTTCCTACAGAGCCCAGCTCTAGGAAACCATCTTACAAATACATGTGCATCCCAAAGACGACCAGGAGAGTGAGGAAGGCTTGGCTCAACCCAGCCCAGTTGCTGACAAAGCCATCAAAGTACAGGTCTTACTTCCAACAGTGGGTCAGTGGGAAGAACACAAACACCAGCGTCTCTCAAAGGGCTTGCCTTGATATTGCCGCCTCTCGGCAATTGAACACTTCTCCCGTTCGCCTGAACCCTCAGACTTCTTTGAAGAAACTCTTTCCACCTATCCAAGTGCACTAAGTTCCTGGCATATAAAATTAGATGTGGTTATTTTATGAGGTGGTATCGTTTTGTGGAAAGTTGTTTTGGGGTGGGAGGTCAGACCAATTCGGGTTTTAATTTCATTTCAGTTACTTATTCGCTGTTTGACTTTGGCAAACTGACACAAGATCTCTGAGCCTGCTTCCTTGTCTGTGAAACTGGGCTAATGCTGCTGTGTGAGATGGTGGTGAGGGTTATAAGTGAGGAAGGTGAAGTTCCTAGCACAGTAGCTCACATGGGAGAAGGTGGCTGGCACTGTGCTTCCAGGAGATGGAAGCACAGCCAAGTGGCCCAGAGGACAATTCCCAGCTAGCCCCAGAAATAACAGGAATCCTTCCTCCAGGGATCATAGCCTTCTGAACTGCTTCCCTCCTGCCTGCCCTTCTCTATGTTCCTCTTTCTTCACTGTGGGTCAGGGAAAATATCATGCATTCATTCACTCATTCATGTATTCAACAAATACCTCTGGAGCCTGCTGCCTGCCAGGAACTGCTCTAGGTGCTAGGAATACAGCCATAAGCCCAACAGAGTCCTGACCTCATGATGCTTATATTTTAGTGGGGAGTTAGGCACAGATGCAGTAAACAAAGAAGATACAACATCCAGTGGCGATAACTGCTATATAGTGAGATAAAGTGGCGTAAGAGCATATGATGGAGGTGACAGAAGCCTATTAACATCAACGGTGAGTATCTGATTTTTAGCATCACCTGCACACACACACAGAGTAAGGAGGGTGGGTCCCTGAGTTTACAGAGCCCTGTTATGAGGAAGGAGCACTGAGTGAGGGGGACACTCACTCATATGAAGGGACTGCATGGAGTGGGATCTAAGAGGTAGGAAGTGGTTGGAACTATACCCGCTGCAGAGTAGTTGAGGAAGAAAAGGGGAAAAGGCAGGTAGGTGACATGAAGTAGGGAGAGAATGGGGAAGGAAGATGGCAGCTGCCATGTGGCAAGAGAGAGGGAGGCTTTGGAGATCTCTCAGTTGATGGAACATGCTTCTGGGTGTCCTCATGGAGCCTCAGGAACAATCTGCATGCCTCACTGATGCTTTTGCCGTCAGTTTTGGGTTTTTTAGACCTGGGACGCTTGACACTGACCACAAGGTGAGGGCCAGGCTGGATTTGTATGTTTGTTGTTTTAAGTAATCCAAACCTTATAAACACATGTAAGGAGAAAACCCAAGGCTCTTTCCCTGTTCCCTATATTCCAGTCTCCAGAAGTGACTTATATTAGAAGGGAAATGTGAATCCTCTCTGATCCTTTCCTATAAATATACAAACACTCACCTATGCATAGTGTTTACAAATAAATAGTGGCTTCCTTGTCTTTTTAAAAAAGAGATGTGATATCATAATTTCCCAGGGCCAAATAAAAAAAAATAACTACAAGAATATTCTAGTACCAATCCTGCATCCTCAAACTGTAGCAGTTCTATAAAAAAGCCTATCTCTTCCTCCCACCGTCAAGCCCTTCTAACTTCTTAGCACACTCTGCCTCTGTCTGCCATTCTCTGCAAAGAAATGGTTTCTCCGGCAGGTATTGGCAGGCAAAATTATATCATTGCCTTTCCACCTATCCTACAGTCGTTAAGTAAGAGAGATGCCCTTACTCCCGACCCTCTCACCTGAAACAGGGTAAGGAGAAGGGTGTAGAAACTAAATAATTCACCTTTTGGTGTACCCTGAAAGAGAGAGGAGATGAATGATATGTCACCATGGAAATCAGGTTCTGTTTACTAGTAGCTTCCCCTACTTGGAGTGCATCAGGTTAGCCTGTAGGACAGTGGCTGTCAGCCCTGGCTGCACATTGCAATCTCCTGGGGCTAATCAAATACAGATACCGGTGCCCCACCCCTAAGGATATGATTTCATTAGTTTGTGAGATGGGCTGGCATCCAAGGTCCTTCTAATGTGAAGGCAAAGATTGAGAGTGGCTGCTATAGAAGAGCTCTTTCTGGTAAATCAGTCATTATCCTGAGCATCAAGAGTCTGCATAAATAAATTCAGAACTGTGTTTTGTTGTTAATATTGATACTGCATTCACCTGGGGAAGGAGGCTGCTTATTTGCCCACTTTTCAGAAACAATGAATCTTTAGTCCAGCTCCTTCCCTTTTCTTCCTTCGTTCGGCCTCCTTCCTTGTGAGGAGTAACAGCTGTAGAAGTCAGGGGACCTTACTGGCCGCACTAAGAGAGTACCTGTGTGTATCAGCCTTCAAGCAGTTTTGGGGTCAGACACCCACTTCTCAGACTTCCAGGCAGCTGCCAACCTTTGCCTTCCCTTCTTGGATTTCTTTCAACATGCAGATTTATGAGGTGGGGAATGCATGAGGGGTGGCTGGCGTCCAGACTTACTGTAACCAGAGAGAAATGAACAGAGCGTGCTCCAGGGGACATGCAGCACTTCCTGAACAAACTACTGGTGTCGCCATTAATGCTACTGACTTAGGAACCTCATGTGCCTTTTTGTCTTTTTCTTCACTCAGCAGGACCGGCATCTATTGCTAATGTTAGGTTTAAGCATTTAGGGCAGAGCATGCCAATCTTCCCTTGATCCATACTGCTCATTGATCAGTGGTCACATTTGTAGCACACCTCATGTCTGTGGGAGGTAGCTGTGGGGTTGAGAACTGCTGAGGCAGGGGGTTGAGTGTTCCCAATTAGGGGTTGGCAGTAATCAGGTACTGGGGCGGGGCTTATGCCACTTGCTTTATTGTTCACGTAATAACAGTGGACTTGGATTGTGAATTCCTTGGAACAAGAAGAGTCCCTTCTACTGTATTTACCCGGGAAGACTTCTCTGATTTCCTGGGCTGATTTGCATTCCCCTCCTAGGTACTTTGGTAGTTGTCCCCGGAGTGGATCATAGCCAATACCACCCTGTGTTGTTCCCACTAATTTACCTATCCGCATGCCCGTGAATCACAAACCCTCAAGGGCAGGGTGTCCCCAGTGCCCACACCACACTGGTTTTGTAGTAAGAGGTGCATGCACATATGCTAGGAGATGGAATGCTTATCAGCACCCACATTTCTTCCAGCCTAATTGTATGCGCTACATTCACACACACCTGGATCTAAATCCTGCTCTTTGCTTCCAGGCTGTCTGACCTTGGGCAAGATACTTCCCCTTGCTAAGTCTTGTCTCCTTCCTTTCTAGGATGCAGCTGATGATAGGACTGAACCGATTGGGTGCTACGGAGTATTAAATGTGATAGTATCTGCCAAGGGTTAGCACAGGGCTGCTCACGGGATCAGTGCTCAGTAAATGCTAGTTATCATGCAATCCTTATTGTTAGTTTCATTATTATCTGTATGATAAATTGATTGTAGTGTCATCTGCAAATAGGTAAATAAAGCATTATACATTGCCAAAACAACTTTAACCACCTTACACTTGATATTTATTCTGATTAAACAACAATGACCTGAGAAAGTAGTATAGAAAGTGATTGTGCTATGCTGGATACAATATCAGCTAGAATGCAAACGTTAGCAGCCAACATACTGACTGCAGCCATCTAAGATTCTTGGGAAGGCGGGAAAATTAATAGAAAGAGCACTGGAGAGGGAGTCCACGTGGGCAGGAAGCTAAGCAGCAGTGAAGACAGCGTGGCAAGATTTGGATAGAAGGACTGGCCAGCACTGTGGAGAGCCCTCTTAATTGGAGGGAGCAGCTGTGTATAAAGACAGTCTGCAGAGCAGCATGCCATTGCCGTTTCTGAGTAAATTTGTACACTGTTTGCTGTGAGTCACTGCCAAGATCCTCTCTTTTGTACATTATCAGATCAAAGCTTTAACTCGACCAAAAAAAGGTCTCATCTCCCATGCCTGTGTAGGGAAACTGAATCTCACTTGCGCCCTTCTGCTCCCATGGAACCATCGCAGAGGCCTAGAATGCCCTAGCTTTCTTTCTCTTCTTGTGTGCTAAGTCACCAAAATCTGACATGCTGAACTGTCAACTTAATGGTGGAGTTCGGGTTGAGAGCTGATTTCTAAAACCACTGCCACCTCTGGACAGCAGCCATTCGGATATCAGGTCAAGGTTTGGGAGACTATTAAGAAGCCAGCACCAAGACATGCTGGTGGAGAAGTCGGAGTTTTATCACGTCCTACCTACTTTGCGGTGAAATGAAGGTCTTCATAGTGAGGTGGTGATGAACGTTGCCGATGCGGTGAAGTCATCCTTCATCACTGTGCTATTTTGCTTAGAGCTTCAACTGCTACATTATGTCTTAAAACTTGTCAAGTTGTGCACAGTACACTGACTTCATAGGAGAAAAAACGCGTTGTGTAAAAATATAAAAAATCAGACATTTCTGGTAGAACGAGACATTATAACTCAAAAGTCCTACAGATAAATAATAATTAGGAATGGCATTTACTCCACAGAGCAGGAAGAAAACAACATTCTCTATCAGCTACATCCTCAAATGGTTACAGTTTCCTGTCTCTAACCACAACTAATAAAAGGCCAGGTACACAGCCTTTAGGAAGTTAACATAAATTTTTTCTTGGGGAGGTGGCATGGCGGTGGGGGGAACAACTGTAAAGAAGTCTGTTTCTGTTTCCTAAGTATTTTTGCCAATAAAAACAAAATCGTTCCCCACTTGTTAGAAAATGTAACAAAACCACCTGTCTGCCCTTGAGGAGATGGAGAACAAAATCAACAATATTTGCATTTTGACTACACACAGAATTAATCCATAGAAGCAGAGGCATTTTTGAGGCCCAAGCGTGATAACACTTCCGTGCATGGTTCTACAGACAAGATAATGTCCGTGCTTCAACGACAGAGATGGGGCTAGGCTGCAGCAAGGGCAGTGGGTTCCTAGGGCAAAACATTTTAGGACGGTTATTCCTCATCCTCAAACTCTGAACTTATCTGGCCATTTTAGGAGAGGAAACTGAGGATCCAGGAAGTGAAGTGATTCTCAAAGGTATCACAGCTAGTCAATAGCAGATCCAGTACCCAGGGAGGGAAACAGCTGATTATAAGATAATCAAAATGAATAAACACATCTATTCTATCCTGTGTGTATTTCGATGGGCATGTTGGGGAGAATCATTGGTGATTCTCAGACTCCTTTTTTTTTTTTTTTTTTTTTATGAATTAGCAGATCCTTGGATTTCACTGGAGAAACCAGTGTGGCTACTGATCCATTACAGAATCTAGCATTCCCCAGAGAGCAAAAACCTCCTCCTGGGGGGCGCGCTCCAGCCTATATAGATTTGGTGCACCAACACTGCACTGTCCTCATGAATAATCTCTGATCAGAGGATACTAATTAAGACGTGGCAATGCCCACTTAGTAAATTAGCTAAATTGACAAAACTCAATTTAAATAACAATTTTGTCTCTTGTGATAGAATTATAACGACACCCTTCACTTAATGAGCCAGACACTTAATAATTCAAACATACTTACAGAAAAATCAAACAAAGCTTCTCAATCCCAGACTGGGTTTCCCACCACCTCTCCTGCCACTGCTTTGCAAAAATGGTAGCTTGAACACTGTGGAGGAGAGGCTGGGTATTTGGTGAGGAGGGAGGGGCTGACCAGTTTCTGGGCAGAGTAATTGGTAGGTGACTCCTTCAACAAACTTCCAGCCAGCTGCCTGTTTTTGTAAATAAAGTTTTACTGCGGCACAGATATGCTTATTTCTTTGTATAGTTGTCCAGAGCTGCTTTCAAACCACCATCAAAAATTTGAGGAGTTGAGTAGTGGTGACAGAGACCTTATGGCTTGAAAAGCCTTCAACATTTATTATCTGGCCCTTTAAGAAAAAAATCTGACCCTTTGAGAACAAGTTTGCCAACCCGTAGACTTGGGCTGCACCTTGGATCTATGGTTCCCTGGGTGTGCAACCTTGAATAGATACTTCCCACATCCCTGGCCTATGATTTTCTTAAGTGTAAAATAGGGATGATACAAAGACTATCTCCTGAGACTGTGAGAATTAGGTAAGATGCTGCACGCTTATCTGTGCTTGGCACATAGTAAGTGTTCAATAAAAGGCTAATGAGATTAGTAAAAGCAATGATAATAGGAACATATATTGAGTACTTATATGTTCTAGACTCTGTGCTCAGTTCTTTATCTATATTAACTTGTTTAATCCCATAACAACCTATGAGGGAGATATAATTATTTTAATTTTACAAATGGATAAAGAGTATTTATTATTATTTTGTCTATTCTTCTAAATTCTCATTTAGTAACACTTTTGCCCAGTAGTAACTGCTCTCCTGGCTGGCAAGCTGCTCAAGGGAAGGTCCTGAGGGTCCTCATTGTCCCTGGACCCTAGACCTAAAGGCATGGATCATTCTATTGGTCACTGACAACACTGAAATCAAATATTTCTTCTCTCACGTGAGTGGTGGGTCCCTTTCTCCATTCTGCCTTTCCAGCCTCCCTTCTTTGTCTTTCACATCCTCTCCAGGCCTTTGCAGTGTAACAGGAGGTGGACATCACCCCCAGGTATGGCCAGACAGATAGTGAAAACTCAGGCCAGTAAAAACTCAGAAATCCTGGGAGCCATTAAGTTTTGAAAGAGCCACATATTCATTTATTCAGTACACATCTATTGTGTGCCTAACATGCACCAGCCATGGAGGTTATACTTGCAAGACAAAATGCTCCCTGCCTCTCTAAAGCTTGCAGTCTATTCAAGAAAAGTTTACAGCTACCGCACAGCTGCCACCTTAAAGAAATCTTTCTTTTTCTTTCTTCTTTTTTTTTTTTTTAGCACAAAAGTAAATGTGTTCTTCCTGGGATGTCCGTGTCCAAACACAGTCACACATCACTTAAGGATGGGGATATGTTAAGAGAAATGCATCATTAGGCAATTTTCTCATTGTGTGAACATCAGAGTGTACTCACACGAAGCTAGATGAGAGCCTACCTACTACCTAGGCTATAAGGTAGAGCCTATTGCTCCTACGCTGTAAACCTGTATAGCATGTTACTCTCCCGAATACTGTAGGCAATTAGAACACATTGGTAAATGTAATGTGTTTTTCTAAACATAGAAAAAGCATGCCAAAAATATGGTATGAAATAAAAAATGGTCCACCTGTACAGGACACTTGCCATGAATGGAGCTTGGAAGTTGCTCTGAGTGAATCAGTGAGTAAGTGGTGAGTAAATGTGAAGGCTTAGGATGGTTACTGTACACTACTGTAGACTATCAACACTGTACACTTAGGCTATGCTACATTTATTAAAAATATTTTTTCTTCATCAGTAGAAAATTAACCATAGCAGAGTGTAACTTTACAAACTTTTCATTTTTTAACTTTTTACTCTTTTGTAATAACGCTTAGCTTAAAACACAAATATTGTATAACTGTGCAAAAATATTTTCTTTCTTCATATCCTTATTCTACAAGCATTTTTCTTTCTTTTTTTTCTTTTCTTTTTTTTTTTGAAATGGAGTCTTGCTCTGTCGCCCAGGCTGGAGTACAGTGGCGTGATCTCGGCTCACTGCAAGCTCCGCCTCCTGGGTTCACGCCATTCTCCTACCTTAGCCTCGGGAGTAGCTGGGACTACAGGCATGCACCACCACGCCCTGCTAATTTTTTTGTATTTTTAGTAGAGACGGGGTTTCACCGCATTAGCCAGGATGGTCTTGATCTCCTGACCTCGTGATCCGCCCACCTCAGCCTCCCAAAGTGCTGGGATTACAGGCGTGAGCCACTGTGCCCGGCCTTTTTTTTTTTTTTAAACTTTTTAAGCTCTTTTGTTAAAAACTAAGACACAAACACACACAGGAGCCTAGGTCTACACAGGGTCAGGACCCTCCCTATCACTGTCTTCCACCTCCACATCTGGTCTCATTGAAGGTCTTCAGGGACAATAACATTCATGAATTTGTCACCTCCTATAACAATGCCTTCTTCTGGAATATGTCCTGAAGGACCTGCCTGAGGCTGTTTTATAGTTAATTTTTATTAGTAGAAGGAATACACTCTAGACTGTGATAAAAAATATGATATAGTAAATACATAAACCAGTAACAGTCGTTTATTATTATTGTCAATTATGTGCTGTATGTAATTGTGTGTGCTGTACTTTTATATGACGGGCAGCACAGTATGTTAGTTTACAAATAGGTGAGTGATGCATTGTGTTATGACATTAGGATGGGTGCGATGCCACTAGGAGGTAGGAATTTTTCAGCTCCATTCCGTCATTGACTGAGACGTCATTATGCATGTATATATATGTTTTCATATAAAATTAATATACTTAAAGTTCTTATAAGGAACTCAGCTCTATATTAAGGTCCCTAAAAAATATAAGAAAGGTAAAAAAAGTCAACCTAGAGTTAGCTCCTTCTCTGTGTCAGGCACTGAATAAGGTACTTTGCCCTCTTCAGCTCATTAATTTCTTACCACAAGAGTTGATCATTTCCCATTTTATATGTGGAAAAACAGAGATTCTGAGTGTTTAAGTGTCTTGCTTAAGGATAGTTGGCTATGAAGAGGCAGAGTCATCTTTCAGATCTTACCTCCAAACCCCAACACCTCCCATTCCCCAGGGAGTTTTCTCACTGTGTCATCTAGAGCCCTGGTGACGGCTGTGGGTGGGGAGAGGGGTGATTAGGGTCCCATGGTCCCCTCCGTCTATTGAAGTAGCGCCTTCTTCCACAGTTTTCTGTGTGTGTATTCTACAGATCTTTAGAAGGGACCTGCTGCTTTAACAATGAAGGTAGAACTGTGCTGAGAAGTTGGTGGTCTTTATGGAGTGCCAGCTGTGTGCCAGACTCTGATCACTCTCAACCAGGGGCAATTTTGTCTCTCAGCAGACATTTAGCAGTGTCTGGAGGCATTTTTGTTTTTCACACCTTGAGTATTGCTATTGGCATCTAATGCAATGGTCTCCAACCTTTTTGGCACCAGGGACCAGTTTCGTGGAAGACAATTTTTCCACAGACCGGGAGGAGGATTCAAGCACATTACATTTATTGTGCACTTTATTTCTATTAGTATTATATTTTAATTTATAATGAAATAATTATACAACTCACCTTAATGTAGAATCAATGGGAACCCTGAGCTTGTTTTTCTGCAACTAGACAGTCCCCTCTGAGGGTGATGGGAAACAGTGACAGATCATTAGGCATTAGATTCTCATAAGGAGCACGCAACTTAGATCCCTCACATGCACAGTTCACAATAGGGTTTGTGCTTCTGTGAGAATCTAATCCCACCACTGATCTGACAGGAGGGGGAGCTCAGGCAGTAATGTGAGTGATGGGGAGCAGCTGTAAATACAGATAAAGCTTCACCCACTCACCTGCCACTCACTTCCTGCTGTGCAGCTCGGTTCCTACCTGGCCACAGACTGGTACCAGTTCATGGTCCAGGTGTTGGGGACCCCAGATCTAGTGGGTAAGGCCAGGAATGCTGCTGCTAATCATACAGTGAGCAAGAATTGTCTAATAGAATGCCGATAGTGCCATGGCTGAGAGACCCTGTTCCATACTAATTCTTAGATAAACAGAGGTGAGAAAAACAGACAGAAAGCCTGCCCTCATGAAGTGTGCTTCAGTGGGGTAGGCAGATATTAATCCAGTCACCCACGCTGAGTCTTTAATCTCACAAACTGAAGCCGCGCCCCGAAGGGAAAGCACAGGGTGTCGGGAGAGCAGATAACAAGGATCCCTTGTCTGTGAGCTCCAGAAAGGTGCTTTTTAAATTTATTTATTTATTGTTATTATTATTTTTTGATGTGGAGTTTTGCTCTTGTTGCCCAGGCTGGAATGCAATGGATAATCTCGGCTCACTACAACCTCTGCCTCCTGGGTTCAAGCAATTCTCCTGTCTCAGCCGCCCAAGTAGCTGGGATTACAGGCCTGTGCCCCCAGGCCCAGCTAATTTTGTATTTTTAGTAGAGACTGAGTTGGTCAGGCTGGTTAGAGAGGCTTCTGTCTGAAGGCAGAGGGCAGGTGGAGTGGGAGTGGTGTAGGCACAGGTTACTGCAGGTGCAAAGGCCCCATGGAACCAGGGCAAGTGTCTGTTGGAAGGCCTGTGGGCTAGAAAGGAGAGTGCAAGAGGTGGGCTGCACAGTGATGGAAAGAAGAACCAAATCTGGCAGAACTTTGGCCATCTTAAGGAATCTGGACTTGATTAAACTAAGAGCTGTGGGGACCGTGACGGCTCCTCCAGCAGGGTATGGCATGATTTTATTGGAACTGGAAAAGATCACGCTGACTGTTATGTGGAAAACAAACTGGATGGAGCAAGAGTGGCCCTAGGGAACCAGCAGACATCGAATACCACACGCTTTCTTGCATTGCAGGGATGGGACAGGGGCATTCCCCTCCAGAATAGAACCCCACTTCCCTGGGGCTGCCAATTTTGGTTTGCGTTAACAGCAGGGTCACGCTGCATCAGGAACTCTGTCACCTATAAATGTCAAGTCCCATCCTTTCTCCCAATTTAAAAAACACACACCATTCAGAAGTAAAACTGTATTATATCATTTCAGTTTCACATCTGTTCTGTAGTTGCAAAATAACAATTCCACTGCTGTCGTTAGCCTGAACGAAAACAGTTCGACATGAGAAGGATGTGGGCCTGTCTCTAATTTCTTTTTTCTTTATTGACCTTTTCCAAGGTATCAGGAAGCAGATTCTCTCATTAAGATGTTGACACCTGAGAAAGTCTGTAGCATATCTTATTTATGGCAGTGTGTGTATGGGTGATGGAGAAGGGAGTTTAAAAATCAACTGTCAAGGCAATAAAAATATTATCTTCCTTGGTCTATTCTCTCTCTGCAATGACTTCTGACTTCTCTGAATCATGAAGTGGATCCATGCCTCTCCCATGGTCTAATTAACTTAGAGGGAGACTGGGTAGGAGGAGAAATATGTAAAGATGCCCAGAAACACAAGTTTGTGGAGCTGACACAATTCATTTCTGATTAGCAACAGTTCATGCACTCGTCCATGAGCCACACAGATGTTCAAGTGGGTTGTCTTGAGGTATTGGGAAATTATCATAAATTTGAACTCATTTGCAAGGATCTATTTCCATATTTTACAGAAAATTGTAATTTTCCCTCCCAAGTTCCCTCCATTGTGAGGAGGAGGAATTTTTCACCAAGATGGTGCTGGCTCTGCTGGAAGCAGCTCTTATGAGTTGAGGATGCAGGGCGGTCTGGAGTTGGCCTTGGCCCTGCAAGCAGTACAGAGAAATAGAGGACACAGCTCCTGCCCTCCACATTGGTCGGAGAGACCACGAGGGTTCAGGAAACAGAGATCACCAACTAGCCTGCTCAAAGGTTAACTGTCAGGAACCTCAGTCTTTGTTGCTTCCAAGGCTTGGTCTGAACTCTTCCTTTCAGCCTTGACCACTGTGTGTGCTCGCCTCTGAACTCAGATTTTCTTACTCAGCTGAAATAAAGAATGACAATAATCCCTTCACAATGTCATTAGGATTAAATGAGAGACTCTATGTAAAACACCTGGCAAATCGTATGCGTGGGACAAACATGGTTGTTGATATCAATAGCTAAAAAAGAGGAATAAGTATAGGAATGTGTTGGGCTGGGCTGGAGGAACCTGCAGGTCTTTGGAACGCTCTGCAGCTTCTCTATTCCATTCAATGGAAATATCATTGAGTTTTCCCCACACCCAGGCCATCAATGTCTCTGCTTCCTAAAGTACCCGTGTGAAGTTGAGTTTCAGCTTTGGAGCATGCTTCAGGAATTTGAATTGGATGAATAGGTTTTAAAATATTCATTGGTACATTTCCTTTGAAGAAAACCCAGGATTCTGGGTTGGATTTATCTTGAGGAATAAGCAGTAGCTGTCTAAAGGTTGATCCCACCCTGAGATCCAGGCCCTGTGGACAGGCAATACTTAGGTCCTGGACCTGTGGCCCGCGGGCCATATTCTACACAGGAATATGGCCCAGACTTTTAAAAAATGTGAATCCTTTCTAACATTTAAACTCTAGGAGTTTTCACATAAAAAGATTTTAGGGCCTCTCTTGAGAAAACAGAAGGTCCCACATTCCCATACAAGTCCATCCCACGTTGATGGAGAGTTGCCGTTTTCACAAGATTACACATGCTATTTGGTTACCCTCACCTCCTGGCTTGTCTATTATATTAATTTATCTGCCTGGCCTCATCAGGCATTAGAGTTTGCAGATCTGGGGGCAGTGGTTCTCAAGGTGTGGTCCTGGGATCAGTGGAATCAGCATCACCTGGGAGCTTGTTAGAAATGCACATTCTCAGGCCCTTCCCAGGCCTACTGATTCAGAACAGTTGACGGTAGGGTCCAGGGACCTGTGTTTTAGCCAGCCCCCAAGGTGACTCTGACGCTCATTAAGTTTGAGAATCCTTACCCCATGGTAAGGGATGAGCACTGGAAAATGAAGGGAACTGCTTCTAATGTCATCTTTGCCACTTAATTCAGTGGGAAAATTTAGAAAAGCCACTTTGCTTTCTTATTGTCTCTGTAAAGTGGTAAGAGTGGGCTAATAGCATGGTGTGACTCTATAATTCTCCAGGTCTGTGGACTAAGAATTAGTATTTATAAAGTGCTGACCATGTGCCAGGACCGGGGTAAGCACTTTACCTGGATTATGTCATTTAACACTAACCATGGCTCCCTTTGAGGACTGATTTTATGGATGGAGAAATTGAGGCTCAGGGGCGTGAGCTGCCACACCAAAGGCCCTGCCTTTGAGTGCCCTGGATTTATGTAACTGAGAGCTGGTGAGCCCCAACTCCCTGATATTCTATTTCCTGTGACCTGCCCATGCACAGAGGTGTCTGAAAGGTGATGACGGCAGTGTGGCCGGCACCTCAGAACAAAGCTGGCAGGTCCTTCAAGGCAGGCAGAGGCATGTTCTACCAAACAGGAAGGATTATCAAAAATAGAACGTGGCAGCCGTGGCCTTCTCCAGCCCCAGTTGCAAGGAGCCAGCCGTGACTCTGGAGAGATGCTGAAGGAGGCAGGAGATTTGGAAAGGGAGGGAGGGAGAGCAGCCAGGCCTGTGCAGTGAATACCAGGGAGGCTTTGAAACTCCCCCGTCCTCAGTGGAATCCCAGCCATCCCTTATGGAGTGACCTTGGGAGAGCATTTTAATACCTCTGTGCCTTGGTTTCCTCATCTGAGAAATGGGGACAATCCCCACTTCACAATGATTGGGAGCAAACAGGTTAATGAAAAGCATCTGGGATGCTGTAAACAGCTGAACATGTGGTGGCTCTCACCAGTGCTAGGAACCTTGCTTGCCCTTTCTGGAGAGCTCTAGAAGCACCTTGTGCTGTTGTCTGTGATGATCGGAAAGCTGAACGGTTTCTGACCATGGGAACAGCCTTCCTCCTCCATCTGCCTTGTGGGCTCCAGTTGCTCAGAATGCTTCATTTTCCAGACATCTTGTTTCCTTGCCCTGTCTCTTGTCTGCTACATGTTCTAACTTCTTTCTCCCTTCAGAAATCCTCTCTGGGGTCTATCCAACCTGAGAATGGCTGGCAAATACCTCTAGGAGGATTTAAATCCTGACTACAACTTCAGAGGTGTCTTCTTAGCATGACCAGGACAAAAGAGCATTCACAGGGACCCTCAATTCTCAGATTAGGGAACCGACTGTGGTTTCATTTTCTTTCTCTTGGCCCCAGAAGAATCCTCTGACATGGTTAAAAAGGTGTGGGTTAAAAGCAGACAGGCTGGTTGTGCTGCAGCTGTATGAGCTTGGGAAAGTCATGCAACCTCTCCAGGACTGTGTTATCATTCATACAACGGGTCAATAATACCATACTAACGCCTTAGCAGGCATATACCGAGTGGTAGTTCTCTTCTCTCCTCTAGTTAGAAGACATATATAATTTTGGGCAGAGAGCTCAAGGGGAGAGACTGGAACAAATTTGAACTCTTTGGGTCTCAGAGTGAAAAATCAGTGAGAATAAACTCAACAGAAATGCTAACAAGTGTTATTAATTGAGCTGTTACTTCGTGCCTGGCACAGTGCCAAACACTTTGTATGTGTTGTCTCATGCAATCTTCCCAGGCGTTCTTTTTTAATTAGGGAGATAGTATTGTGCTCATTTCGAAGGTGAGAAAATCAGGGCTCAGAGAAGTGAAGTCTGTTGCCCAGAGCTCACAGCTACTAACTGGCTGAGCTGCATCTGCAGTGGCCTCTTCACACGGGTACTAGGAAGGAGTAGAACGGAGGCTGGATGTGCTCCTCCCGCTTAAAAATCATTCTTTCAGCCTGCAGAACACTTGCCTCTGGTTCTCTCGGCCCCCAAGGCTTTTCTTCAGCAGCCAGCACCTCTGGCTTTTGCTTATTGTTTGGATTCGCCCACGGCCTCCGTCCTTTGTGCAGCCTGATTTTTCTTGACTCGTCCTTATTTGCATAAGAGTCTCCCAGAATATTGATGTGGCTCTTTTCCAGAAAAGCGAGCATCCCCCACACTGCTGGCTCCAGGAAGCCACATGAGCAGGCCAGGCAGGCTCCAGCCCTGGTGCAACACCCCGGTGCCATCCCCTCCTCCCTGCTTCCTTGCATCCATTCACAGACCATCAGCTGAGCAAAGCTCCTCAGAGCCAAAGCTGTGTTTACCCAGGAAGCCCCAGTTCACTCTGGCAGGCCATCTCAGCACAGCAAATATGAGGAAGGAGTGATCTAACAGTCTCCCTGCCCTTGACAGAGGAGGGGCCTCAAGCTCCCAGTCACTTGAAGAGAAGGCCAAGCCTCCAGCCCTGTAGGATTATTCTGGACTGCCACAGTGAAGAAAGCAGTGTTCCAGCCCCCCACATCCAGCCCAGCCAGGGGTATCCGGAGGCAGGCATCTGAGGGAAGTGGTGTGTTTGCTCTCTAACTGGGCGACTGAGGGGGACGAGTCACAGGAAGTCCAAGAAGGCTCTTCCAGGAGCTACCTTTATGTTTCTTCATGTGTGTTCTTAGCTGGTTTTCATATTGGGAGGAAAGGGCAGGAGTGTTTTGGAAATTGATCTTTACCCCAGCTCCTGTGTTGGGCATTAGGTGGGCAGAATTCCAGCAAAACACTGCAAAGAACTGGGGGATCTGGCATAGTCACTCATCCATTCATTCATTCATTCATTCATTCACTTTTTCATTCCACCAGTCTACTGAGGACTCATTGTGTATCAGCCACTGTTTCAAGGAATAAGATAGGCCAGTTCCTAGTCTCCTGGAGCTACGTTCTAATGGGGTGGGGACAGACAATAAACAAACCTAATAGAAAAATAATTTCACACAGCGATAGGCAATCTGAAAGTCACACAGTAGGATCCTGTCATTGAGAGTGACGTGGGGCTGAGGGAGACTACTTGAAACTGGGTGGGCAGTGACATGGAAAGGGCCTTTAGGCTGGACCTGAATATCGAGATGGAGCCAGCTATGCAAAGATCTGGGGAGACAGTGTTCCAGGCAGAGGGAAGAGCGTGGGCAAGGCCCTGAGTCAGGATGGAGTTTTGCCATATGGGAGGAATGGAATGAAGGCCAGGGGGTTTGGAGAGGAGCGCTGAGTATACCCATGCTGGAGTGAGTTTACAATGTATCTGGAACTGTTCTCAATGCCTAACCTGCAACATACGTTTATCTTTACACAACACTATGACTCCCTGTTACCATTTTGGAAACTTAAGTTCAAAGAGATTGTGCAAACTTCCAAGGTCACACACTTAATCAGTGATAGAGCTGTGATATGAACTCAAGCAGTCTGATAGGGGAAGCTGTACTCTTAACCTGTACATTATACAGTCACTGCAAACTCACTTGAATGTATTAACAAAATGTTCCAAGATTGTGAAGAGGAGATGGGTCTTGGAATAGGACAGAACATTTTCCAAGGGGAATGAGGAGGGACCTGGCATTTGTTGATGGTGCCTAGGCTGAGTGCCAGGCACTGGGCTGCATGCTTTCTCATCCATTATTCTGATCCCAACCCTCCAAGGTAGACTTCATTAGCCCTGTTTTACAGATGGTGAAAGCACAGGCTCAGAGAGGTGAAGCTTCCTGCCCAGGGCCACGCAACTAATATCAGATTGACCGAGTGAGGGTTCAGGGCATCTGCCCTGGCATCTGGGCCTTTCTGACCCTCCACATTAAGCTGATGCTTTTTTGTCTCATTATTTCTTATTCCTCTCCCTCCAAAAATGAAAATGAATATCCCCAAAAATGTAAAAATCTTAACAGTAAGTGCAAACCTGCTTTAGGGTGAAGGGAATGGCGGGCTGTCAGCATGCATGTATTGTTCTTCAAATTACCTGTTACCTAGAGGGGAGGAGCAGGACCAGATCCTTCACTGTCATGGTGCCTGCTGGGTGAGCATGAGCATACATAAATACATACAGCATAAATACCTACAGCATACATGGTGCCTGCTGGGTGAGCATGAGCATACAGGCATTCCATAAATAAAAAGTAAATGTCACACCGTGCAGTGCCGCTGCGTTCTGCAAAGCTTCACCCAGGGGTCCTTGCAATTGCCAGAAGCAGGGTCAGGATTTGTCATTCTTATTCCTCTCAGGCCTTTCCTCTGGGGCTGATCCTACCTTCAGGAGACCCAGAGAGCTCATCTTGTAAGGCACCGAGAGAAGAGCCAGGCCACCATTCGGTACACACCCTCTTCACTTCTAAGCTTAAATTCTAGGTGTGAAAATTTCATCCAACCTCTTCTCTTCATTCATTCACTTGACAAATAGTTATTTGTCTGCTGTGACCTAGGCTCTGAAGATACTGTGGGGAACAGTGCAGATGAAGGCCCTGCTCTCACAGAGCTTATATTTTAGTAGAGGGATTCAGAACGTTTTTTAAAAAAAGGTAAACAAATACACATAAGTGTTATGAAAAAGATAAAACACAGTAATGACAGAAAGAGATGGGTAGGGGGAGAATGATTATTTGCACCTTTCTCTGTTTTTTCATACCCATTCATCCATCCCTCCCTTTCTCTGTCCACTCATTCATTCATCCATCCCCTACATCTCTCTCTCTCTCTATCTGTATATCTGACTATCATCTACCTACACACACATAGAAACACATATACATTTATAGATTTTCATAGATCTCTCTTTATCCCTCCCTCCTTCCCTTCTCTCCTTTCTTATTCCTTCCTTCCACAATTAATTTTTTTTTTTTTTTTTAGAGACAGGGTCTTGCTCTGTTCCCCAGGCTGGAGTGCAGTGGTGTGATTATGGCTCACTGCAGTCTGGAACTTATGGACTAAGCGATTCTCCCACCTCAGCCTCCCAACCAGCTGGGATTATAGATGTGTGCCACTACACCTGGCTCACAACTACTTTCTGACACCCACTCAGGGCCAGTTCCTCAGGATGGTTTGTCTCTTTTTTTTTTCTTCAGCTCCCCAGTGACTGGCACCTGGTCATTCGTCCCTGCCTCCTCAGTAGTGAACATACTGTTTGGCATAAGGGCAAGCATAACAAGCATTTGTGAAATTATCAAATTACAAGAATATCCTATACTTTTTTATATGCATCCAGTTACAAAGGTGCAATAGAAGCCTCTGCATGTCCTCCCAACCTTAGAATCACCACGTTCCCTGATATGAAGGATGATTATTAAAGGAAAAGCAGAGCATGTGGATAAAAGTGTATAGCCCTGTATTCGAATTTCCTTGGCATCTTTTTGAATATTCATGCAAAAGTCGAAGACTGTTCCATTTATGAATCAGTTTCCTGATTATCAATTCAACTCCACAAGCATTTGCTGCACGACTACTATGTGCAGAATGTGGTAGGGATCCATTGAAGATACAATCCTTGCCCTCCTGTTCTTTACTTCCCAGGAGGGAGATCATAATAATGTGGACAGAACTGTAAATAGAGGCACCTGGGAAGCCTCATGGAGGCCCATGAGAGGAGAGATCCCATTCCATGTTCCTGGGGCTGCCTGAAGGGATGGCTTTTGAGATTTTTCTTGAAGGAGATAGCCCATTAGCCCAGTTTGGCTGAAGGGAAGAAGGAATCAATGAAAAGTGAGAAATAACTTGTAAAAGTAGCTGGAGCCTGGAACTCCATACTGAATGGAGACTGAATTTGGAGGCGTTGGTACCCAGAGGCGGGGGAGCACAGCAGCTTTTTAATGGTGGGGGTGATGTGAAATGGAATGCCATGATCAGGTTAGAATTTGATTTCTTTGGGCTGTGGCTCACAGAGTAAATAGCATGTTCAATGTGATCTTTAAAATAAATTACAGAGATCAAAAGGGAACAGAGTAGGAGAGTTTCTGAGTGTACACAGAGGTGTAGCATTTCAGATTCATTTAATTAAAGGAGCCAACTGAGAAGGTTGTCACCCTGTCATTTAAGAATTTTTGATAGAAGAGCCAGAGGTTTCATTTTTGAAGTGGCAAATGCAAATAGACTCTTCACCATACATACGTGCTCATATCAGTTAGTAACTCTTCTTTCTCGATTTTCTTTTATAGTTAATACTGGCTTAGATTATCCTCTGGCAGGATTCACATTTACCAGAAAAACACAACCTCGCAATGAAGGAGGGTTCTGCGTTTGAGGGGATCACAGATGCTTCCCACTGAGGGATCCAGTGCCATCTCTTCTGAAGCATGTTCAAGCCCATCTGGCACCATTCTCAGTAGATGGTGGTGGCCTTTCTCTCCCTCTTTCTGTTCTACTATCATGAGATGAGACAGGAGCCATCGTGGAAGGTGGTTGGAAGCTTGGTCACTGGAGCCAGCCTGTCAGATTCAAACCCCAGCTCTAGCTCCATGCCCCTAGAGAAAGTTATTAACCTTTCTGAGCCTCACTTTCCTCATAAGAGAACAAGCAGACCTTCCTCATAGGGTTGTTTTAGGATTAAGAGCATTGATATATGCAAAGCGCTTAGTGTCTAGCATTTACTAAGCACTCAAAAAACAGTAGTATTATCTCAGCATAACAGTCTTTTTGGACTTTCAAACAACAGAAGCTTTCTCAAGACAAACCTAGGTAAACAGAAGTGGAGATCACTGTGTGAACCAGGGTTGAGAGGCTTGAGTTTTGGGCCACACAACATGGCCCCTCTCTTGTAGCAAAGAAGTCATTCTCTGGGGGTTGTGTCAGTTTCTCTTTTGGTTTTAGTTCTTGCACCTGGATCATGCTACAGATTTTCTATGTGACAGGAGGCCTCAGGTGTACTCTTTTCCCCTATGAAGTATTTTGTCCAATGTTGTGTTCCTCTGGGAATTTTGTCGTTATTCCTGGTAACAGCCACATTCTTTCACAGCATCATTTGATCTCTTAAGATTCGGGTGTATCAGGACCAGATTCTGTCCCCAGCTCTATGTGATGAACCACCAGCTTCAGCAGCCTCCTCTCACAGTCTGGGCTGCAGGTTCTTACTGAGGCTGAGCCAAACACTGGCAGCCCACGGGGCAGATGTGGCCTGTGATGTTTTGACTGGTCTTCATGATGTTGGCTCACTCAAAATTATAAAATTAATTTGAATTTGATGAGACTATATAAAATTGGGCGGTTGAATGTAAACATTTAGATTTCCAGCTGCTCCGAAGTCAGATTAGCCAGCGTCACCGGTCCTGCATTCCCACACCACAGTGATTGGCTGGAGCTGATGAGACCTGCCTGCCTTATCTGGGACACGGTCCCCACCAACCCTTTCCCTCCCTGGCTGCTCTGTCATTCTCACTCTTGCAGGGATAGAGTCAGGGCAAGAGAAAAGGGGAATGGTTCTTATACTCATTCCTTTATCAAATGTGGGAAGACTTTGGGCTTTACCTTCCCTAGTGTGGACAGTCTCAGGGATTCTCCCAGCTTATCTTCTTTGGTCCTCTTGTTTGTTTCACGGACATTCCTTCTGATGCTGCATATGTGGCCCCAGACAGAGGATTCTTAATGCTTCCAAATAACACAACACATGGTGGAGTCAGGGCTTGAATCCAGATCTTCTGGATACCATTGCAGAAGATATCTGCCCCTTCCCCACATAGTCTTCTGGCTTAGAAATTCTTGGCTAATTCACTCAGAGCCTGCTGTGTGCTGCCTGCTCCATTCTGGAGGTTCAGAGTTGGAAGACATGGACACCTGCCTTGGATCACACCCTGATCAGACCAGTGCACCCATTCATTCAACAGATAGTTATCAATAGAAATCAAATGTTTGGATATTGAGAATAGCATTATGATGAGGGTCCAGAGTATGTTATTAATAATAATGGTATAATTTTGAGCTTCTGTTATATACACAAACATATGTATAGCTACACCAAGGATTGTGCTCAAGTTTTGACTTATATTAGCTTGTTTAAGCCTCTTCCACACACTATTTAAGGCAGGTACTATTATTATCATCATTTTATGGATGACAAAACTGAGAAGCTGAAAATTTAGGAAACTTGCCCAAGATCACACAGCCAAGAAGCAGACACCAGAACCAGAGCCCCAGGCTCACAAACTTCACTACCTTGACTCCTAGGCTCTATGTTATTCTGACCATCTCTCAGCCAGGAAGTCACTCCCTTTTATACAAATGACATTGTTGGTGCTGATGGTTAAATATTTCTATTCTCACAACATGTGAAAGAGAGATCCTTGTGATTTGTTACCTAAGCCCCAAGGGTTTCTCCTACCATTTCAGAGAGATAGAAGCTTTTCTTTGCCCCTGAACTGTGACTAAGAAAACAGAAAGGAGGAAAAAGCCATCAGAAGACTAAAAATCTCTCATCTTTGCAAATAAGAATTCACTCTAACCGAGCTTTTTTGCATGCAGCACTGGGAAGAGACCTGTTTTTTATTCTATCAACTCGTCCGTATAACAATTTATTGAGAACTTGTTGTGTACCTGATGCACTGCTGGCATTGGGTATGTAAAAATCAATGCAGCATGGTCCTTTCTCCAAGTAACTCAATCTCCTGCTTGGTTCTCTTTCCTGGATCATTTTAATTATGGCTCCCCTTTAAGTAAAGGACAAACAGAGAAGTAGCACTGAGTCAGATTTTTGCCGCTGGTCTTATGCAGGTGACCTGTTTTTCTTAATGCTCCCCACACATGGGATCTGAGCCAGCTGAGCCCAGAAACCTCCCAGGCTGAGAAGGTAGTGTGGCACTTCAGCACATGAGACTGTACAGGAGTCAATACAACTGACATGTTAGCCACAGAATCCCTGCTAAGAGCTCTGGAATAGAAGGGATGCACAGCACCCCACCTGCTTTTCCTAATCCCGTGGATATCATGCTCCAGCCAGCCTTGCCCCTGGAATGGAGACATCTCAGGTAGGGGTTGTCATTGTTCCAAGCTTCGTTTGATGCCGTTTCAATCCAGGGTACAGAGTTGCCACATGGAGAGTGAAGCCACCAGAATACATAAGTGAGAAATGAATGGAAAGATGGACAGATACCTAGATAGATACATAAATACTTTGCAGAAGTCTGGGACAGTGGAACATAGGAAGAGAGCCTCAGATAGGGAGAAAACAGTAGGTTGATTGTGGTAAAGGGAAGGCTTCACTTTGTTATTCAATATACTTATTTATTGAATTGTTTAAACAATATGTATATCTTTCTAATTAAAAGAGAATTTGGGGCCAGGCACGGTGGCTCATACCTGTAATCCCAGCACTTTGGGAGGCTGAGGTGGGCGGATCACAAGGTCAGGAGTTCAAGACCAGCCTGGCCAACATGGCGAAACCCTGTCTCTACTAAAAATACAAAAAATTAGCTGGGTGTGGCTGGGTGTGGTGGTGGGTGCCTGTAATCCCAGCTACTCAGGAGGCTGAGGCAGGAGAATCACTTGAACCCAGGAGGCGGAGGTTGCAGTAAGCCGAGATTACACCATTATACTCCAGCCTGGGTGACAGAGCAAGACTCTATCTCAAAAAAAAAAAAAAAAGAGAGAGAGAGAGTTTGGGCTTTAGAATAAGACTGGAGTGTGAGTCAGTCCTAGCTTCCTCTATTTCTGAGAGTTATGTGACTGTGGGCAAATTGTTTCAGATCTCTAAACCCGCAATTCCCTTGTTTATGAAATGGAGGTCTTGGGGATTGAATGAGATTAAGTCCTGTATAAAATGCTGATGGAGCTGTCAATAACATCAGCTTTGCATTATTATTATTTGCATTATTAATAGCATTAGACGAGGCTGAGAGTCAGCTACAGAGGAGACCTCTGTGGGCAGAAGAGTTCACAGAGGAGGTAGCAAGTAGTGGTAGAGCCAGCAAGGAATGGGTTCCATTTAATGCAGCATAAAGTGAACTCCTCATTAGGGACATGCACCTCCCTCCCTTCTCAACCTGCCAGCACTTGTTTTCTCCTCGGGAGACACCTGGGATGGCAAGCATTGTATATGGTAAGGTGGCTAAGAGCATGAGCCCTGGCACCATTGGTTTTCCATTCTAGCTGTGCCACTTACTTGTTCCGAGTTAGTTTCCTCATCAGTAGAATAGGAATGGTAATTGTAACTACCTCAAGAATTGTCTCACCAATTAAGTGAGTTAATGCATGGCAAAGGCTTCACAAGAGGCTGGCACAGAGTAAGTGATTTATAAATATGAGTGCATATTCTATACTCTGGTTCTAGAGCAATCCTAAGACTTTCAAAGACCCTGAACACTCTTCCTTTTGGAGATTTCACCCCACATTTTATCAAACATACTGAAAGTCACCCACATTTCACATTAATTATTATTGTTATTATTTGCTGTAGTATGTTTAAAAGAGGTTTTAATGATTTTGCTTTTAGAAGTGTTTGGCTGTGACTAACTCATGGCTATGAAGCCTTAGCAATCGCTGGACATTTTTGAAAATCCTTTCGAAGTGAGTGATTCTAAGGAATAAATTGTTTTTAAGTGTAATAAAATTTTTATGAACATCAAACTTAACAATTAATGATGTTTATATAACATTCCATTATGTAGACATTTAATTAAGCTTTTATCTATTTTGATTTTTCAGTTTTATCTTTTTGTATTTTGAAGCCCCAAAAAATGTGTTTTCAGACCTCAGGTAAGGCAATAGATGAAGGCAGTCAGGCAGGGACCAGAAAGACCTCTTGGCCACCCCCCTGAAGCTGTGGTTCAGCAGAATCAGGCAGAGCCTGGGTGCAGAAGGGACCCATAAGCTTATCCATCCCTGTTCTTCTATTTTATGAAAGGGATAACTCAGGTCCAAGGAGGGGAGTGACTTGCCCAGAATATAGTGCAGTTTGGTTCTCCAAATGCAGAATCCTGGGCCCTTTCAAACTTGTTGTTGTTGTTGTTTGTTTATTTGTTTTTACATGTTCCAAGATGATTTTCAAGGAGTGGCTCTCAAAACCCAGGGGAGTGACCTCATGAGAGGTCAACGCAGCTGATGCTGGGAAGGCTCATACAGGTCCACCCAGGCTGCAAGTGTGTGTAACCCAATGACCAAATCAACAGTGACTTGAACCCACAGCCAGGGGAGCGTGGGTGAAATATGAGCAGACGTTTTCACCAGCTGTTAAAACCTAGCAGGGGCATTAGGAATCAATCGCAGACTGTGCCTCCTGTGACTTGGCAAACCTCCATGAGGAAGGCTCAAGGGATTGGAAGAGCAGTCACAGGTCTCCACCAGCCAAGAGCAAACCTGAGCAGAGCTAAGCACTTTTGTGCCCTCTGAAGCAAGGCAACCCCATAACCTTGCAGAGATTCAGGAATGATGGAAGCTGAGGAGCTACATGGCCATGTCAGGAGGATGACGAGATCGCCAGGCAGCTGCCATCAAGTTAGGGTTCAGAGTGGTCCTGCAGGAGAAGGGGAGATGCCCCTGCCCGGGACCACACAGGACAGAAGGGCATCTGGACAGTGCCAGGCCATGTTCAGAAAGTGAAGTGCCTTTCCCATAGGAAGGTTCTGGGC
Source organism: Homo sapiens (assembly GCF_000001405.40). Lineage (NCBI taxonomy): Eukaryota > Metazoa > Chordata > Mammalia > Primates > Hominidae > Homo > Homo sapiens. The sequence continues at coordinate 169,955,331 of NC_000005.10, forward strand.
CCAAACACTTACTGAGCACCTACTGTGTAGCTGGCATATTCAATAAGTGTTAAAGGAAGGGAGAGAGAGAGAGAGACTGGGAGGGAAGAAAGGAGGAGGATGCGCCCCTGGACAGTACGTGCTGTCACTCTGAGTCTCCTCCAAGGCCAGTTTGCGGCTTCTACCTTACATCTTTATACCTTTGAATTGGATGAAATGTATTTTCTCTTGGTCATTAGGGCACTGATGCAAAATTTCAGTATGACCTTGTTGGTTCTTTCCACCTGGTCCTTAAGGTTCTGAGGACCGTGTATGAAGCAGTATCATGCAGGAGAAGAAGGCAGGCAAACCTGGTTTTGAATTCCAGCCTAGCCACTATATAGCTGTGGAATTACAGAGACATTCTTTAACCTCTCTGAAACTGAGTTTCTTCATCTGTGTAATGGGCACTAAGAAATCCTGCCTCCCAGGGCTTTAGCAAAGTACCAACACAGTCCCTGCTACATAGCAGAGGCTCCATCGATTCAGTTCCTTTTCATGTCTCATGGTCAAGGTGGCCTTGCCTGAAACTAAGACATGGCTCATTGTACTGCTCAAGTCAGAACAAGCCAAGTGTGCTTTGGGCAACTAATGTGCCTAAGCCTGGGTCATGAGAGTCCTAAAAAGGAACAGGGTGTGGCTCTGGAGCTCAGGGAAACAAAGAGTCAAATGTGGGGGAGACATAGATTTGAAAAAAAAAAAAAAGAGCCCAGGCTTGGGGTCTGGAGTCTGGGTTATCTTCCTGGCTTTGCCACAAATTTGCTGTGTCCTTGATTAAGTCACAGCAGTTCTCTGAATCTCAGTTTCCTCTTCTGTCCTGCAAGGGCAAAACTTGATGGTCTCTAAGATTCATCCTGGTTGAGCAAGTGCTAAGCTGCATAGCACAAATTTCAGATGCTTCTTTAAGTGTGTGCAAGAAGAACATTCTCAGAGATAGTTGGAGTGCCTGGGAGCGGCTAGAAAAAATTAGGGAAATGATGCCAAGATTTAGCCACAAGTGATACTACTAACTTAAGAGGCTGCTCCTGATCTCATGGGGGTCTTAAATTCTTCCCTCCAGTCCCTCTCTCGTGGGTTGTATTAGAAAGATTACTGCAGCGACTTTAAGCACAACAGGTTGGATTCAGATTAGATTTAAGGAGGGACTTCCAAACAAATGCTTTTGAAGACATGAGCTTGTAAGTGAACAGAGAGAAAGGTATCATCTACCTTTTAGAAGCCTTAAGATGCTGGGCACAGGTATATTTTGCATTCCTGAAAAGCTATCTGCTAAGAAAATACATTGACTCAATCTTGCTTAAAATGCATTGGAGTGTTCACTATTTAAAGTCATGGGGATGCCCTTAAATTCACCTGTTTATAAATACAAGCTTTGTTAAACCAGGTTCTTAAAGTGAAGTTTCCCTAGCTGGATCTCTCTCACAAAAAGTTCAAATGTAATCTTTCTCAGAGGCAGAAAAATAAATTCATTTTCAAGGTTCCTTTCAGACCTATGGGTCCAGGAATGCATCAAATATAAGGAAAATGTGTAGGATGTTTCTGTATTGGCCAACATGCCTGGTTTCTGTCCCTGGAGGGCCTGCAGAGCCAGCACTGTCTTCCTTGAGTATGTCTCAATCATGAACACCAGGCAAAACCACAGGAGCAATACAATGGTATCATTGTTCTGGAGAGTTTATTCTGGGGCTTACTAGATGTTGAGTAGAATTTGGAATCCCATTTGACTTCCATTTACTCTGCACTTTGTACTTTGCAGTAATAAGACTGTCAGTGCCATGAGGGCAGGGACTATGTGTGATTTGCTTCTCATTGCCTGGTATGGAATGGGTACTCAATAAATAATGGTGAATAAATGAATGAATGAATTAATTAAAATGGACACATCAATTCTAGTTGACTTTCTGGCCTTTAGCCAGGGACTTAACTGCTCTGAGCCCCAGTTTCTGCATCCATAGCATGGGGATAGTAAGAGTTCCTACTTTGTAGGATTGTCATCAGAATTCAATGAGACAAAATAGACAAAGTACTTAGCACATTGTTTAGAACGTAATAGGCACTCAACCAATGTTAGCTTAGTACTACTTTTTCTGTGTAAAACTATGTTGTCCTTTCCACAGCCCTGTAAGGAGAAGTATACCATTCCCACTGAACAGATGAGAAAACTGAGGCTCAGAGGTGTCAGGTGACTGCTCCAGGTCACAGGTGGGACTGGGACTCCTTGGTCTGCCTCTTTCTACTGCTAAACAGTCTGGTGAAATCACAGAAAGACTCATTCCTGGTAATGAGACACTAGAGGCAATGCGCGAGGAAGCCTCAGGAATATTTGGAAACCCTTCTGAGTTTTTCAGCTCCCCAGAGTACCCTGGCTTTGTGGGGTGAAGTCCTTTGATTGTCTCAGGTTCCTGGTCTGTTCATGACCCTGTTAGCCCAAAAGCTGGTAGAGCTCCATGTACTGCTACTGTTCTTTGTCTCCCTGACTCTCCCCTGCTCCCCACCTGCATTGCCTTAGGCATTTATTATTTCCTTAAACATGCCTATTTGCAGAGACACACTGAGCTAAGCAGCAAAAGTGGAGGTTTCCAGTGGGAAGTCCACTGCGAGGGAGTAGGGCGTCAGGAGAGGTCCTACCAGCTCACCTTGACTGAGATGCTCATATGCTGTGCTTTTGAAAATGCAAGCAGTGCAAGAACATTTAAAATTCACCCAGGGGATACGTTCCCTGTGTGGAACCAAGCAAACATGAGTGCAAGTGTGAAACATGACGTCCACATGCACATAGAAGGACAAAACACAGTCTTTGTCAACTTGATTATCTACCCTGTGGTGAGAAATGAGGGCCTGGCTAAATGGAACACAGATAATCTGGAAACTTTGTTTTGCAAAAAAAAAAGGCACCTACCCCATTTATACTTTACTGCACTGTTATTAATAAGAAGCTTATGAATCTATTAGATATGGTCTTTGCCTTCCTTCTCCATTCTAAGCTTGGGTTTCTGGGGACAGTGAAAAGCCCCAAAGGTGGGAAAAGCAAGAGGAGGGCAAACAGAAAATCTGCAAACTCCATCATCCGAATAACAGGGCTGATGGTTTAGAATGTTCTGCTTGAAAAGCTGGTGTGCATATTTAAATTACAGCTTTCCATACACAGAAAGGGCAGCTGTTACCATTAGCCCAGCCCCCTTTCCGTCTTACTATTAAAATAGAGGACAAAAGGGGTGCTTTCTTTTCCTGGGTTTCTTTTTTTTTGGTATAAATTTACAAAATGTGGTTTAAATATTGATTGTATAGGAACAATGTCACATTTTAAGATTGAGTGTTAGGCGTGGAGCTCTCTTGAAGATGGTTAAGTATGTATTAAGGCCAGGAAAAAAGCTGGTGTGCAGCAATGCCCAGCAATAGAGGGCATTCAGGCAGGAGGGGCTGTCATTCATCAGCTACCCAGTCACCCTCATAATTGGTTCAGGGCAAAGGGGTCTCACCTTTTCATGCTTCTCTGTTTTGCCAAAAATACTTAAGAGAGTGGGGGAAAAACCTAGTACGCTTTGTGTCTCTCAAAGACAATGTGTTTTATCAGCATTAGCAACTCATAGTTGGCTAAGGAATGAGGCAGGTTCCTAGAATCCAAATCAAACAGCTCCCGTTAGTAAACTACTAACTTATAAAGTATTTAAGCCTAGGACTGGGCAGAAACAACATATGAAAATGTAGGTAGCATTGCAGAATATTCTGATGAGTAGAAATCATGTATAAAAAGCACAAACTGGCTGGGCATGGTGGCTCATGCCTGTAATCCCAGCACTTTGGGAGGCCGAGGGGGGCGGATCATGAGGTCAGGACATTGAGACCATCCTGGCTAACATGGTGAAACCCTGTCTGTACTAAAAATACAAAAAAAATAGCTGGGCGTGGTGGTGCACGCCTGCAGTCCCAGCTACTTGGGAGGCTGAGGCAGGAGAATCGCTTGAACCTGAGATCACACCACTGCACTCCAGCCTGGGTGACAGAGAGAGACTCCGTCTCAAAAGAAAAAAAAAAAAGGAACAAACTATTCCCAACAACTCTAGGGGAGTCCAGAAGATCATTCTGCAGAAGTAGAACTGGTGTGATGGCTTGATGTTACCAAAAAGAAGTTTATGGTTCAACATAAGGAAGAACTTTCTAACAATTCTAATAGTCCACAGGGTGATGGAATTTCTGATTAGGTAGAGATTTCTCTCTCTTTGGAATCTTGCAAGCAGAGGTCACTGAATCTTTTATTGGGAATGCTTCACAGAGGATCATGCATAAAGGTAAGTGTTGGACTAAAGGACTTTAGGGAGTCCGTCCAGTTCTCAGGTCTCCAACTGTGTGTTACTTGGCCTTGACTAGATATTTTACTAACAGGTGCCATCCTAGTTATTCCACATCCTTAGAGTCATCGTAGATCTAGAGAGATCTAGAAGTAGTTCTGTGGAAACCAGGTAGAATGCTCAGAGGGCAAAATAGGAAATACAACAATAGGATGGAAAAGAGGTTTGGCCAGGAAAAGAGGAAACAGAAGCACTTCAGAGAGCTGAGCCTGCAATATTTGGAAGGGGTGCAAACAGCTTGTTTGGTTTCTGTTGAGGTCCAGATAAGAGTAAATAGGTTAAATTAAATTCGACCATGTAAAGCTAGATCATCAGAGGCAGAGTGTCGGATCTCAGGCTATCAGTCCCTCAAAGAACTGCCTTTATTGAAGGTGGATGAGGGAACGGTCAGGTTGAGGAGCATTTTATGCTTTTGTGAAACTGATGAAGGCAAGGTCTACCCTGCCTCTCTGAGTTCTTTTATAAGTACCCATGATAAATTTCCACCAGTGTATAGTTCCAGAGGAGGAAATAATGTAGTTCCTACAGAAAGCTGTGTATGCCTTCCATGTCAAAAGATAAAACCTCTGTACATGGGTATCTTTGTTTTTCTTAGCTGTTAGAGAATTCAGAGACAGATCCTTGGGTATTTACATCTGCTCATTTATGGTGCCTGAAAGGTGCTATTTCTGGTTCTTGTAGCAGATGAACTCATTTCAGGCCATTGATAATATTAATATGTCTTGTTTTTCAGCCTGCCATTCATCTCACATCTTTTGGGAAGTGAGTAGGCTCAAATCTCATATACTCAAGATGAAATGGAATAAAAAGGAAAATTATTGATTAGAAAGAAACATGAGGTTCTAAGATAGGTTTTCAAGGTGGATTGGAGGATTTCTATCACTTAAAATGACCAATAATGGAGGGCCAGCCATTTGACTCAATATTCTTGGCCATCATTAGTCACCTGTACTTGTGTGGTAATATTCGGGTCTCTATATTGTTGTCCCCTCCTCCCACAATCCATGGTTTTACTTTCCATGGTTTGTTACTTGCAGTTAATTGTGGTCCAAAAATATTAAATGGAAAATCCACAGATAAATAATTCATAAGTTTTAAATTGTGTTCTGTTCTGAGTCATGTGATGAAATCCTACTCTCTTTGCCTAGGATGTGAATCATCCCTTTGTCCAGTATATTCACACTGTACAGGTATGCATGCATAGGAAAAAATCATAGTATATATAGGGTTCAGTATAGGCTATGAACTGAATATATATACTAGGGTTCATAGTATATATAGGTTCACTATCCATGGAGTCTTGGAACATATCCCTGAGGACTAAGAAAGACGACTGTAACTATCATGGTAAACACCCCAGTATATTGCATGAGTGAGTGATGGTAGTGAGACACTGTTTAGGTCAACCTGTTGCCCATTTGCAATTTCATGCATGTAGGGAGATCAGTCATATGTCCTACAATTGTCATTGGCCATAGATGAGGGGGCATAAATGGGTAGCCCCCCAAGGGCAATTAATGGATCATCATCATCTCTAACATTTCCACACCTAGGATAAATGCTGTCAGAGTTCTGGTATCTGTGAAGGTTTGTGGAATTAAATTAAGATGAATGGAATATAATTGAAGTGACTTGAACTACACTGAACAGAATTAAATTGAATTGCCTAGTCTTGCCTTGCATCAGGGGAATGTATTACCTTTGCCTGCTAATCAACTCTAACAACAGTGCAAGAATAAGTATAGCATGCTGAGCATAATGTTTGAAATTTAAACGTGTTCATTTTAAAACTATTGACTGTGCACCTTTTACATTCAGGCACTGTGTTGGATGCTGGGAAAACATGGTGGACTAAGCAGACATTTCTCTGCCTCAAGGAGCTCCACCTAGGAAAGGAGACAAGCACTAAACAAGTCTTGAATAAATAAATATCTAATTAAAATTGTGACAAGTGCTAAGAAGGACAAGTATAAAGTTTTTTAAGAAGAATAGAAGCCAGGCCGGGTGCAGTGGCTCACGCCCGTAATCCCAGCACTTTGGGAGGCCGAGGTGGGCAGATTACTAGAAGTTAGGAGTTCAAGACCAGCCTGGCCAACATGGTGAAACCCCATCTCTACTAAAAATACAAAAAATTAGCTGAGTGTGGTGGCAGGCACCTGTAATCCCAGCTACTCAGGAGGCTGAGGCAGGAGAATCACTTGAACCCAGGAGGCGGAGGTTGCAGTGAGCCGAGATCGTGCCACTGCACTCCAGCCTGGGTGAAAAAGTGAGACTCTGTCCCAAAAAAAAAAAAAAAAATGGAGAAAAAGAATAGAGGCCAGAACTTACTAGAACAAACCAACTTGTCCAACTTGGAGAAAGCCAGTGTGTCTGAGCAGAGTGGTGGCTGATGAACCTGGGCTAAGGGCTTCACGCTTTATTGTGGCTAAGTAGAGATGTGAGTAATAGGACTGGGTTTTTAAAAAGTCTACTCTGGTTGCTCCCTGGAGGGGAGGGAGCAAGATTGGAGGCAGAGGACAGTTAGGAGGCTATTGCTGTAGTATAAGGGAGACATCGTGGTGGACTGACCTGGGGTGGAGAGAAAAGGAGAGAGTCTGGCCATATGTTATAGGTGCAGTCAGAAAGAACTTGGTCAAGAGTTGGATATGGCCAGTCAGAAAAAGTGGTAAAGATGTCAAAGGTTTCCATAGAGGCAACCGGAAAGTGGGGGAGGATGGAGGTTCCATTTCCCAAGAGAAAGAAGAGAACCAGATTTGGGGTGAGCAAAGGTGTGAAGATGAAGAATTCCAACTGAGCATCTTGAGTTTGAGATGCCTGCAAACATTCACCTGGAGTTGTCAGACAGGTAGTTGTGTCTATCACTAGATCTGCAAATATGTGCTGAAAGCCTAACCTGTGTCAGGCTCCATGGTGGGTTAGACAAAGAGGTTAGACAAGATCCCTAACCTCTAGGAACGTATTGTCTGTTGCTTGAAATGACATATTGGAAAATACGGCACTAAAAAGTAGGGAATGATAACTCTTAGAGAGAAAGAGAAGGAAATAGGGCATACCATAGGAGTTGAAAGGGGAAGAGAGCACTTTCTGCTGAGATGGCAAGTGTCAAGGTAGACGTCAAAATAAGGAGAAAGGGTATCGAGGCCAGACTGGGGATGAGGCAGAATTCTCCTTGCCCAGAACAGAGAAAGCCTTAGCTCCCCTGTCCCTGCCTGGCTATATTCTGCAAATACCCCTAGGCCAGGTATAGGATGGGAAGTGGAAGGGTAAGGGTGGAAGCTCTAGCTGGGCTAAGGCCAAGGGTGGAAGAATTGACATTTTGATGCTTAAGTGGGGCTTTGGGACTCTCTTTACAGTTACAGTTCCCATCCCTGAAATATCTACTGGGTTCCCCTGGAATATGTGTTTCAGGAAACTACACCTTCTACCCCTCTGCTCTGTGTTCATAAGGTGCTGTAACCAAAAGAGAGTTTGGGAAGGCCTGAGGATGCTCTTCATAATGTTGCCTCTTTAAAGTGGTCCACGTGGGGTGGGTATCAGTTTATGTCCATGAACTGATGAGATGGATGATGACAGATCCCTTATTTTCTCTAAATCAAATTAAATCCAACCCACAGCAGCCCTGACCTGACTTGGCTGGCATTGACAGGAACTCAATCTCAGCCTTTGATTAGGCCTCCATCCCTCTCTGCTCCCTCCCCATCCAGAGAGTCATACAAAAGTCCCTGGGGACCTATGCTTAGCAGTGCATTCATGGTGACTCCTCTGGTCCTAGGCCCATTGTGGTCACTGCTGATATTCTCATTGTACAATTGTGCATGTCCCTTAGAGCTGGAGGCTTTGCTGGTTTGGTAGTGCTGGGCCCAGGGACCAGCCATCACAGGGGCACTTACACAGCCGTTCCCCTCCGGTGCACATCAAAGCAGGAGTTACTGATCTTTGCTACCCAGAATGTTAACCCACCCCCTCACCCAGTCTTGGGAGTCTCTTTTCACCCTTTCTTTGCCTCAGTTTCTGCCTCTTCCTCCCTACCAGCAGCATTTTTCCCTCTTCCTTCCCCCTAGCATCATTCACTCACTACAGATGCTCTCTAAGGCCCTGGCTCTTATCCTTGAGCACCCAGCAGAGTCCCCGGGAAGGCTGGTTGAACATAGACCGCTGGGCCTACCCCTAGATGCTCTAATTCAGTGGGTGTGGGGTGGAGCCTGAGAATGTGCATTTCAAATAAGTTTTCGGATGCTGCTGCTGCAGCTCCAGGGCCCACACAGAGAGAACCACTGCTTCAAGGGGAGGGAGCAAAAGTCCTACCCTCATGGAAGTGGCAGGATTGGGGGAGGGAGAAGGGGGAGGAGAATTAAAGAAAGGTTGAGGTACAAATAAATATTTCCACCACCTTCCCTGCCATCTACCACCTCCTGTTGAATGATGAAATTCTACTGACCAGAACATAATTCAGATGCAGATTTGGGGGAACTCATCTGTGTGCAGAGGAAGACCCAGGAGAATTACATTCTGTGCTTTATCCTCGGTGACCACAGGCCTTTTCTTAGCCTGGAGTTCAGGACTTCTGGATTGGGACTCCCGGACTCTGGCCCCCATCAGGCAGTTTCCAGAAAGTTGCTCCGCTCCCACCCCCAAGCTCAGACTATAAATTTCTTTTCTGTTGCCTTGGCCTGTCATTGGGAAGACTGGCATCATCTGCAGAATGTATTTGCAAGTAAAATGTTCAAGCAGCAGGAGAGAGGCCTGGGAGGGGGCAGCTAGACGCAGTGAACTGTGTCAGACAGGTGGCTCATGGGAGCTGGCGGCCCTGTGGCCAGCTCTTCTGCTGGAATAGAAACCCAGCATCTCCGCCTGGAGGGCTTCCTTTTGCCACTTTTCTCAGTGCCCAGAGAAAGGGCCACCCTTGAAGGGGCCATGGTCAAAGTTGGTAAGCCAAAAGTCAGCCCTTCTGCCTCATCTCCCAGCAGCAGTACTATACCAGGTGATCAGGCTGGAGCTGCCCTGTCTTCAAATCTTATTGGTGCCATGTAGTAGCTGAGTATAGTTTCAGATGAGCTGCTTCTCCCCTCGGAGCAAAAGTGTCTTCATTTGTAAAAGGTGTATAATAATGGCATCTACTTCTCAATGTTGCTTGGAGGATTCAAAGGGGGAACTGCATGTAAATTGCTTAGCTAGTATCTGGCACATAGCACATGTGCAAATAAAGGTGAGTCTCCGTCGCTCATGACTATTATTCTGTTCTGCATATTGGCATTCATATCTGTTTTCCTCATGGACTTTGAGCTCCTTGAGAGAAGGAGCCAGGTCTGATTCCCTTTTGAATCAATTCATTCAATCGCCAAACATCTGTTGAAGCCCTACTGTGTGCCACTTGCTGTGCTAGGGGCCCATCATCCATTGCTGCACATAGTATGTAAGTGTTACTTGATGGTTAATGAGTGAAAGGGGAGGATTGCAGAGAAGGCTTACAAAAGATACATTTTCTTGAATACCCACTGTGTGCTAAGGCAATGCTCCTTAAATTTCCATGGGCCTAATACCCACCTGCAGATCTTAGAATCACATTCTGATTCTTCAGCTGCGGGCTGGGGCTTGCAGTTCTTCATTTCTAAGAAGCTCCCAGGTGATGCTAATGCTGCTGGTCCACAGGCCACACTCTGAGTAGCAAGATAGACACTCCTTTGCATTATGTCACTTATTGCTTGCAAAACATTATGGGATGAGCTTAGAAATGAGAATTCATAGAGATTAAATAGCTTGCTGAAGATCACACAGCTGGCTAGTGTTGGAGTCAGGTCAGCATGGCTCATTTTTGTCTATTGAGCTCACTCACCCTTAAGAGCAGTGGTTCCCAATGTTTGCCACATATTAAGATCACCCAGGGAGCGTTAAACATCCCAATGTCGGGAGAGCTGGTGGCAGGTAATTCTAATGTGCAGCAGAGTTTAGGAACCATGGCCTCAGAGTCCAACCTCATCCAAGGAACAAGAAAGGAAAGGAGAAGAATTTTGACATCTCTCTAATTTCAGGAACCAATTATAGACTTTCAGAATTTGGAGGTCTAGGCCTCTTTTGATGTTACAGATGAGGAAACTGAGGCCTATAGAGGTTAAAATATTCACCCAAAATCATTTAACTCATTGATGGCAAAGTTAGGACTAGAACTCAGGCCTCTGGGCTCTCACCTTTGACGTGGTTCCTGTGCTGGAGGAGGAATCCAGGAACAGATTATCCACTGGAAAAAGGCTTCTCCATGCTCCTCCATCAGCTGGGACCTTGGAGACTCAAAGGAGACCTAGGTTTCCCTAGGATGAACCAGGGAAAAATCCACTGCCTTCCGAAGAGCAGGAAGTTTTCCTTTGCAATATTCTGCCAATCTCGAAATGGCAATGTGCAACAGAACATACTTTGAAGTTGTAAGGCCTTTAAAATTCCAAGATGAAATATATAATCCCATTATGGTAGGAGCATAATTGGTGGCTTGATTTAGTGCAGTAAGGATTTATTGTTTTAATCATAACATAATGTACATTGGTTGGTTGCTTCATAACAAAGATAAAATGGGCTGCAAATGTGTACAGTAAGATTATTTTGGGGGGCGGGGGTTGAGGAAATGGCATGACTCAGAGTTTAAAAGCCCCAAATCTTAGCTGTGCCTGTGTAGCTTTACCACATAACCCATTGATAACTTATCCCTATGATGTGCTGGTATGCTTAAGTGTAACCATTTATTGAGCACTTATTCTGTGAGCAGAATGGCATTATCCACTTAGGGAATGTAATCACATTCAATCTATATAAGATCCCCATGAAGTCAGCATTACTTACAGAGGCCTGCACAGCAATAATTGGAGGAGCTGGGATGCAAATTCACCTGTGGGTGAATTCAAATCACCACACTCAGCATAGGACCTGGCTCCATACCCTTATTTTACAGGTGAGGAAGAGGAAGGAAAAGCAATCCTGGCACACAGGGACAGCAAGTGGCAGGACAGAGCTGAGACTATGGTCTCCTCACTCTGGGACAAGTGTTGTTTCCTACTACCTCCATGGAAAATGAGGCCGGAAAGAATGGCCAGGACTCCATGAGCTGTTCCCCTCCCTACTCAGGCTCCAGCCATCATGCAATGAGGAGGTTACTTTCCACACAGATCAGACTTTGGTCTAATGTTTTTGAGGAACCTATTCAACGAAAGAGAGCCCTTCACCAATCCATGCGCCATCAAATTAGACTTAAATTAACACATGCTATGTAGATAGCTACTTTCCCAATCTGTGTCCCACTGATTCTTCCATCTGAGACCATATTATATATCCATTCATTGAGCAATTAATGGTGAAGTACCTCCTATGTGCCAGGCACTGTGCCAGGTGCTAGGGATAAAGAGATAAGGAGAAAGTAGGACACTGAGCCAGTCTCTGCCTTCCTGGTCCAGAGGTGGACAGAGATAGATAAAGTGGGTTCCTGAAAACTGCCATCAGTGCCATGAAAGTGATATGCACAGGGACATGAGAACTCAGAGGAGGGCCCTGACCACAGCTAGTGGTGGAGAGAATCCCAGAAGCCTTTCCAGATGAAGTGATTTCAAATACGGGACCTGAAGTTCAGTAGAGGTGACTATGTCAATTGTTTAAAAGGTAGGTAGATACATGTGTTGGCTCAGATGCTGAACAATGCTTCTGGTAAAGGCAACAGCATGTGGTCAGGCTGTCAGAGGTGATCAGAATATGATCTGGATGTGCAGGTTGGAGGGGAATTAGTATAAGTTCTGTGTGGCCGGATGATAAAGTTTAAAGGGAAGAGTAGGAAGAGTGGAAGAAATAAGGCTGAAAAGGGAAGAGGGACCAGGTCATGCAGGGAACCGAACACCATGCTAAGAGGTTTGGATTTTGACTCTGTGAGTAAGTGGAGTCTATTTTAGTAGGATTGAGATTTAGTCTCATTTCCATTATAGAGAGATCACACTCTGACTGCAACAGGGAGAATTGATTAGAGGGGCCAGAGTGGGAAGCAGGGGGTGCGTTTAGGAGGCTACTGCAATAATCCAGGTACTGATGATGGTAGCGTCAATCAGTGCAGTAAGAGTGTAGGGAGAGAAATGAACAAACTCAAGACAAATTTCTTTTCTTTCAAGAAAAATTTCTAAATCCCCATGGCTTGTGATTTATTGAATGTGGGAGGAGCGAGAGAAAGGGTGGAACAAAGGACTATGGCTGGATTACTGTCCTGGCCAAAGTGGCTGGTTCTGAGAAGGAGCACATGGGGAGGAGGAAGAAAGGTCTGAGAGGGGAAGGATCATGTTGACATGTTAATATGAGCTGCCCATGAGGTGGAAATGTCCAGGAGGAAGTTGGATGCTGGATGCATAAGTCTGAAGCTTCAAGGAGAGAAAACCTTCCTGGAATTCTCTTTACTTATCAGAAAAGATCCCAAAGCTGACAACACTTTGTAATCTCATGAGAAATGGCCAAAAGAATGACAGCTTGACCCCAATCATGGGCTGGTTGTTTCAGCTTGTAATATGGCTCAAGGCATTCAGCTAAGCTTCAGTGGCCCTGTGGGCACTGGGATAGCTGAGAAGACCTTTGTCCTTTAAAATCACAGCAAACGAGGCAGTCCTTTTAACCTCTTTGATAGGAGTCCAGCCACTCCCCTCCTTGAGATATTTTTACTGAGTGCTTTCTATGTGTCAGGCATTGAGGATACAGGATTGGGAAGAAGGTTCCTGCCCTTGAGTTTCTCCAGGGCCAGTGGGGACAGACACATGAGCATATGATTAAGATACCACATTACAGGTGGAAGAAACATTGGGGGGTCAATGTTCAGGGGGCCCAAGTGTTCTTCGACTTCAGCATGGTAAATATCCCTATGGAGTTCGTGCAGATACTTGTGAGATGGTTTTTGTTTTTCATTTTGATGAATGATTGCAAAGCTCACAACTGCAGAGAGACTGAGTCTTCGAAATCTTCACATTTTTCAATTTTATCACAATTTTGACTCCCGCTAGTTATTAGGAAGGGTACTCCCTGGGTCAGCTCACTTGATGCTGTGTTAATGGTGATGAGCAAAATAAAAGGAGGAAGAATTGAGTGTGGTTAGAACACAAAGATGGACTGCCCTGTTCTACCTGGCACAGGGAGAATAGAGAAGGCTTCCCGGGAGAAGAAATGGCACTTGTGTGAGTCTTTAAAAATGAATTATGCATTTTAGGAGGCCAAGGCAGGAGAATCACTTGAGTCTAGGAGTTTGAGACTACCCTGGATAACATGGTGATACCATGCCTCTACAAAAAATTTTGAAAAATAGCCTGATGTGGTGACATGTGCCTATGGTCGCAGCTTCTCTGGAGGCTGAGGTGAGAGGATTGCTTGAGCCCAGCAAGTCAAGGCTACAGTGAGCCATGATCATGCCACTGCACTCACCCTGGGTATCAAAGTGAGACTCTGTTTCAAAAAAGAAAAAATGGCCGGGGGTGGTGGCTCATCCCTGTAATCCCAGCACTTTGGGAGGCTGAGGCAGATAGATCACCTGAGGTCAGGAGCTCAAGAACAGCTTGGCCAATATGGTAAAACACCATCTCTACTAAAAATACAAAAATTAGCTGGGTGTGGTGTGGGGCACTTGTAATCCCAGCTACTCGGGAGGCTGAGGCAGGAGATTCACTTGAACTTGGGAGGTGGAAGTTGCAGTGAGCCGAGATCACGCCACTGCACTCCAGCCTGGGTGACAGAGTGAGGCTCCATCTCAAAAAACAAAGAAAAAAGAAAAAAATGAATTGGACTTCATTTGTGTCAGAGAGAGCATCCATGGCTTTTGCAAATACCAAATAGTGAAGAGAAGTTGAGAGCAGGTGGTATGTAGGAGAGTGGGGAGAATTCAGAGTGGACAGCTTTGCATGCCATTCTGCGGAGGCATTCCCTAGAGGGGAGTGGCGGAGGCTGTAGGAAAGGTCACACGTGCAGTGCCTACAGGGTCCAGGCAGATAACAACAGTGAGAGAACTAGGTGGGGTGACCAACTGTCCTGGTTACCTAGGACTGAGGGGTTTCCCAGGAAAAGTCTCCCAGCAGACCAAGATGAGTTGGTTACCCTAGAATGAGGCCAGGCCTTGCCTGCCTAGAAAGGGCCTGCTCTCTTCAGGGGGCAGCTCCTTGGAAATATAGACTGGGATTGCTGGATCTTCCAAATGTCCAAGAGAAACTGAATATCCAAAATTCAATGCAAGTTCTTCTGGTTTTTAATTGTTGACAACAAATTCAAATGTTTTAAAAACATGATGCTGGTCAAACCAAGCATTTCTGTGGGCTATGTGAGGCCTACAGGCTGCCTTTTTGAGGATCTCTGGCTACAGTGATGTAAGTGAAGCCTCCCATGTCCCACCCTGTTACTGCCCTGAGGCCCCTTAAAGGCATGTTCAGATGATTTTCATTATGCAGAGTGACTTCAGTGATCAATCGTTTGGTTTTTAATTTGATGTTCTTAACCAGATTTGGATGCCGTGCACAGAATGTAATGGATCAAAGTGGCAATGAATAGTGGTAATAGGGACATGCATTCCATCTTTTTTTTGAAAGACAAAATAATTGCTCAATGGCTTGTTCTGCCCCAAACCTGGATACCTATTTGGTCAGAAAAGTAAAGAAGAATGTATTTCTCAAATATCAGCCTTAAGGTTCATTTATCCTGGGCATCTGGACAGCCCCCTGGCTGAAATAAGGCTGGGAAAGAACAATCACTTTGTTTGTAGGAAACTTGGAAGGTCAGGGGACTGCTGTTTGAAGGTGGTGGAGGGTGATAGAGTCAACTCAACACTGTGATCATATGACTGGGTTGTAATGTGACTATGGGGAAACCACCCAACCTCTCTGGTCCATGGTTTCCCCATCTGTGCTGCAGGGAGGCTGGCTTGCAGGGTAGTTCCCAAGAATCATCCTCCCCATCAGCTCTCTAACTCTAAGCTTTAACTTTGATTAGACTTTTGCTGGGATTTCTCTGGCCCTGCCAGGGTGAAATAATCAGGGGAGATTTTAAAGAAAAAATCAGTCCAGACAACTGTGACATCTTTTTTCTTTTCTAGATGGAATTAGTAGATATGGGGCTTTAATAAGTTGATCTGATATCTGGGCTCCACCAGGCCAGCTCTCTGAATGGCATTTTTCATTGTGTCAGTTGATTTTTCTTTAATTGAGTGTGGATCCGAATATACGTATGGGAGCTGGGTGCAGGAAGAAACCTTCAAAGGCAGGGGTTTTGCAGTCAGGGAGCCATCCTCTCCAAGACAGGGGAGGGTGGGGCAGCGGGGGGAGGACCTGCGTTCATGCCAAGCTGCTGTGTCACCTTTATTAATGATGACGGGGAGAGGGAGTCAGCAGGCAGCTAATGCGGACTGCAGAGGATGGTAATCGGGAGGTGTTGCTACCATTCCAGAGGACAGGGAAGTGGGACAAATGTGAATTTAAGAGGCAAGAGGTGAACAGAGGGAAAGAAAGGCAAAAAAAAAAATGAGTATGACATCATCTGGAAAATTGCAAACCAATGAATCAATGAAGTATCATTCCCAGAGCAGGAAGGAAGCTGCCAGAGAAGGAGCCAGCCTGCCGGGGAGCTGGGGCCTGACAGGAAGCACAAGCTGGGTTGGCTATGCAGTGCCCTAGCCAGGGGTCAGCCACAGCTGGCACGTGAGCCCTAGGAATGGACTTCCACTTCCTTCTGCCCCTTTCCTCCTAGAGCCTTTTTTTTTTTTTTTTTTCATGAAAGACATCAGAAGGAATGCTCTATCCAAAAGGGCTTTACAGGAGCTCATTAATGTGAAACCTTGGAGTCAGCTTTTCAAACAGTTATCTCTGAGTTCAGCCTCATAGGATTTTTCTCATCATGGGGATCAGCTTCATAAAAGCCAGAGTGTGATGATTCTGCCAGTTTTTGCTGTTAACAGATGAAATAGTACTCCCTTTATAGAAATGAAGAGCAAGGACTTTGGGTAGCTTTCTTTAGTTCTCAAGACCTCGTCAGCAGAGCTGGCCTGAAGGCAACACAGTAGGCAGGTGCCTGCATGGCATCCTATTACCTACAAATTGAGGATCAAAGCCCTTAGCTAGGCATCCAAGGCCCTTCCATATTCTTCCCCTCTAAATATCTCTCGTAGTTACCCATGAACTTCTGCTGTACCCAGGCACTTTGTTCATTTCCACCTCTGCCACTTTCCTCATCCTGTTCCAACATATAAATATGAAGCAGCAATTTCTCAGTATATATACTACCACTCCCTGCCCTTGCCCATGGCAGACATCACTAATTGATTGCCACACTCTTTCCTGCTGAGCTAGGACTTGGCCTTAGAATTATTTCCAACACAACTTCCCAGACAGTCACTACCAATCAATTAAATTAATCAAATTATAAAATAAAATGTATTTTCTATTATTGATCTAAGATGTCCTTTCCCATTCTTAGCTCAATCTCTATCAATCTTGTAGTTTCTCAAATCCTACATGCTCTATGAAATTTTCCCTGAATATTTCTACCCTCATAGATTGTTCCTGCTTATTAAAAGCCTAGTGCAAACCTTACCTATAGCATGCATTTTGCACTTATCATTTAGTATCATAATGTATCTTCCCCTTTATGGATCAGAGCTTCTCAACATCAGTGCTAGTGACACTTGGGGCTGGATCATTTTCTTTGTGGGGGCTATCCTATGTATTGTAGGATATTTTAGCAGCATCCTTAGTTTTTAACCAATAGATGTCAGTAGCAACCTCTCCATCACTTTTGACAATGAAAAATATTTCAAGGCAATGCCCTTTGAGGGACAAAATTGCCCCAGTTAAGAGCCACTGTGAGACAGATAGATAGATAGATAGATAGATAGATAGATAGATAGATAGATGATAGATAGATAGATAGATAGATAGATAGATAGATAGATAGATGATAGGTGGATAAAATCTCCCCTGTTAGTCTGAGACCTTCAGTGTGTGGACCATCATCATACCTGACATAGCTCCTTACACACAATAAGTGCTAAATAAATATTTGATAACTGATTGATTGATTGGGAGTGAGGACTGAGGAATTGTCTAGGAAGCGGGAAAAATGTTCTCCAATGTGGACTAAGAATTACACCTTCAGTGTGTCCTTGCTGCAGTTAAGCACTGCGGAATTGAGCAATGCAGAGTTTGCAAAGGGGCCACCTCCAAGCAACCACCCCCCTCCCCAATAAGCTGTTAGCAGATCCTAGTACCTGAGTGTGCTGTGACTAGCAGATCTCTTGCAGCAGAAACAACTAGAGGAGGGAGGAAGTGCTAAAAGAGGCCTGGATGATACGTTTGGCTTGAAGTTTAATACATGATGTGAGAGACCTTCACTCCTCTTCACTCCTCAAGAAGGAAAACGAGGTAAACTGAAGAAATCCTTTTATCCACAAAGTAATCTTCCCTCCTGGAAGCTCTCTGGCTTGGTCACCCGATGTTCTGTGAACATATTTATCTGCCTGCCCCCTCCACTCCCTTAAACAATAGAGGCTTTGTAAAGGGAGAAAAATGGAAGAAACTATAAATCCTCACCCACAATGCAGCTGCCCTCATTTCCACAGGGGGGTTTAAATCATCCTCTACAAGTGAACCAGAAGCAAACTCTACACATCTCCGGCTGATCACAGACTGTTCCTGGTGAATCAGGAATGGAACTGAGGCTGAGCATTGCAAGAAGTCTTTCTGAATACCTAGTGTGTGCCAGGCTTTTTAAGGGACCCTCTGCATGTGTCTTCTACCTTCATCCTCACTACAGTCCTACAGAACCTGCATGGTTATCCCCATTCACAAAGAGAGAACTGAGGGTCCAAGAGGTAAAATAATTTGTCCAGAGTTCCAGAGCATGTCAAGGAGAGCTGGCATTGATCCCAGGACTTAGGATGTGTCCAGTGCCTGCCGGAAAAGCTACATCTATGAGAAACTAGATATATTTCCCAGTATGCGGTATTGGTACCTCATACAGAACCCTTCTTAGCCTTCAAATCCCAAGTAATGCAGAAAACAGGAGGGGTGTCCTCAGCCATAGAGAATAGTCATTAAGAGGGCTGGTTCTGTCTATGTAACTGTGTAACTTTACCAATTGGTCTATCTGTGTATATCATCTAGCTAGCTTTATCCATATGTCCATACATCCATCTATTCATTCATTCATCTGTTAATTTATCCATCTGTCCATCCGTCCATCATCCATTCCTCCTCTTCTATATAGGCACAAGAGATGTCAATGATGTTTCCTAATATTCAAGGTTAATTCAGCAGGGGGAGAGGTGGTGAGGTGGACGATCACACACTTTTCCTTTCTTCATTGACTTTTGAGGTATGGCTTAATTTTAATGATAATAAGATCATACCATGGTTGCAAAAATGATAGCCTCCTTTTTTTCTAAATTAAATGAAAGCATTCTGAAGTCAAGCTGATCTAGGCAACCTATATCCCCTCTCTGTTCGTTGGTTTTCTTATCTATCAAGTAAAAATGGTATTACCAACATCTACTGAAAGTTTGGAGGATTACATAAGATAAAGCTTACATAGTGAGTGCTTGACCCATAGTAAGTATCCTATAACTGTTGGCTATTACGATCATCAGTGTACTTTTTAACAGCGTCTAACACATAAACATCTGACTAATACTAACTTCTCTTTCTTCTGGTTTTTTCTTCCTTTGTTATGGCCCTATAAAAAGTCCTTTCAGATGGGAAATGGAGGCTTAGCCTAGTATCTAACATGTATTTAGCCCTTGAAATGGTGATTATTATTACTGTTGTTTAGCCCACAGTACCTCCTGTCAGAGACTTCACATCCTGTTGGGACACCTTTACCCACAGAAGGTTGACCTTGGTGTCATTTTACCCTGGATGCACATGTTTGCAGGAAAGAGTGGGAGCGGAGCTGCTTAGGATCCTTATCCAGAGCTCCATACCCTAGCAATGCTCCTGGTTTTGATTTTTCTCAGGGAGGTGTGAACTGAGGAATATACCGTATTTTCCTGCACAGCCCTTCCTGAGATGTTCAGTGTGAGGCACAGAAGCCCATCGTTGTTGTATACATGGAGAATAAATCCTTGTTTCTGAACCTGTTCTTTTTGCAATCATATTTGTGACCCCCCTCCCCCCGACACACACACATGTTTCCATGGAGAGAGTTAGAAACAGGATAATTATGTTCTGTGCCATTAAAAACTGGGGTATCCTGAATGATAACCCCTCTCCTGGCAAGCAGGCTTCTCAGGTAGGCCCCCAGACTTGAATGGCTTTAACCAGAGACTGGGAGCCTCCAAAAGTAGGCTTCTGTTCATTCAACTCTGCATGACAGGGAGATGAGCCCACTGGACTCAAAGATAAGTGGAATCAATGTAAAACTAAAGTCCATGCCCACACCTGCTGAAGGAGGGCCAGATTCTGCTAGAAAATAATCATTTAGCAAGAAATGCTTGCTGAAGAGTGACAACCATCAGGAATGAGGAAGAGTCAACATTTAAAACATAATTTGTGCTTTTCACAAACTCCTGACCCTAGGAACAACTCCAGTCTAGTGCCTTGGAGATGGGCTGGTGTAGAAAGACATGGAAAATGCTTCTCTAAAGAGGAGAGCTTTCCAGCACACAGCAGCTACAGCATGTTTCTCAAAGTCCAAATCAATGGCTTCTCTTTGTACTTACAAGAAAATCCTAATTCTTGCACTGATCCCATGGGCCTCCAAGGGCCCGTGGGATCAGACTGCTGCCTGTCTCTCTGACCTCATCATATACGGAGCCTTCCCTCAGTCATACCTTTCCACCACACTGAACTTCTTTCAGCTCCTCCGACGCTCCAAGCACATCCCACTTCGGGGCCTTTGCATCTACTGTTCTGCCAGATTTTTGCATGACCCATTTTCACTATTCAGGTTTCTACTCAAATGTCAACTCTTAAAGAGGCCACTATGATCCATCCTATTGAAAATAGGGCAGATACTCCATCTCCATGCTATTGCTTTGTAATATTTCATTAGTGGCACATATCACTATCTAAAATGATCTTACATATATATTTCCTTGTTTAAAGTGTGTTCCCTCTGTTCCTGGCTCTTCCCAACGGGGATGTGAGCTTCTTAAGAACAAAGCCTTTGGTAACCTCAGCTGTATCCCCAGCATCTAAAACCATGCCTGGCACATAGTAGGTGCTCAAGAAATATTTGTTGAATTAAGAAATGTGTGAAAGAATTATCTCACTCTGGATTGCTAGAATATAATTTAAGATGGGATGTGTTCAGAGGTAGAACAAAACTTCTTTCATTTCTGGCCTCTCCTAAGGCAAAGGTAGTCAACACAGGACCCTAACTTTTCAGCTTTTATGGAGGGGGTGGTCCCTATAACATTCTTTTGGAGATGGGAAATTCTATAATAAATTCAATCTCCCATCTAACAAATATTTATTGAACCCATGCAATATGCAAGTTCAACTCTACCTTCTGACAAAGAACAATGAATAAATGGACACAAATCTCTGCCCATGAGAGTGCTGATGTGGAAGACGTGGCGGGTTTTTAAGAGAACACAGGGCTTAGAGTCGGAAAGGCCTAAATTTTAGGTCCTATGTCACCATATACTAAAAGTCTGCATAAGCAAGCTACCTGACCTCCAGGTATCTAACTTTCCTCCTGTATAAAATGAGCATGAAGCTGACCTCATGAGATTACTGACAGGATTCAGTAACTGCTGTGCCTCTGGCACCTAGCACTTGGTGGTCGCTATTGAGATGATGAATGTAGGGCCCTGGGCAAAAGGAATGAATGAATGGAATTTTCTTTCCTTCCACTTCCCCTTGTGATTAAACATCTCATCATATACTTTAGAAGTTTTCAAGTGATCTCAAAAAGAAAAAAAAGAAGAAAATTTAAAGTGATTTCACATCACAGAGCCACAAGCACAGGCTCCAACCAGGATCAGAAGGTGTTAGTTTCAAATGAAGAGTGTGTAATGAATTCAGGCCCCTCTTCGAGCCTTGATTCAAAGCAGCCTGCGCTTCTGGCCCCTTGTCTGTGCTTAAGAGCTGATCTGTCATTAATGCCCACAGCGTCAGGCAGGGGTGCACATGGCTGACTCTGCCGGAGTTGCCATGTTGTACAGATGGAACATGTCAGGGCACACCCAGCATATGCAACATCCAAGTGGCATCTTTCTGTTTTCCTGTGATGCTATGCCTTTGACATGTAGCAGGCCACATGAACCTTGCGGATCAAAAAGCTTCTTAGGAAAGAAGGTGATTCAGTTTATTCTATTGCACAGCAGGATGTCCTGGGTAACCAAAGAATGTCACTGCACGCAAAGACAGACACACCTTCTTAAAGCCAAACAACTGGGGAACTAAGTTTTCGATGAAGACAGTTATTTTTCAGGCTTCTGAACAATTTGGACACTGTTGTCACTTTTCCTACCTGCCAGCAACTGTTCCTGAATAAAAGAACTGTCCCAGCATGCTCTGTTCCAAGAGGCACACACTGGACTTACTGAACAGTGGCATGTTGTTAACCAAAAGCATGTTCAGCGGCAGAGGCTCTTAGCTGTTCATCCCAAGCTGTGATTGGGAGTGCTTGATGTGTCCATAGATAGTCACGGGTAGGCGGAGTCATCATTTCCTCTGTCCAGGTCAGGAATTTCAATGAGCTAATCTGCATAGCTTCTCTGGACTTGAGTCAGCAACAAGACAATACTAATAATAGCTGCTATTATCGAGGGCTTTCCGTATTCTAAGTCCTTTACACAAATTAATTGAACCCTCACCAAAACAGTGTGAAGTAAGGAATATTTTTATCCCCTTTTACAGATGAGGCAGCTGAGGCACAAGACCCTGCTCGAGGTCACAAAACTAGTAAGAGATACAGCTGAGATTTGAACTCAGGCTTTCTGGCTCCTAAGCCCCCACTCTCATGCTTGCATCCTGGCAGAACCAGATGTAAGCTCTTTAGAGTACTGCCTTATCCATCCTGCTCATTGCTCCATGCCTCGCACCTAGCACAGAGCCCAGAACGCAAGGACAGACAGCACACCTTAGTTTTCCCAAAGAGTGCTCCCAATTACAATTCTGAACTGCCTGATAAAGCTCTAAAATGAATAGGTTTTAGAGTCCCTGTTTTTCCTGACACCAAAGCCTCCCACTTCCAGTCCTAGACCCACCACACAGACAGCACCAATTTCATCCAAGAATAAAATCTGTTACATAACCAGATGGCAGACATGGGGGTGAATAGAGAAGCAACCTGTGAGTGCATTCGGCCACTCCTAGTCTCCAAAGGACAGCTCCTAGAAAGAACTTTTCATCTGTCTCTGAGCCTCCCTCGGCAAACTTTCCTTCATCTCCTCTCACTGGTGCTTTCTATATTTTATTTTATTTTGGTCGTGCGCATTATTTGAAGTTACTATAGCAACGTGTCACCAGCTGGTATCACATAGTAATGTTGGCATTTAGGTAGCAAGCTTCCGAAGTTGGCTGTTTCACTCCCTCTGCGATCTCATCACTCCTACTAATCTTAGGTGAGTGAGGGTTGCATGGGCAGGCAGCACCCATGCCCCTCGCCCCTATTTTGTTTGTTTGTTTCCCAAGGCAAGGCAAACTGGTAGCCTTTCCCTCAGTTCACATGGCACTGCAGGGGTCCTGGCTCTGTGTATGTGTGTGTGTGTGTGTGGGGGGGGGGGGGTGTAGGTGTGTTTGCATTAGAGGTTGTTAAATAGATATGTTTAAGTTGAATGTTGTACACTAAAATTATTGGCATTGTCAATATCATGATGATGATGATGATGAATTTTTTAATGCAAAAGAGTGGAATGATTTGGGGAGTGCTAATCTCCTGATCACAATCACCTAGTATCCCAGCTAATTAATTTTGATCACACAATACTGGGTTTCTCTTCTTCTCTCTCACCATCACACAGTGAAGAGACCCTCACTCTTTTCCTTTGGAGCTTCCAAGTGTGCAAGACCTCCCTACGTCCCGAAGGGCTGAATTAATTAAGAGGATTGATTGTCTTGGATCACTGAAGAGGGTTCTGTACAGCAAATAAGCCCTGCCACTCAAGGTGTTAAGTAGTCCCTCATCAGCCAAGTGCCTGCGATGATTGCACTTATTTTTACACGTTTGACCTAGTTTCAAACCGTGTCTCTTCATGCTGTGATTCATTAGCCACATTTTAAACCATCCCAATCGGAGCGAGGTGACACTGTCTGGTTTGTGCCAGAGTCTCAGATACAATTTCTCACTGGAATTTAATATGCAAGTCTCCCTGGAATTCTGTTTTAAGAAGCAATTTCCCATCCTGGCATGCTGCTTGGATATGGATGAGTGGCTGCCTCATTCCTAGGTAGTAAATATGTCGATTACAGAATTTCTGCCCGGGATGAAAAGAGGGGGATTCTTGCTAGCCTGGAGACTGCAAGGGGTCCCTCCACCCCTCTGTTCCCCATGCAGTATTCAGGCTTTTCCAGGTTTCTGACAGGGCTGGGAGTTCGAGCTCCTACACTGTAAAGTTTGAACAACGTCAGTGTTAGGGCTGTCTAAGTTGCTAGGGCAAATGCAGTCTGCTCAACATTCCCCCACCCCTATTCCTATGTCCCCTAAAAATTTAAGACATGGTGGATATGGAAGTAAGGTCTCAAACTTGTACAGAGGGGCAGGACACAAATGCCATTTTTGAGGAAACTACTGAAAAAGAGACACACATCAGAGAAGCAAAATGTTATTCCATGATTCTATCGCTGTATGACAAAAGAGGTGGTTTTTAAAATCCAAATGACAGAAAGGAGACTTTTCTGAATATGAAGCTGCTGCTTGTTTCTCACTCCATTTCAGGTTATCAATCATTCACATCGGTGTGATTTCCCACAGATCTGATACCAAAGGGGGCTAGACACCATAGCAGAAAAAAAAGATGCTTCTAGTCAGAAGTAAAACACTGTCATTTTTCATTAACAGCCAAATGCAGGTAACTTGTCCAAACTTCAGTCACATTGCACTACAAATCGTACCAAAAGGCACGCAACCGGGTTTTTCTACGTGGTAGTGAGAACTAAGAAATTAACAAGCTGGTAAAAGTAATTTTGATTGATCAGTGAACTACAACACACCGACCAACTCCTAATGAAAAGATAATGGTTTTTTTCATAAAACAGCCACTCTCTCTAGATGGGGACTAGAATCCCCCTCCCTTTTTATCTTTTAAAATGAAGAATGGAAGTTTCTCTAAACAAGGCTTAAGACAATTCATCCTTTTCAAGGCAATTCCAGGCAACTTGAGATCCAAGGTTTGTTTTTCTTTGCTTTTTTTCCCCCTTCAAATTCAAATCAAGCCATTTGAAATAACAAGCATTCCATATCCATGCATTTGGGGCAGCCTGCAGTTCTGACAATGGTGGATTTTCCACTACATACCACCACACACACACATACAAGCTCCCAGTCTCACTGTTGATTTAAGCCAAAGCTTTAAAAGTAAACTATTGTCCAAGAGACGATCGCATTTTCTCTCAGAGGATCATCGATCATAAAAAATAAAACCTACCCACATCTCTTACCTTGAAGCAGTGGAATTACCTGCAGAGGATGGTCCCCCTTCCTTGCACAATGAGCCAGGCTTTGACCAGCAGCAAAATTACTCCAAAAGAAGGAATAATAAGTCCTTCATATTGTAATTTTCACTGTTTATATGCAAGAAGTGTAGTGGGTCTGCTCACGTAGGAATAAATAAAAAGCCGAACAAACTGCTCGGCAGCTACCATGTGAAAAGAAAAGACCTCTAGTGGCCACAGGCTGAATTCTTTAAGGAAGGGAGAGGAGAGATGGAGCAGAGGAAACACACGCTCCTGTGTGTGTATAGACACACACACACACACATATGCAGGCACACACACATGCATATACACACACTCCTACACCCCACAAATGCTAAGGTTTCTCCTTTCTTGCATTTGGCCTGGCTGGAGGTAGAAACGAGAATAATGGTTATTTCTTGATTTAAGTGGGAGCTGGTTAAATTAGCAGTGACGGCGGTGTTCTGTCTAGTTTGAAAGGGATAATTTCACACACTCACTACCACCCCCTGGGGGCCTGAGCAGGAAAAAGAATTTGACTCTGGCTCTTCAAGGAGTTGCCTGCCACCCAGTGTAGAGGCTACAAGTTCCCATCAACAAAGCATCATCAGCCATTGTCCCTGAGAGTCCCAGCTTTGTGATCTCCGCCGGATTTGCATGTTTTCTAGTCATTTACGGTGTGTGGGTGTGGTGGTCACTTGGCAGGGAGAGCCAGCTTCCTGGGTTTGTAAGCTTCGTAGTCATGACAGACCCCTTGCTTAGAAGGGCTCCATGGCTGTTTCAAAATTCTGAATAGTTTTAAACAAGGGCTTTGCATTTTTACTTTGTTCTGGGACTCACTAATTACATAGCTGTTCCTGCTGACAAGGAAAGCATGCTATCCCTAACTTCCCAATTGAAAAGAACCTAGAAACAAATGAAAATCCATATCATGGGAGCTACTTTCGGGAGTATAAACTTAAGAAACAGTTTTCCAAAAGGCTTCCTGTTTCTCTACCACTAGAACGAAATTGTAAACCTGGGAGGAAATATATACACGTGTATATATACATACAGGCATACCTCGTTTTATTATGCTTCACAGATACCTGTTTTTTACAAATTGAAGGTTTGTGGCAACCCTGCATTGAGCAAGTCTCTTGGCACCATTTTTCCAACAGCCTGTGCTCACTTCGTATCTCTGCATCACAATTCGGAAATCCAAGCAATATTTCAGATTTTTTTCATTATTATTATACCTGTTATGGTGATCTGTGATCGGTGACCTTTGATGTTACTATTATAATTGTTTTAGCACACTATAAACAAACTTCACTATGGCAAAGTTCACTGTTGTCTTTTTTTAAGAAATTGCCACAGCCACTCTAGTCTTCAGCAACCACCACCCTGATCAGTCAGCAGCCATCAGCATCAAGCCCAGACCCTCCCCCAGCAAAATGATTCCTATTTACTGAAGGCTCAGATGATCATTAGAGTTTTTTAGCAATATTTTTAAATTAAGGTTTATGTTCTCAAATTAAAATTTATATTTTTTTAAACATAATGCTATTGCATACTTAATAGACTACAATAGAGTGTTAACATAACTTTTATATGCACTGAGAAGCCAAAACATTCATGCGACTGGCTTGATTGTGATATTCACTTTATTGCGGTGGTCTGGAACCAAACCCATAATATCTTCAAGGTATGCCTGTATATATTTCATATTTGTTATTTTATTAACAAAAGAGGAACTTTTTTATATAAAAAAGGCAGCAGTTTATGGTAAAAATGCTTTTTTTTTTTTTTTTGGTTCAAACATAATACTTCCAGCCAGGCCATCTTCCACAAGCCCGTGCTTGGCTGGACCACAGTAGAACTTCATTTGGCCAAGATGGCAGCCCCAGTGGAAACTTGCAAGAGACAGTCAAAAATGACTTCTCACCCCTGGTGGATTCGTGGCTAGTGCTTTGTTTACCAGGTTCCAGAATAGATCTCCCTGAATGCTGCTTGCAGACACAGAAAACTCACCCTGATATGGACTGATAAATCTGGGAAAGAGGAAGCAGAAAAGGCTATGCTGATGTCTTCTGGTGCATGAAAGGGTGTGGTTCCTCCTCTGCTCAGAGGGTCTCCTCTCTGTGTCCCTGCCTTGATTTCCCTCTTCTTTGAATCTTTCTGGTACTTAGTTGGCTTTGCCAATTGAGGGTCTTACTCTTTTTCTCTCATGATTAATCTCGCTTTCCCAACTAGATCATGAACTCACAAAGAGCAAGAGCCATCTCTTCTCATTTCTTTCATCCCTCTCAGCTCTTACCAAGTGGCAGGCCCCAGGAGGTGCTGGGTTGCCACTGGCTGATTCCTGGTGATCCAACTACAGATTCCACTGCAGAGAACTTTAGTGCATTTCAAGGTGCTAAAGGAGCCACCTGATTCTTTTGATACTGCTCTAGAGGTAGATTCAGATGAATTATTGTCCCATTTGACAGATGAGACGATTGGGACTTACACATGTAAAATTATTTGTCATAAAATGAAACTGTCTCCATGATTTTGAAATAGGCTGGATTTCCTGACACAAGTACAGTGCTCTTTCCCCAGTGTGCGAACAGCAGGAGAGGTAATGGATCAGGTGTTATGTTTATGTTCGGCACTGCTATTACAGTCCCAGGCACATAATAGTACTCAGTAAATACTTTATTGATGAATGAGCCATAAGGAGACATTTTCTCACAGGGAAGTTTTCCATGGTCCTCTCTCAACTATTTATAGTATTTGTCTTCATTTCTTGCAGAGTCACTTTGTGGCATGTATGACAGCCATCTTAAACCAGATGGGTGACCAGCACTACTCCTTCTACATTGAGACCTTCCAGACCAGCTCTGAACTTGTGGTGAGTCTGCAGGATGCTGGGGGTGAGGAAGAACTCTTCCATCTCTGGAACATGGCTTCTGTCCCTGTCAGAGAGACCTGCCTGTCTATCACATAATCTAGATATGACTTAACCAATATTTGTTGATGAATCACAGACATTTTGGGGTTTAAGAGCATGACTGTTAGAGTCATACATTCTTAGGTTTGCATCTAGGATTTGTCACATGCTAGCTGTGTGACCATGGTCAGGTGAATCCTTTTATGCCTCAGTTTCCCCATTTGTAAAGTGGGGATAATGTCATTTATGTCATAGGGCTAAGAAGGGGTTGCACGAGAACACAATAGCTCTCACGTAGTAAGTGCTCAGTAAAATATAGCTCTTATTAAGATCACAAATGCCTAGAGGAAGTTGGTCTCTGGGCCACCTTCTTCTAGCCTCTCAGGATGCATTTGCTGCAAGACCATCTGCCCGTGGCCTGTGGCTTCTATCTCTGCAGCTGATGACTTCATTAACATAGAGCCCAGCCCAGGCTGTTCCTGCCCCAAGGGTGGAGCAGAGCACACTTTGCCCTCAGTGTGGCCTCCTTTCTCTCTGTCTTGTTGCTACCAGGTTCAGGAGTCCCACTGCTTAAGGTCACTCTCAACTCTCCCTGGAGAGACCAGGAGCACCAAAATTGGATCAACCTCAGAGAGTGGCCCATAAAAAAAGGAATCATTAGAAAACTAATGCCCTACCCTTTCATCCATTCAGTAGTGAGATGTTCTCTCCCTTGGAGTAAGATTGGCAAGAAATGGAACTTTTCCCTCAACCTCCAATTTCCCTATGTCTTAAGACATGGAAATAGAAAAACTGGACTCCTAATTTTTGATCCTGTATGGAAGGAAAGGTTTCTGGGGGAAGAAGGTAAGAAATGGAATTCTTAATGATTGAACATACACATTTTCTTACATAACCCTCACAAAAGTATGACATGGAAATTAGGAGTCACATTTCAC
This sequence comes from Homo sapiens, assembly GCF_000001405.40. NCBI lineage: Eukaryota > Metazoa > Chordata > Mammalia > Primates > Hominidae > Homo > Homo sapiens. The sequence goes on from NC_000005.10 coordinate 169,984,144, forward strand.
AACTCTACAATCTGCTTGCTCAAGGTCCCGTAGCTAGTATGTGGTGGAGGTAAGGTCTGGACATTGACTGTAACCCTTATACCACACTATCTCCTCATTAAGAAGCCACTCTTCCCATCTATGAGCCAGGAGCCTTCTTCATTTCCACAGGAAGGGGATGTGCCTGTGATGATATCCACACTTCCGCAGGTGACATCAAGTATGAATAATATAACAATACTCACCATCATCATCAACAGGTAATGAGAATTTGTAGGAGACCAGGCTCTGTACTAAGCATGTGATAGGCAGTATGCACTTAATCGTCACAGTCACCCTTTGAAGTAGATATTATTCCCATTCTGCTGACGTGGAAACTAGGACTTAAAGTGTTGAGGTAGTTTTCCCTAGCAACAAAGATTGCTGGAAAGGAACAAATGTCATTTCCAGAATTTTGCAACTTAGCTAAAAGCAGTGATTTTCAAATTATGTTCCTCCTATCCTCACTATGCTTTACCATAAACATGCACACACGTGCGCACACACACACACAATTCCACCAGAGCTGTTCTACCTTTATATATTTTATATATTGGGCTCCAGGTAAGGCTTTCTTTGAACAAAGAATTCTGCTGTTAAAATAATTTGAAAACCACCAACTTAAGGAAACAACTCTGAACGGATTTCCTCTAGATTTTAAATTTTGCCTAAAGTACACTGGTGGTATGTCTTCACTACCTCCAGCTCAAAAGGGTCTCAGTGCCAGTGGTTCTGGTCTTAGCTATCCAGATTTCTTTATTTATTTTTTATTTTTTGAGACAGAATCTCGCTCTGTCACCAGGCTGGAGAGCAGTGGCACGATCTTGGCTCACTGCAACCTCCGCCTCCTGGGTTCAAGTTATTCTGCCACAGCCTCCCGAGTAGCTGGGATTACAGTGTCTGCCACCACACCCAGATAATTTTTGTATTTTTAGTAGAGACCATGTTGGCCAGGATGGTCTCAATCTCTTGACCTCATGATCCACCCTTCTCAGCCTCCCAAAGTGCTGGGATTGCAGGTGGGAGCCACCGTGCCTGGCCTCCAGATTTTGCTTTAATTTGTGTTTTCCAAAGATGGAGAAAAAGTATGGCTCACTGCAAAATCTAGTGAAGGGTGCTGAAGTCCGCTAAGAACCTCTTCAAAGGAGAGGAAGAGTTCCTGTCATTGTGTCTCAGCTAATCTGCTCGTGTGTGTGTGTGTGTGTGTGTGTGTGTGTGTGTGTGTGTGTGTGTATGTGTGTGACATATGAATTAGCTGTATTTACAGCACTGCTAATTAGATGTTCATTTTAATAAGAGTTTATTTGCTCAATGACCTGAGATGCTTTCATACAGTGAGATTATTTCCTTCTCAAATACATATTTGTGAAAATGATTATAAAATTGCCACATCAATGAGTACATTTACTTCTTTATTCCCAAAGATGGAATTAATAGTGCTTTATTTTGAGAACATTTTCGCATCCCATATTCATGTTCCACTGACATTTGGGAAACAGCATTCCAGCATTCAATCTTTAAGCTTCCATTTAATTTAGTTAATGAAAGGCTGTGTCCCTTCCCTTTTCCTCCCTCCAAAATATAATAGCAAAAAAATTTGAAGAGCCAACAAGCTCTGAGTTCCTGTAAAACAGGATGACATGTGTGCTGTGCTTCATTGTTTCAGGACTTCTTGATGGAGACCTTCATCATGTTCAAGGACCTCATTGGAAAGAACGTGTACCCTGGAGACTGGATGGCCATGAGCATGGTTCAAAACAGGTGAGCTGCTACCTGCTTCCGCAAAGCTACCTTACCCAGCCCTCACTTCAAAGATCACTTATTTTGGGTTAAATTAGGGACAATTTCTCCTTGCTGAAAAGAAATTAAAGTGTTAAGGCATGCTTTCTTTCTATCTTTAAACCCAGGGAAGGACTCCTCACCAATCGAAGCTACTCAAAAAATCGTCTCCAACTTCTCCATTTTTCAAATCCCAGTTAGAATATCATACTTCATCTCTGAAGCCTTTCGTTCACTCTTGGGACAGGAGATCTTAGAAAAGCATTTTAAAAATATATTATTTTAATTTTTAAAAAGTAATAAAATATATTCTGTGACATGGTAAAATAAGTTTAGGAAGCATTAAATTAAACAGATTTGAACAGATTTCCATGCTGCAGGACTTCTTCAAGCTTTTAATTTGCTAATGTGATTTTTTTCTAAGAGGAGGATTTAGGGTACAGCATTCCATTTGCCCATCCATTTGCACATAGGATGTGCATTTGGTGTGTCTATGTGTGTATCTATAATACCCGTTAACATCTCCTACACTATCAGTGTAACCCAAGTATAGCTTAGATGTCCTATGGCCCAACACAACAAGAGATAAAAGTAATTCTAAACAATTTCAGTCTCTGCTCCTAGGTTTCTTATATCATTTCACCAAAGTAAAATCCAAATTATAACATTCATTAATCTTTTCTAATATTCCCTTGGGTTTATTTCTAATATTCCTTGGATTTCCCCAAGCCTCTCTCAGAACCTGATTCTCAAATCCTGCCGATCAGTTCCTTTAAAACAGCATCTTTTTGGTTCTTCTCTTTTCTTTCTCCCTGCTTTCCTTTGGCTTATTTTATTTGTTTTAAATTCTTTCATGGAAAGCCCTTCAACTTATACTGGTGTCTAGTTTTATCTCCCTCTACCTATTGTTCTTGTTTTATATCAAAAAACCAAGCATTGTCTGGCAAAGATAGAAATATCCCTAGAGGGCAGAATAAGGGGAGAAGTTAAAAAGACAAAATCAGAATTCTCTGAAGTGGAAGGGAAAGAGCAAACACTAACTCAAACTTGCCCAAGCAAAAAGAGAATGTATTGGCACAGATAACTGAAAGAGCCCTGAGGTGTGGCTTCAGGCATGGATGTATCTAGGTGCTCAAATAGCAATGTAGGGAATCTGTGTGTGTGTCTCTCTCTGCTTTTTCTATTTACTTGATTCTCAGGCAGATGCTCTCTTAGTGGGGAAAATGGGCTCTAGAAGTTGCAGATATATTCCTTGTTGTATTTTCAACCACAATAGAATGAAAAGGCTTCTTTTCCTATAGGTACAGAAAAAATCCTGAGGCCACTCTTCAAAGGTCTGGCCTGAGCTACATGCCCATCCATGGACCTCTGCGGCCAGCCAAATGAAATGTGCTATTAAGTCAGGCTTGGATTTCATGACCCGCCTTTGGAACTGGGTCAGTTCTACCAAAACCACAAAGTCAGGGAATAAGGAAAGAAGCAGAGAGAGTAGTTCTTCAAAGGAAAATCTAGAAGTTGTTACCAGAAAGAGGACTAAATAATGGGCAGGTGAATGCACAGATGTCCAGCCTTGATCCAGGGTCTTGGGGTTGGAGCCCTGGCCAGGCAACTTCCCCTTCTGAGCTGTCCACACGGTCCTTCTGGAAGAAACATGTGCTGGGTCCCATGGGAGTGCTTTGAAGGAATATTTCCTCCTGAAATCCCAGCTTCATTCAAACTTTAGTCATTTTTGGGAGAGGCCCCCAGAAATGATACAGTAATCCTTATTTCTTTATACCTAGAAAATTAGAATGTAATTTCCTAACGGACCTAATACATTGGAAATCTCTCCTAAATAGAAATCATAGATTTGTATCTCTTAAGGGTCAGCCAAGTACTTATGTTTTGTACATTAAAGAAAAAAGTTAGACTCTAGAACACAGCCTGGGCTTCAGACTCTTTAATTCTGCCACTTTCTCTTTCTTGGGAAGTCATTTAACCTCTTGGAGTGTTAGTTTCCTAGTCTGTAAAATGGGGATAATGGTAGTTTCTATTTCATGAAAATTGCTTTGTGTGTACGAGGATAGAATGAGTTACTCCTTAGCACAGTGCCAGGATCAAGGAAAATATCAATAATAATAGCGTTGCCATCACTAGGTGATGACAACAAACTTAGCTTTAGACTAAAGAAGCATGTGTTAATGTCAACCAGAAAAGATTGCTTTTTTCTGCTTGCAGGCACATAGCTTAGTTCGAAGATTTCCTGCATCTTCTGGCCAAAATGATCTCTTATGTTTATAGAACACATGAAATGTTCTCACTATTTTTGCATTTTGTATATTATAATAGCTAACATTTATTAAGTACCGAGATCCATCACTGTTGCAAAGGCTTTACATGAAATTAGTTCATTTAATCCTCCCAACAACTTTATAATGTAGAACAACTATAATCCACGCATTATATAAGAGGAAGCTGAGGTACAGAATAGATAAGTAACATACTTCCTGTTGCATTGCTGAAAAGAAACAGAAGCCATTTCATTGAAAACAATGCTCTTAATCTCTGTATTATTATTATTATTATTGTTTTATTTATTTATTTATTTTTGAGACAGAGTTTCTATCTTGTTGCCGAGGCTGGAGTGTAATGGCATGCTCTCAGCTCACTGCAACCTCCGCCTCCTGGGTTCAAGTGATTCTCCTGCCTCAGCCTCCCAAGTAGCTGGGATTACAGGCATGCACCACTATGCTCAGCTAATTTTGTATTTTTAGTAGAGAAGGAGTTTCTCCCTGTTGGTCAGGCTGGTCTTGAACTCCCGACCTCAGGTGATCTGCCTGCCTCGGCCTCCCAAAGTAATCTCCATATTATTAAGTGCATTTTGCCCAGAGAGGTGAAATGACTCTCCAAGGTCATGCCACTAGTGAACAATTTCAACCCAATTTAGATAAACAGAACAGGTACCATGACTTATGCCAGACCAGTGTTCCCCAGAATACCATTTTCTTTTCTCCAAAAAGGTGCAACTTATTCATGTGGTCAGGGCCAACTTCACTTGTCAGTATGTCTGGACATTCCAACTAACTTTTCTTCCTTCCTTCCATGATCTGTATGTTATGATAGTTGGCCTGTTTTTATAATTTTTCTATTATCACTTATGATTTCTGTGTTATGTATGCATTAGTCATCTATTATTTACTTATCTGTTTGTTGGAAAAGGGAGTGGAGTTTTCTAGATTTTAATGTCTCCCCAGCTGTGTACTGTTTGCGTATGCAGACATAGTGACACATCTCCTGCAAGAAATACTTCCTGTTAGAGTGTTTTTCTTTTTGGTAAGCTGCAACACAGTAAGATCTGATTTACATGATGTTGTTAATTTTTAAATGATCAAGTTCTTTATAATGTTGTAAATGAACAAGATTATGCCTAGAAACCTCTTTTACCTCTCTTCCATCTGCACCTCACTCTAGAAATCCAACATTTTGAGGAGGCTTAGGATTTATGCATAGCCCTAAAGTTACCCTAAATGCAGCCAACCACCAAATATTTATTGAATTTCATGAGCATCCAGGGTTGTAGGCAATGGACAGGCCAATTTAAGCTATGGTCCCAGAAGGCAGAGGGCTTACGGTCTAGCTGGGGAAACAATAAATATTCCCATGGAAATGCAAGCTGCAGTTGCTGTCATGAATTTGGAGCCCAGACAGAGACCAGAGGCAGAACAGGGCAGTTAGGACTTATGGCTGCCTGGATTCAAATTCCATCTGAGCAAGATCCTTCACCACTCTAGACTCTGTTTTCCTCACTGTAAAATGTGGCTAATAATGATACCTACCACAAGGATATTTGTGGGAACTAAAATGAAGTAATATGTAGAAAGTAGTTAGAATAGTGTTTGACACATAGCAAGCGCTTCATAAATGTTAGTTATTTTTATTTTATATTTCTATTTCTATGGTTTGGGTATAGCCAAACTACTTCACTGAAGCAGCAAATCTGGGCTGGATCTTGTCTACCTTTTCATATGGTAGTTCCATCAGTGTGCTGATGAATCACTGACACCCATTTTCCCTTCATCCTACCTACCTTAATTTGTAGTGATTATTCGTTTTTGGGGTCCCCACCTCCTCCAATCCATGTAATCCAGAAAGAAAGAACCCTCTTAATGTTTTTTTTTTTCTTCTTCTTTTTCTTTTGAGACAGAGTCTCACTCTGTCGCCCAGGCTGGAGTGCAATGGCACGATCTCAGCTCACTGCAACCTCCACCTCCCAGATTCCGGTGATTCTCTTGCTTCAGCCCCCTCAGTAGCTGGCATTACAGGTGCACGCCACCATGCCTGGCTAATTTTTGTATTTTTAATAGAGACAGGGTTTCACCACATTGGCCAGGCTAGTCTCGAACTCCTGACCTCTGGTGACTCACCTGCCTCAGCCTCCCAAAGTGCTGGGATTACAGACATGAGCCACCATGCCCAGCTTACCTCTTCATGGTTTCATTAATCAGCAAAGAACACCTAATCCTGACATCCAGCTGGCTGCAGGATCCCGATCCCAGAGCCTGCTGCATCCCTAACTGGAATCCCAAATTATGCAGAAAATGTTTCCGGGCACTTGGGGTGAACCGTGTCCTGTCACTGAGCTGGAATATGCTGATTCATTCGAACCTTTTGGCCCATGGAGCATTTTGTGTGTTGTAAAGGAGGCACTGAAATGCTCTGTGGGAGAATAGGTATCCCAGCGGCTCAAGAGGAGGGATGTCTGTGTCTCCCAGCCAATGCTTTTATCTTTAGTTCTAACCAGTAGAATCAACTACATCCCATGAATGACAGGGGATTGGGATTTGGAGTGGCCTTTTCTCTCCCTTGGTGAATCTCACCAGATAGGGCATGTCCGCCTCCTCTCCCCTCTTTTGTTCACATGATACTGCCTGTGGGCATGGTCCACGCTGTGTTGTCACATGGGAGTATTATCAGCCTCATATCCTCCTGCCCCAGAACTTCGAGGCCATGGGCATTTAAGGATAACCATAACAACAACAGCTGACATGTACTGAGGACATCTGTGTGCCCAGGCACTGGGCCCCTGCTTCATGTACTGCAGCTCATTTAGTCTTCACACATGGCTCCTTTTACAGATGGGGCAGTTGAGATTCACAGAGGTCAACCACCCAGCCCACGGCCGCAGCTCAGAAGAGTGGCTGAGTGGGAAGGTGACCCTGGCAGGCTTGCAGCGCCTGTAGGACTCTGTGTGCACCTTCCATTCCTGGGCCTGGGCCAGGGAGTAGTACATGTAGTGTGTATAGGCTTATTCTCGGCTGCCTCCTGACACCAGGATTTGTTCTGCCACATGAAGAGAAGTAGGAAACTGGGGACTTGAGCCAGCAGGCTCTGTGAGGCCTCACATGGAACAGTTTTGAGGGTAGCAAGCCTGGGTTTGGCTCCTCTTTCTGCCAGCTTCTTCCTACTCACAACAGCTGACTTATCTGTTCCCTGCTCTATTGCATATGGCTTCTGGTTCCTCATGGAATCATCTGCCCATGGCTTCTGCTCAAGGCTCAGACTGCGTTCTCCCTCCTTGTGGGCTATTTGAAAGGATGGATCTACTTCTGTCCAGGCTTGGGTATTTCCATTGCACAGTGCTATATCCATAAGACCACCCATGGGCTGCTGGCCAGCCCATACAAGACTGCTTTGAGTCACGTGTTGGCTCTGGACCCAGTCAGCTGTAGGCAGGCAGCAGAATGATGCGGACAAAGTGCGAAGGGCTGCGTGCATGGCAGGCATTAGTGGAAGCATGCCAGTGCCGGAAGTTCAAGGAGCCAGTGTGTCCTTCTGGTTAACTGAAAACACTTTAGAGAAAGACAGACCTGAGTTTGGGTCTGGACTCTTCTGCTTCTTTGCTGTTTGAATGTGGGGAAATTATTTGCTCTTTCTAAGACTCAGTTTCCTCTTATGTTTAATGGGTATAACAGTAGCTCCTATTTCAGTTTATAGAATTAAATGAAATAATGTTTGTAGAACTGTTAGCACAGGCCATATGAATTATGGCAATTGATGCTTCCATCATTGTCATTATTAATAAAGTGAGCTCACGGCTTGGATTGAACAGAACTACAGAGATGTCCCTGTGGACAGAACTGCCCTGTGGTTAAATACCTAGATTCTGCAGGCCGTGTAACTTCATGTAAATCCTGATTTTACATGTACTGGCTGGGCTATTGGGAAAGTTACCTAAACTCACGTCTCTAAAGTGGAAACCATATCTAACTCAGAGATATGTGAGCATTAGAAAAACAAAAGCAACAGAGGAAAGAATCCATGCAAAGCCCTAGCATGGAGCCTGGCAGGCAGTTGAAAACCATGGTTGGGATTGTTCTTCCTCCTATACAGCCGCTAAGCAACACAGACGAGACACAGCAAGTGCTAGGTTGAGATCTGATAACGAACTTTGTTTTCAACAATTCAGGTTCATTGTTGAGAGTAATAGAGTTGAGTGTGTTTTCGTCCTAACCCACTTTACCATATGAGTGCTTAGGCTTTAAGTACAATTATTGTTGTTGTTTTGAGACGGAGTCTCGCTCTGTTGCCAGGCTAGAGTGCAGTGGTGTGATCTCGGCTCACTGCAACCTCCAACTCCCTGGTTGAAGCAATTCTCCTGCCTCAGCCTCCCGAGTAGCTGGGATTACAGGCACTCGCCACCACGCCCAGCTAATTTTTGTATTTTTAGTAGAAATGGGGTTTCACCATGTTGGCCAGGCTAGTCTCGAACTCCTGACCTCATGATCCACCCATCTCGGCCTCCCAAAGTGCTGGGATTATAGGCGTGAGCCACCGTGCCCAGCCAATTACTGTTTTTAAAAAAAAAACAAGAAAAATGAGAAGAAAAATGCCTTACTTTTCCAAACCCAAACATGGGCACCCAAAGTTAAGTGATATTCTGATTTCCAGTGTGTGGCTATGAAAGACTCTAGAGAAAGGGAGGAACTTTGATTTACCTGCTACTAATCCCCATCATCAGCACAGGGGCAAATCAATTCGCGGTCATTAGGCTGGCCTTTGAGGCTGGAGACAAGTTTAAGCTGACAACCAAAATAATGACTGTTACTGGAATGACTGATAGCTTTGTTGGTGCTGAGAATGTGTGAAAGCCCCCTCTTTGATATTGTATTCAAGTTTCTGAGATGTTTACATATAATGTGACAGGCACTCAATGCATTTCCATCTGGGGGATCAGATAACTAATCTTTAAGGAGAGAACACAAAATACAATGTTGTTTCAAAGACATATTGGTGAATAACAGACTAACAAAACCAAAGAAATCTCACTTTGTGACAGCCTGATGGGGTGGCAGATTTTGTGGGATTTTTATTTCTGTTTTTGTATGGTGCTGCCTGCCTCAAAACTGTCTGCTGACTGATCCCTGTCCTCTGTCTGCCCTGTTGTCTGGCTCTTGCCTTTAGAAGAATGAAGCAGTCCAGAGGGGTCTGAAGCCACCTCAGCTAGTGACCCTGTGAAAAAGGTTACATTACTGCTATTTCACAAGGGAGGAGACTGAAACTTCAGGGGTTATATTAACATGCTTCAATTCCACACAGCTGGAGAGTAACAAAGCCAGAAATCACATCCATTTGTGTGTGTGTGTGTGTGTGTGTGTGTCCAAATCCTGTGATTCCAGTGCCAGGATACACTGTCTTCCGTGTTCAACAGTCATGAAAGTATTTTAATGAACACCTGGCCCTGCAGTGCCTGATGTAGCAAATGCTGCAGATACTCCACCCACCGACTCTTGGACCACCCAAAATCCACTGGCAGCTTCAGTGAGGCTTTCCTACTTCTTTCTTTCCCTGGGCTTTGTCTGGCTACAGAGTGCTCAGCTCACCTGCAGGACAGGCCAGAAGTACCAGGGACTTCCTGCTCATTGGAGCAACTTTCAATCAGTGAGGGGCTACAGCTAAGGTGTAAATAACCCAACCTTCTTGTTCCCTGGGAGGGGACACTTCTTATATGCAAATGTGTTCTGTAAAGTCCAGGTGTAGGATATGAGAGAAAGTCATAGTCAAGGACGTTACCAAAATTGTTTCCTTTTTTCCCCCCACTCTGAGCAATTGGAAGAATAGAATTGTCCTTAACTTAGTTGGGAAGACTACAGAAAGCAGTATTTCAGGGTGGGTGTAGGGAGGGCAGGTGGCCGGAGTTTAGTTTTTGACATGTAAGCTTGAGATGCCTAAAAGTTACTCAAGTATGGGTATAGATCATAGAGCTGGAGTGCAAGCTGGTGTTTAGGGGAGAGGCCTGGATGGATATACAAATTTAGGAGTTAAAGTCATGTGGACTGGGGAGTATGTGAGAGCATAGAGGGAGTCTGTGATTCCCAGAAGAGTAGAATCTACCAAAGGAGAGAGATGTTACTGAGTCATACAAGTAAATCATCCTAGACCATGATGAATGTTGGGAAAGGGGGTTGCAATGAGGATCCCTTGGGGTACACATGGGTGCAGCAGACCCTGCCCTGCAGAAGCTCATAGTCTGAAATTAGAGATGCGGCTGCACACAGACAGCTGGATGTAAAGTGTGCTCATAGGAGGGGTGCCAGAAATAACCTCAGAGAATGGGGGTGGTCTCAGTCACTTAAGGCTGGTGGGATGGTGGAAAACTAAATGAAGAAGGCTCTCGATCTGGACCATGAAGGATAATGACCATGAAGAATCCTGACTTTCAGAGATGAGAAGGCAAGGGACATTCTACACAAAGAAAGAACATAGAGAGGGATTTGGGAAATACCAGAAACACAGGGTACTAGCAAGAAATAAGCCTAGAAAAGAAGGTTGGGGTCCCATCATGAGGGGAGAGACTGTCCAGAGAAAGAGCTTGGACTCACCCTGTAGGCAGTGGAGAGCCATGAAGTCAATGATTGATATGATGGAGCTGTCCTTTAGGGGAAGGAGCTTTTCAGGATGAAGAGACTGGAGGCTGCAAGACCAGTCAGAAGGGCTTGGCAAGGAGGAAGGAGAGAACAACATGGAGAGGAAGACACTTAAGGAGAAATGCAAATTGACAAGTACCAAAATGTTAAACATGCATGACATTTGACCAGTATTGTTATTTTTTATTTTTTTTTTTTTTTTTTTGAGAGAGACTCTCACTATTGCCCAGGCTGGAGTGCAGTGTCATGATCTCAGATTTCTGCAACCTCCAACTCCTGGGTTCAAGGGATCCTCATGCCTCAGCTTCCCAAGTAGCTGGGATTACTGGCGTGCACCACAACGCCCGGCTAATTTTTGTATTTTTAGTAGAGATAGGGTTTCACCACGATGGTCAGGCTGGTCTTGAACTCCAGACCTCAAGTGATCCACCCACCTTAGCCTCCCAAAGTGCTGAGATTACAGGCGCAAGCCACTGCACCCGGCCCATTTGAACAGTATTATTACTTGGAGGAGAACAGTGGAGAAGGGGTATATATAGGAGGTATTTGATATACACAGAAGAGTGATCACTGGAGCATTGTTTATTACAGAAAAAACTGAGAAAAAAACCCAAAAAGATCCATCAATAAGAAATGGATTAAACTGTGATACATCCATACAGTGGAATGCTCTTCAGTGATTAAAAAGGATGATATATATCTACATTCATTGGCCTGAAAGAAGTACACAATTTATTGTTGAGTAAAAACGACAGGCTGTGAAACAGCATTTGTTGTTTAGCCCCATTTATCAAAATGATACCCTGAAAATATCATTCATGTATATACATGTAGGGAGACCCTTGAAATTATGTTCATCAAAACATGGATGACAGTTTTCGTTAGGTGATACGATGTGGTAGCAGGTTGTTTATTTGTTTGTTTGGGGATGGGGGGGGTGATTTCTCTTTAGATCTTTTCTGGATAGCATGAATTTTCTTCCATAAGCTTGTAATATCTTAAACATAAGACAATGCAAATTTTCAAAAAGAAGTCGAACAGTTATTGAGTTCTTGCAAGGCAAACAGCCCCGAGTCTAGAGTGTGAATAGTTGTTAATCTGCATTAGCTGACCTCTCTAAATCAGTAATTTGGCCTTTGAGCCTCTCTCCAAAGAGGGTAAGGGAATTTTAGTCTGGCATAAGGACGAAGGAACTTAAGGGATCATGCTCAGACAGTCTGGTAATTTTCTGCCCTCTTCCAGGGTCTTCCTGAGAGCTATCAACAAGTTTGCAGAAACCATGAACCAGAAGTTCCTAGAACACACGAACTTTGAGTTCCAGGTGAGTATAAGCCACCAGAGCTACCCTTGGAGCTGCCCAGGGCGTCTCTGACATTCTGGGCTGATTGCTCCATCAGACACATCCCAAAGGCCACAGAAGCTGTCCCAGTCTCTCCAGGGATTCCCACGGGGGGTTATGGCTGGGGAGAAAATTCTCAGGCTTTCAACCAGGGCCTTGATTAAATAGTCATCAACTGATCATCATATGCAAATGTGACGGTATAATGGCCTCTTATATTAACAAGGAGATTTGCATTCATTCATTGTCAGAGTCTGTACCACCTTTTAAAAATGTATCACCTTTTTTTTACTTTTCTATTCTCTGGAACCAAAAGGGCAGCCAGTCATTGACAATGAAAAATGATTTACAATCAAATTCTCCAGTACAACTTTGTGGTTTCCTGATTCCTTTGAAAGTCATTTTTAGTGCTCAGCCAATAACTGGGACCTCTAAGAGATTCAGGGTCCTAAAAGTATGTGCCTGGGGCAAACAGAATGACACACCTGCCCCAGGTCCAGGCCCAAGAAGCACAAACTCTGTGGGAAAGTCCAGATTGCTTCCTCTGCCTGGAGATGTGCGAGGGAAGGCCCCCCACAAAAGGATCCCCTCCAGGGAAGTCTCCGATCCCTAGCATCTATCTCTTCCAGTGGGGGCTTAGGGGGTAGTAGGCACTGAGCTCATGAACTGGAATGATGGTGTTTTTTCCTTGCTGTAGGGGTGGGATGCCCCTCCACACCTGTGGGTGTTTCTCGTAAGGTGGGACGAGAGATTTGGAAAAGAAAGAGACACAGAGACAAAGTATAGAGAAAGAAATAAGGGGACCCGGGGAACCAGTGTTCAGCATATGGAGGATCCCGCCAGCCTCTGAGTTCCCTTAGTATTTATTCATCATTTGTGGGTGTTTCTCGAAGAGGGGGATGTGTCAGGGTCACAAGACAATTGTGGGGAGAGGGTCAGCAGACCAACACGTGAACAAAGGTCTTTGCATCATAGACAATGTAAAGGATTAAGTGCTGTGCTTTTAGATATGCATACACATAGACATCTCAATGCTTTACAAAGCAGTATTGCTGCCCGCAGGTCCCACCTCCAGCCCTAAGGCGGTTTTTCCCTATCTCAGTAGATGGAGCATACAATCGGGTTTTATACCGAGACATTCCATTGCCCAGGGACAGGCAGGAGACAGATGCCTTCCTCTTGTCTCAACTGCAAGAGACATTCCTTCCTCTTTTACTAATCCTCCTCAGCACAGACCCTTTATGGGTGTCGGGCTGGGGGACGGTCAGGTCTTTCCCTTCCCACGAGGCCATATTTCAGACTATCACATGGGGAGAAACCTTGGACAATACCTGGCTTTCCTAGGCAGAGGTCCCTGCGGCCTTCCGCAGTTTTTGTGTCCCTGGGTACTTGAGATTAGGGAGTGGTGATGACTCTTAAGGAGCATGCTGCCTTCAAGCATCTGTTTAACAAAGTACATCTTGCACCGCCCTTAATCCATTCAACTCTGAGTTGTCACAGCACATGTTTCAGAGAGCACGGGGTTGGGGGTAAGGTCACAGAATCTCAAGGCAGAAGAATTTTTCTTAGTACATAACAAAATGGAGTCTCCTATGTCTACTTCTTTCTACACAGACACAGTAACAATCTGATCTCTCTTGCTTTTCCCCACACTTGCTCATCTAAGTTGTTCAGTTCCTCTCTGGGCTTTCGCCTCTCAGAAGCTGAGCAACTTCAGGCAAGGCCTGGACTGTATCCGTGCCTCAAGTGAGTCATCTGTAAAATGCAACAACTACCCTTTCTACTTCATAGGGTTTTTCCAGAACTGGAATGTGACGAAGGGCTTGCTGGAAGAATCCACTTGTAAGGTCCCATAAGTTTCTGTTCAAATACTTCCTCCTTAAAGAGGCCTCCCCTCCTGACTCCTCCCTGAGGATCACCCCCACTCACTCCACAGTCATTATGCAAAACCATGTGGCTTCCTGGAGTCTCTTCATAGCACTAAATATCATTAGAACTCATCTTTCTTGTCTACCTGCGTATTTTCTCTTTCCTCCCATAGAACTTAAGCCTCGTGAGTATAAAGACCTTGAACACACAACAACTCTATGCTCTGTACCTGGCACATAGTAGGTCTCCTTGAGGAGGTGACGTCTGGGCTGAGGCCTGTGAGATTCACCCTTCTGAGAGCACCAGCCTATGAGTAGATGAGTATTTGCTGAGAGGATGAACAGGATCTTTGAACAAGAGTCTCTTGAACTACCTTGCATTCAAATCAGGCAACTGAGTGACAATGAGAGCGATAATAAAATGCGTAGCTGCCATTTTCTGATGGTTAATAATACATGCCAGATCTCACGAGAAGCACTTTAAGGGCATTATCTTTTGCAGTCTTTACAGCCACCCTACAAGTTGGCCACTATTACTAATATTTTTTCTGCTCTAAGGAGGCAGGAAGTAAGACTCAGAGATAATAAGGAGATAGCATGGTGTCACCGAGCACATCAATGCAAAGTTGGGACCAGAACACAGTGGTGGCTGACACCAAAGCCCACCCAGATGACTACAGCCACGTGCCTGATATAGACTTTCACCCTTGCAGTGGGTTGACTGCCTGACAGGGTCTGGGTGAGAGTTTCTCCTGGCATTATAAATCTTCGACACGGGAACAAAGCATATCTCTTTAGCTGGTTTGAATCAGGAGAGATGTTTGATTCCCTTCCAAATGTGGCTGAGAGGCCTGCAGGCTCTGGTCATGGGTATGTTTAGGGAAGTTTCTGCTTTTTGGGAGGGGCAACTTGGAACACCATACCTAGGGGCCAGAGGTGACAGGGTTTGGTCCATATAACTGCGAGCTAGTTTGTTCATCTCTTTCCGTGGGTATCGGCTATTGCAGCCTCAAACTTGCTTTCCTGACTTCACTATTTTCCATGCTCTTAGATGGATATTTTCCAAGAGAAGCTCAACTTCAGTCCTTCAGGGCATTCCTTTAGGTTTATATCCTGTTTTCCTGAAAGAAAATCTGTATTTGAGAGATGCTCAGAGATTGAGGGTTTCATACATGAGAAGTACGGGCTTGCAAGCTGAGTGACTTTAGACAAATTACTTCATCTCTATGTGCCTCAGTTTCCTCAACATTAAATCAGGATACTAATAGCAGCTATATCATTGGATTGTTGTGAGGATTAAGTGAATTCACGTAAAGCATTTAGAACAGTGCTGGGGACATAGCAGCCATTTAGTAAGTGTTAGCTCATTATAATAATAGTAATTTTATTATTTGGATAATGATTATGATGATCATGCCCCTAAATGTGTCAGGGCTGGGAATGCATGTCAGTCCTTGATAAACAGGACAGGAGGCCTCTTTCTGGTCACCACAACATTGCCTGGGGCTGTCACACCCACAAGATTCTGTAAAACAGAAGAGTGGCCAACATTACAAAATAAAGTAAGTCTCTTTTCCTAATGAGGCTTCCATAGCTATTTATTGAAAAGTACCCAAGAACAGGATCATTTTCCAACCTTATCTTTGTTCTCCTACCTCTTCCTCCCCCTGTGTAAGAATGGATTTGTTCTCTGTACCCTGCCTGGAACACGCCTTGTCTCCTTCTTACGGGCTCATTAATTATGCATTTAATATCAGCAGGAACAGCATCCATCACTGACTGCTGCCTGTCTTGGCAGCCACTGACCAGAGGAGCAGCAGGTGCAATGAGATTATCCCTAATATCTTTCCCAGAACTGTGGTTTTGTGATTCAAAGGGCAGAAAGTAAGAAGCTTGGTGACTGCCACTCTGTAGGTGACAAGAACTGGGAATTATAAAAATGGTGTTTTCTGGTTGCGGCTAAGATCACTTGCATTCCAGGCCCTATTCAGGATGCTGGTCCTTGGTGTCTGCATCAGTTCATGTGGTCAGGGAAGACCAAGAGAGGATTTCAAATTCAAATCAGCAGGTATTTTTGTTTAAGAGCAATTCTTATGGGCCCAGACTATTGCAACATGCTTCAAGGAACTCAGAAGCAAAGAACACTGCCCTACCCTCAAGGATCTTGGAATCTTGATAGAAGGCTATACAAATCCATCTTCCAGCATCCAGGCTTTTGAAGAGGGTGACTAACTTTATTGGGCATCTACTTAGAAAATTTTGATTCTCATCATAATCTTGTCAGGTTGTGATATACCCATTTCCCTGGTGAATAAACTGAGCTTCAGAGAATTGATTGACTTTTCTGTTAAAGGTCATCTAACCAATAAATGGGGCTGCTGCGATTCAACCCCAGGCCTGTCTGCAAAGCACATCCTCTTTTCACTCTTCTGCTCTGTTTCTTAGGAACCGGGTGCCTCTGGATTCCAGGAGACAGCTCTATTTAGATCCAGAAGCACTCTCTGCCCTTTCTAGTTCTTACTGGCACTGGGATAGAGAGCGCTGAGATGATTGGCTGGAAGATGAGACTCTCCATGTTGAAATCTCTGATTGGCCCTGGAATCAGAGATTATACTTGGGCTCCAGAAAGACTCTGTGTTAGGCAGCACTGTCTTTGGTATTGAGATCATTCTCTCTCCTTGGGGATGCTCTAATTGGCTCTAGGTGTGGCCATTTCTGCCTAGGCCTTGAGGCATTTTTGGATTACCAGCCTATCCTGGGAACCAGTTTTGATATCCTGTGAAATGAAAAACTTCTAGACTATTTCTAGCCATTAGTAGAGGCATGAGAGCCACCTTGGTCTTTATAATGGGAAATGTAAACAGTGATGCCAAAAACAGGCGAGGGAGAGACACATACAGAGGGAGCAGTCATCAAAGCCTTGCAACTGCCCATAGCGCCACCACAGGGGGACTCATGGTGGGATGGTTGGTTCCACCAGGCAGAACGGTGGGCACATGCTTGGGTGCAGTTTCCCCAGCCCTGCCTGCTTCAGCTTTTAGGCCCCAGACATTCTCTTGTCTGATATTTCTCACCTGAGTCCACACCTGGGACCTTCCACTCCCCAAATCAGAAGCATCCCCAGAGTGGTCATGACAGCTGTGCCTCTGCCCTGCAGAGGAGGGCAGGCTGACTGCATTTCAGCACCACTGCATGCTGGTTAATTTTTTTTTATTGAAATTTGGGATAAATAATGATTCAAGGTCACTGAGAAAGAATCCTGATTCTGATTAAAAAATCCTGGATCTCTCTGCTATAAAGACTATAGTCTTTATAAACATCGGATGGACCAGTGACAACCTTAACCAACAAAGCTGAAAGGACACTGAGAAAGGAGAAGAGCGATTTCAGCAGAAGAGCAGGGTGGTGAAGAATACAAGTCCTGGAGTCAGATAAACTGGATTCAGATGCCACCTTCACCGTTTTGTAGCTCTGTGATGTCGGACAAGATATTGAACCTCTCTGGGCCTCAGTTTCCTGATCTCTAAAATGGGGAGAATAATTATACAAATCTCATATTTTTTTTAGGGAGGATTTAACCAGAATGCATGCAGTGTGCTTGGTTCGTTAATGAACTCATTCAAAAAATAATTTCCCAAGCACGTGCTGGCTCAGACGTGATGTGCGATACTGTGTGAACAAGAGTGAATTTAAAAAGAAGGTTCTTGCTTGCTTGATGCTGACAGCCAGTAGAGGAGACAGAAAATAAATTAATTTTGTTTAAAATATGACACAGATGTTGTGAACAGGGTATAATATGGGTGAATAATGGGTGAATCTACTTTGCTTGGATGAATGGAGAAGGCTTTTGCAAGACTGAGAGTTTGCTAGCCAGTGATTTCCTCATTTAGTCCTTACAACCATACCCTTTAGATACTATTGTCCTCATTTTCTAGATGAAGTTACTGAGACTCAGAAAGGTAGGGTACCTTGTCCATGATAATGGAACTGGTCATTGAACTGAAACCCTGGAAGGCAACCTGACAGTATCTATAAAAACAAACAAAGACAAAAAACAAACAACAACTAAACATGCATAGACCCTGTGTCTTAGAAATTCCGGTTCTAGGAATGTATACTACAAATGTAGTTTCCCATGCATAAAGATGTTTAAATAAAGGCGTTGATTACAGCACTGTTGCTAGCGAAAAAAAAAAAAAAATTGGAATCAAGCTAAATGTCTATAAATAGGGAATTTGGTTAAAATTAAAGTACATCGTCATAGAATACAATGTAGCAATAAAAGAGAATGAAGCAGATCTGTATATGCTAATATAGAAACATTTGCAAGATATATTGGTAAGAGAAAAAAGCCAAGTGCAGCAGACTTTTAAAAAAGATGTCTGTACATACATTTGTTTATGCATAAAAAAATTCTGAAAGGCTATCCAAGGAATTGTTAACATTCTCTTCTGAGGAATTAGACTTGGATCCAAGGTAGGATGGAAAATAACTTTCTCCCATTTAATCTTTTCTATCATTTATTTTTTTAACTATGTGTGTATATTACTTTTATAATTTTTTGAGAGTTAATTAAAGTAACTAAATTCTCATTATACCCACTAGCAGTATGACTTTGGGTGGTCTTTTACCTTATCTGGACTTTACTGTTTACCTCTGTGCAATATGGTAGTCAGAACAGATGACACTTAAATTTATTCCAGTTCTAACTCTCTATTGTCCTATAATTTCAAAATATTAAATTCCCAATCGGAAATCACCTCATCTCTTCCCCAGGGCAAAGAGACCTGTGCATTTTGCTAAAGACACACTGTAGCTTCCCCTAGTCAGCTGAGCTAGGCACTTAGTAGAAATATCACCAGACAGTTTCTAGCAGGGCAGAAAGAAAAATCTGGGACCCTTTGAAGAATTTCTCTGACAATACGGCAATAGATAAATAAATATTCTCAGGAGCCCAGCTGTATTCGAGTCATTGTGCTGAGCATGGAATTAGAGATACAAATAAATGGGAGACAAAATCTTGGTACTTGTGGAGCTTACAATTGGAGAAGACAGGGCTTACAAATACTCCACAACCAATGCTACCATCAACACCACCATTCCATTTACTGAGCACTTGGTGTCAAGCCTATAGTGGATGCCTCGTTCTCAAATTATTGATCCAGTAATTACAACAGTCCTTTATGGTAGGTACCATTATGTTGGGTATTTTACAAGTGAGGAGAATGAGGCTCAGAAAGGTCAAGTCACTAGCCAAAGGCAACCCAGCTAATAAGCAATAGAACTGGTTTTCACACCCTGGTCTGCAAGACACTGACACATGTGCTCTTGACTACCAGACAGTGCTGTCATGAGAAACAAATGGAGCACAAGGCCAGGTGCAGAACAGTGGACTAACATCCATGGTTGCACACAATAAGTGCTCCTCAAATCAGGAAGTGATCAGGCAGACCCAATATGCCCTGCAGTCTAGGAAGGCTTCATGAAGGAAGCGGGTCTTGAACCCAGCTTGGATGTAAGAATAGGACACAATCCCTGCAGGTGTGAGAACCACAGTGAGTGAAGCCATGGAGACCAAAATGCTCCTGTGATCTCCGTGGAGTCTGAGCAGACCAGGCCACCTAGGTGGGCAGTTGTTGAAGGAGACAGCACTGGGGACCATGGAAATTGTATGAGACTTTAAAAGCCAGGTGGGTTC